>NC_000017.11:14733535-15036565 GCF_000001405.40 Homo sapiens
TGTTTGTCTATTTGCATGCTGGTTTGGGGGAGTGGCCTTGTCCCAGTTCTCTTTCTTATTCCATATTTTTACATGCCACAAAGACACGGTAACCCTCTTTAAGTAATCTGCTGTTATGAAGAGGTGGTTGACAATGTCAAATTGCATCTTCAGAGGTGTCATCTTTTTAAGCAAGGGATAGGGGTGTGTGCAAAAGAGGAAGGAGGGGAGAGTCATGCTCCTGTTAATAGTGAATGCTGGAGGCTGTACTTTTTCATATACTCCATGGATCCAGTGTACCATAGAACAATGCAGTTGATGCAATTGAGAAGAAGGACGGGGCCACTGTCCCTATATGCATGCCGTCTAGGGATGAGATTTGGGCTGGAAGACTCTGAGTACAATGCCCTGGAAAGGAGATGGAACCCATGTGAGGCTCAGGACAATCTACCTGTCTGGCTGGTTCTTATCCCCTCTGAGTATCAGAGGAGCAGACGCCTGCAAATGTTGTCCTCTGGGATCCAGACAAAAGGTATTTTTTATAAATACTTGATGTCTTTAATAGACTACAAGATAGTCTGGGCTCTATCGAACAAGAATGAGAAATTATAATGAGACAATTGCCTAAGATGAAAAGACAACAAAATGAAATTTAAAGGCAAATGGTTGGAATAAGAAAAAAATGGCAAGGAAAACCAAAGGTTCCATTGTAGAATCAAAATCGAAGTGGGATGATGTAGAGAGCCACAGTGATATTAAGGAAAGGCAAATGTGATGAAAGCAGTGGAGAAAAGTATTGAAGACAGAGAACAGAAGCCAAAACTGAAGAATCAAATGTATTTCTGAACAATAAAACAGCAATGATAGATAGAATTACTAATTAAACATCACACACACACACATTTTTTTCTACACATTTTCTGCAAATTAAGACATTACCACATTACATTAGAGAAAAATATGAAATAACTCCAACACCTAGAAGAACCAGAGCAAAAATTTCCCTTATAAACACAAATTCTATAACTATCCAATAAAAACTGGGCAAATTAAACCCAAAGTAATACAAAGTTAGCGGGTTTTAGATTTCTCCTGTGTAATGTCAAACAGCCCAAAATAAGAGAATCCAAAACACCGTTGAAGGAAAACTATTGTAACACAATAGTTACCACTGCCACTTTTTCTATGTGCAGGCAATAAAAAGATTTCCAGATATCTGAAATATATATTTCCCGGGGTATATTTCTTAAAAAAAAATTAGTTGAAAAAATTCATTCTATGTGAAATGTAGAACAAAACTAAGAATGTAAGACTAGAAAATTCTGTGAAAACAAAAAATAAAGCTGGTGGTGACAAAACAGTTAAAACATGGAATTAATTCAAAAATATTTCTTAATAATATCAAAGCCAACACTGATTTAGTGCTTACTATCTTCCTGCACTGTGCTAAGTATTTTACACATACCTTTATTTAGAAGACTTCATGCAGATGTCAAAAACTATTCAACATGGCCAGGCGTGGGGCTCACACCTATAATCCTAGCACTTGCGGAGGCCAAAGCAAGAAGATCACTTGAGGTCAGGAGTTCAAGGCCAGCCTGGGCAACATAGCAAGATCCTGCTTCTAAAAAGTTATTTATTAAATAAAAGATTTAAAATATAAAAACAGGAATGTAATAAAAACAATCTAAGCTTTAAATCTTCAGATTGTATTATGAAAACCAACCACTGAGGAAAGAGTGAAAGAAGTTCTAGAAGTTCTTAGTTCTTCATTTTAATATTGAAAAGACAATGATATGCAAAAGAAACTGTTTTAATTTTCATTTCCTTTGATGATTTGAGGCATATTAGGCTGCCCACAAAGTAAAAAATAAAATTAAAATATAAGGTAAATGAAAAGTTACAAAGCATGTTATGACAAAAATAGTAGGCATAAAAGAAATTATCAATATGCTAAACTTTTTAATGTAACAATAGGAGAAACATAAGCAAACACCTTCAAATAAAACAAAGCAAGAATCCAAATAGGCAATTGAAAAAACAATACTCATTGACAATTAACACGAAAAAAATGTGAACTTCATAAGTAACTTTTACAAGTGCAAATTAAAACAGCAATGGCATACCATGTTAAAGCCATCAAACTGGCAAAATGCAAAAGAACAATAATCCCTGCTGTTAGCTAGGATTGAGGGAGAGGGCCCTTTAATATACTGCCAGTAGAAGAGTAAATTGGTAAGTTGGTACTCTTTTGGAGGGGAATTTGGCAACATACATCAAAAGCTTTCTAAATGCAAATACCTTTTGACTCAAGAATTGTTTTTCCAAAAGACATACTCAGAGGTGGCCACAAAGATTTAACTACTCTGATGGGAAGAGAGATCTTCATATATGGGACTTCTCCCTTGAAATGGAGGATAATACACAAGCCACAAATAGAAAGAGAACAACAGTGGATTATTAAAAGGCAGGGCCTTCCTGTCTATTGGATGCCCTGCTCGGGTATAACACAGGAACCATGGGCTCCCAAGGGACCCTGGGATCCCGAGAGCCCTTCTACTCCAGTAAGCCTGGCCCCTCAGTTACCTGCATCTGTCTCTGGTTTATTTCTTTTTTTTTTTTTTTTTTTTCTTGAGACAGAGTTTCGCTCTGTCACCCAGGCTGGAGTGCAGTGGCGCGATCTCCGCTCACTGCAAGCTCCGCTTCCCAGGTTCCCGCCATTCTCCTGCCTCAGCCTCCCGAGTAGCTGGGACTACAGGCGCCCGCCACCACGCCCGACTAATTTTTTGTATTTTTAGTAGAGACGGGGTTTCACCGTGTTAGGCAGGATGGTCTCGATCTCCTGACCTCGTGATCCACCCGCCTTGGCCTCCCAAAGTGCTGGGATTACAGGCGTGAGCCACCGAGCCCGGCCTCTGGTTTATTTCTTGTGCTACCCCTGAGGCTTTTCTAAATCCCTGTTTAAACATTTTAGGTTATCTCTATAGTAGTCTTGGCAATTAGGGGAAGGGAGGGAAACTATGCAGAAACAGGATAGGAGAACAGTAGGTGCAGGGGGAGGCCAGAACTAGAGTCCCAGCAAGCCACCAGGAGACTCAGGTGAGCACGCCACTACCGGCCCCTGCCACTGTGTGCTCCTACTGACTTGGCTGTTTCTAGACCTAATATTGGCTGAAGCTGCCACCGCTGCTTCTGCTGGAGGGACTCCTTTGGGATCCCTGAGTGATCTTGTCTCTAGCACCTGGTCAAAGTACGCTGAGGGGACACAGGTATACCAAGTACTGGGAGAGCATCACTGTGGAATGTGAGCCTCTGGGCTGTCTGGGGCTTTCTGGGCTTATGTGTCACCACGACTCTCAGGGTGAGGATTTCTCCAAACATAGGAAGAGGACTTAGATTGCCAGGAAGCCTCCCACCGAAACAAATATTCATTACGGAGATTATATCAAGAATAACACACCTTGAGGCGCAGCTGTATTTCTCATTGCTCATTATTGCCTGCCTCATGTTCTCCACTCCTTTAGAGGGGGGAAGCCCTTCTAGGTGGCTTCCAAAATAGCTCTTGGTAACTTGGAGAGAAAACTGGAAAGGAGACTCAAAGGGGAATTTTATACACTCAGAGAGCAAAGGACCTCAGAAGTGAATCCATATTTGGTTTGCTTTTAGGATGAAAGTTTAAGTCGCAGCTCTTTGTATCTGGGTCCTGTTACCCTGCAAGGGGGCGAGAAATGCCATCTCATGTACACTGGAGCTTTACAGTTTACGAATTGCTCTCACATTTATGGGTGCATAAAAAGTCAAATTGCAATAGCATTGTGCTGTGGGAGGTTTGTGGAGGAGCTGCTGACAGCAGCTGTACTGGGAATATAATTATGCATATATCATTTAGCCAATCAGTCAATACTTTTAGGCCTTTGTTTCTGAACACCTACTATGTGCTGGTTATGGTATTCTGTGCTGCAGGGCTTGTAAGAGTAAAGAAGTTACAGTTGCTGACTTCCATCCATGAACAGGGGGCTAATTACATTAAAAAATAGTTGTAATTTAGCCTAATAAGTACGAAGCAGAGAGGGGAATAAGAGCCGTGGGAGAACCAAACATCAGGTGTGAGTCAAAAGGCATGCTGATTTGGCCAACATTTATTAAATTGGCTCATTGCACACAGGGACAGAAGTATGAGTGATAGTGGGGTGTCTCTCAGCATCCCCATAATAAGAACTGAAGTCTGTCACATCTAATCTATTAGGAAAGTCTCGGTAGCTGGCTGTTCTCCCCTGTCTCCGTTCCCCCTAGGACCCCGTTATGCATCATAATTCATTATCCTTCCTTTTACTGAATTAGCTCTTCTATAATAAGTGGGCATTCTCATAGACCGTACCTCAATAAACAGCATTTTCAGTGCATACAAGAGGTTGCAAAGGGGCTTGAGGTGACATTTCTGGGGACTCTCCTTTATGCAATTATGAGAAGAGGGTGAAAAAAAAAATGTAAGCACAGCTAATCCAGGGAGGCAAAACTAGTTGTGCCTGCGCTCTCCTCTAGGGGAGGGCATCTGTCAGTGCTGAGCTGATGACACCAGCCTTTCTTTCACCATGACCTCTCGACCCAGTTCAGGCTGTCACATTTCTCTTTTGTGATTACAAAAGGCCTCTGGGGACTCTATGCCGAGAAGTTTACCTTCCAACCCAGCCAAGAGATGAATCAGACGCAAAGTGACTTTATGAGAAACACCTCTGGCTAGAGGGTTAACTCAGGGCTTTGTATTAATGAGACCAAGTTTGCTGGTTCTGTTGCAGAAGAGCCGCCAATTCCCCAGAGCCACCCATGACTGTCAGCCCTCCAGGCCAGCCGTGCTCACGGTGCATGGCCCTGGACCCTGGGAGAGCCTGATGTGGGTGTCCCATGAGTCAGCATGGACCCAGTCCCGTCACTGGAGAAACAGATCCGACAGCCATGACTCAGGAATGCGGATGTTCTGTCCCAGGAGCACCGCAGAGAAAATCATGTTGAAACCTTGATGTTATTGACAGAAAAGAACACATTGCTCAATGGAGTGTGAGTCAAATAACTATGAACTTAAAAATATAGTAGTCCTTCCTTATGAAAGCTTTCGTGTTCTGTGGTTTGTTACTTGCATTCAACCGCAGTCTGAAACTATTTTTAAAAATTCCAGAAATAAACAATTAATCAATATTAAATTATGCACCATTCTGAGTAGTGAGACAAAACCTTGCACCATCCCACTCCATCCAATCCCAGCCTGGGATGTGAACTATCCCTTTGTCCAACAGATCCACGCTGCCTACGCCGCCTGCCCAGTAGTCCTTAGTAGCCGCCTCGGTTATCAGACTGACTGTCATGGTATCGCAGTGCTGTGTTCAAGTAACTGGTTAATCTAATCATAGCCTATGTAGGGTTCCAGTTTGAGGCATTTTCTGGGGGTCTTGGGATGTATGCCCCCAGGAAAAGGGGGACTAGTGTACCTAAAGTCATATCCAAGTAGTACAAAAGTCAAACTTCAGAAATTCTTTCTAAGCTCATCAAAAAAAATGGTAAAAAGTGTGCGAAGGATTGAATGCTTGCATCCCTCTAAAATTCACATATTGAAATCCTAACCTCCAAGGTAATGGTATTAGAAAGTGGGAACTTTGGGAGGTGATTGATTAGGTCATAAGCGTGGAGCCCACATGAGTGAGATTAGTGCCCATATATTAGTAAAGGAGATCCTGGAGAGCTCCCTCACCCATTCTACCACGTGAGGACACAGCAAGAAGACAGCTGTCTATGAACCAACAGTGGGGCTCTCACCAGACACTGAATATACCAGTGTTTGATCTTGAACTCTCCAGCTTCCAAAACCATGAGAAATAAAAGTTTGTTGTTTAAGCCAGTGTATAACATTTTTGTATATAGCAGTCTGAAAGGACTAAGATGCAAGTTACAAAAAGTCTTTTTTTTTCTCATTTTAGCTGTTTAATTGCCTTTGCATAGAACACAAATCAATTTCTGCATTTTCTCGGTAGTTTCTC
Source organism: Homo sapiens (assembly GCF_000001405.40). Lineage (NCBI taxonomy): Eukaryota > Metazoa > Chordata > Mammalia > Primates > Hominidae > Homo > Homo sapiens. Next base: position 14,739,544 of record NC_000017.11, read on the forward strand.
TCTGCAATTTCCTGGAAATAGAATCTAGAGGGGCCTTAGCACCATGGGCTTCTTAGGCTATACTCTAGGGAGTGAGGGCTTCTTTCCTCCTGAAAACTTGGGTCACTCACGGACGTACTGATGTTGATCCTGCATCCTGAAAGGAGCGTGGAATAAACAATTGCATTTCTGCCAAGCTCCCTTAAAAGAAGAGGAGAGGCTAAATAGGAGTGTTTTCTGTGGCTATGTCTTTGGTCAGAAATATCAGAAACAGTGAATTTCTTCTGAAGTTCAGCTCTGTCCTCTGTGGCTACAGAGGGGAAGCTTCAGACTGTTTATGAAAGGCGGTCTGGCTTGCCTCGCAATTTCCTCTATTTTCTTAAAGAAAACAAAAAGAATAAATTATAATGATAAAATACAGATAATCAAAAAGAGGAAAATAAAAGTCATCAAAAATATTATTCTGATGTTATTTCTTTCCAACACATTTCCCCTGTGTTTCTATACATGCATGAAATATGTGTCCCTGTAAAAATGTACACATTTCCTCCCTTTCAGTTACAAACACCAAACAGCATTAGCTGGGTAGGGCCACACCTTGTCTAAGGGATCTGATTGCTTTTACGATGTGACAGCTCCCACAACTTTTCCTATCCTAATCCCTCAGCTGACTTTGCCCCCCAGCCCCGGTGATTCTGGGCAAGACGGTATTTGTCAGCTCATGTCCAATTTCCTTCCAGCCAGGGCCTCCTTTGCAACACAGTCTGACCACTCATGTTGTTCAGAAGTCCCACTTTGTGATTTTAAAGTGGCCACATCCTCTCGGTGGGCATTACAAATATCACCTCTTACAGAAATTGTCTGGTTCTGCCTCACACAATCAAACAGAAAAAAATGATAAAGCTCATTTGTAACAAACTTATCTGTTATTGGAAATATTGGAGAGCAGAGTATGCCGGAAAATAGCAGAAACTGTTCACATGCAAACTTTATCTTACAAGATAGTATGGAGATCAGTTTCAGTGAGTGCCTGGATGAACTTAATTGAGTGTAAGTCAGTAGGGGCAACGTGATCCTGTGTGAGGGGCCAGCTGAGGATTCAAAGTTTGATCGTCTAAGTATGGGAACCATAAGGAAAGTCTCCCAGCCTCCATCACACCTCTGTGAACAGTTTTAGAGCAACGGCCTTGCGGGGTCTGTGATTAGAGGAGAGAACTCTGGAAAGCACTAACCCAGAGGACATGCCCAGGACATCGGCGTTTTTTCTCTGCTTTCTCTCCCGCTCCTTACCTGCCTCCAGCCTCACCCCCTGTTCTCCATTTGAAAAGCAGAGAAGATGAAACCTGTGCCCTTTCTCTCCTGTAAATTTTGCAAGAATCAGGTGAAAAAGACTCCATGTAAACGAGCCTCGAAAACACTAGAGTAGGATGTAAGTGTAGAGTTATCTCTGTATATCTCTTAGTTTATGCAGGCTGCAATAACAGAATATCAATGCCTGGGTGGCTTGTAAACAGCATATTTTTTTCCTCATAATTCTGGAGGCTGGAAGTCCTAGATTAAGGTGCCAGCAGATTTAGTGTATGGTGGGGACCAAATTCCTGCGTCTCAGTCTTTTTGCTCTGTCTTCACATGGCAGAAGGGAGTTCTGTGGGATCCCTTCTTATAAAGGCACTAATATTCACTAGGGCTCCATTCTTATGACCTAATCACCCCCAAAGGCCCCACCTCCTAATGCCATCACCTTGGGAGTTAGGATTTCAATATATGAATTTAGGAGGACACAAGCATTCAGACGATAGCATTATAATAATGGGAACATTGCTCCATTCCTTGAATCTTTGGTAGTTACAACAAAGCCCTGCACAGAGCTTGGAAATAACAGGTGGCTACGGTCCTGTGTCTTCTTTCAGTGGCGAGCTCAGACCATGTGGGGCCTGTTAGCAGGGTCTGTGCAACCCCCTGAGAGACCCTGGAATACCTTCTCCCAGGGAGTGTCTGCTTTCTTTTCTCTCCAGTTTCTCTTCTGTCAAATGGACAATGGACCTTTTTCCAGCCTGTTTCTTGGGTGCTGAAGATTCATGTGTCACCCCGTGTCAGGCCTCCAGCAGGTCTTTTTTGTAATCTGTTTAAATGGGGATTTCTGAACTATCCCCGGAGGATGCAGTTCAGAGGAGATTTGATTTCCAGATGAGTCAGCATCAGTCTGGAGACTTGATGGGCTGTGTCGTGCTCCCGGTGGAACAAAGCTCTGCCGGCAGTAGGCTGGGCGCTCTCGGAGTCTTCCCTTCTACCTGGCGTTTCCCAGCCAGGTTAGAAAGGTGCTTTTGTCTGCTGATGTGGTGACACTGGAGATCCTTGCCACTTGCAATATAATTTTTAAATTACAATAATGTTCATTGATGTATTTTATTATTTTAAAAGAAACATATATATAAAAAATAAAGGTAAAAATAATCCTGTTGTCCAGAAATAATTTCTATGATTACTTATTTGATGATTAGTACCTTGATGATTAAGCTTTGGTGGTGGTGGTGGGAGGGTCATGGCAGAAACTGAATTTATACTAGACATATATCATGTAATTTGCTTTTTTCAAATATTTTCTTGTTAGTATATATGTATCTATTGTACCATCTTTAATGGCTGAATATTATTTCATTATGTGGGTGTACAAAAATATTCTCTAGATTGAAAATATTGTTTCTCTGTAAAAATCAAGCCAAAGGAATTTTTATTTATTTATTTATTTATTTTTTTTTTTTTTTTTGAGATGGAGTCTTATACTGTTGCCCGGGCTAGAGTGCAGTAGCTCGATCTCGGCTCACTGCAACCTCCGCCTCCCCAGTTCACAGGATTCTCCTGCCTCAGCCTCCCAAGTAGCTGGGATTACAGGTGCCCACCACCACACCCAGCTACTTTTTTGTATTTTTAGTAGAGGCGGGGTTTCACTATCTTGGCCAGACTGGTCTCAAACTCCTGACCTCGTGATCCGCCCGCTTCAGCCTCCCAAAGTGCTGGGATTACAGGCCTGAGCCACAGTGCCCGGCCGGAATATTTTTAGAACTATGTTGGAACTAGATACTTTTACATAACTTTGATTATATTTTAGTGATAAAGACCTAGAAGCAGTATTGTTGGATCAAGGGATAGGCTTTAAGAAACATTTTACTCAACTGACATCCTAAAAGATTCAACTAATTTGAACTCAGATGACAGGAATAGAGAGAAGAACAACTACAGGGCAGAAAGGAAAGTCTGTTTTTGAGTGGTTACAGAATCTCCAGGTGGGCTCTGAGTCAAGGAAAGATGATGGAAGGGGTGGTAGGACAGTTGTGAAGCACCTTCTCTCCTTATTTTTGGTGGAAGTTAGGATAGATTTTTAACCCAAAACAGCTCTGTGTCAGTTCCCATTAGATTCTGGCATTGAGTTGTCTCATTTTGTTAACATTACTTAGAATGTTTAAATTTCTTCATCTTCCTGGGTATTTTAGTGAGAAGGAAGGACAGGCTGCATCAAAATCTGCCATACTCCTTTGGGAACCATACTCCTTACATCTGCTAGCCATACTCCTTTGGGAACAGATGTCTGTACTTGGGTTAGAATGTTCATGTATATACCTGGCAAAAACTGTCAGCTCTACTGTGATTCTCTCTCCTTCAACATCTTCAACCAGCCAGGCTGAAAATGTGCTGGTCCCACATAGCCGGTGACTCTGCAAGGCTGACTTCTGATGCAAAACTGTACTATCAGATACCACATAATGATGTTTCAGTCAATGATGGACCATATACACGTAAGATTATAATGGAGGTGAAAAGTTCCCTGGCCTAGCGACGTTGTAGGTATCAAAATGGTGTAGGACAACACATTACCTTTTCTATGTTTACCTTTTCTCTGTTTGGATATATCTAGACACTGCAGAAATATTTACCATTGTGTTTCACTTGCCTTCAGTATTCAGTACAGTCACATGCTGCACAGGTTTGTAGCCTGGTAGCAATAGGCTAGACCACAGAAGCTAGGTGTGTAGTAAGTTATACCATCGAGGTTTGTGTAAGTCACTGTATGATGTGCGTGCAACAATGAAATTGCCCAGCGATGCATGTCTCAGAACATATCCCTGTTGTTAACCATGCATGACCGTATTCCACTCTTCAGATTTCATGAAGTGTATTTGTAGATAATCCCTTTATGTGAAATTATCTCATGTGAGTAAAGAGGGGTTGTTTGAAGAAGGGTCCTTGTCATGTTTCTAGAAATCCTTCTGCTTGTTTCAGAAGCTGCCCTTGGAGAAACAAAAAAAAGGAACTGTGTCATAGGTATCTTTATGTTTCCAGTGCCTAGAACTATACTTGGAACAGGGAAAGTACTCAATAAGCCCCAGTTGGATGTGTTGATCTTCTACACTCTCACCCTTGACACAATACAGTTCAGCATCAGTCATACCAGTTTCTGTATTGCTAGCACAGTAGTCCCTCCCTTATCCATGGAGGACACATTCCAAGACCCCTAGTGAATTCCTGAAGCCTCAGGTAGTACTGAACCCTCAATATACTTAGATTTTTTTAAGTGTGGTCACCAAGACAGCTACTAATTGACTTACATGCAGGGAGCATCTACAGTGTGCCTACCTTGGACAAAGGAATAATTCACATCCTGGGCTGGATGGAAATGGATGATGAGAGATTTTATCACGCTACTCAGCATGGAGTGCAACTGACAACTTGTCAATTGGCCAGGTGCAGTGGCTCACGCCTGTAATCCCAGCACTTTGGGAGGCCGAGGTGGGTGGATTATCTGAGGTCAGGAGTTCAAGACCAGCCCAGCCAACATGGTGAAACCCTGTCTCTACTAAAAATACAAAAATTAGCTGGGCATGGTGGCGGGCTCCTGTAATCCCAGCTACTCGGGAGGCTGAGGCAGGAGAATCACTTGAATTCGGGAGTTGGAGGTTGGAGAGAGTGGAGATCCGCCCCTGCACTCCAAACCAGGTGACAGAGTGAGACTCTGTCTCAAAAAAAAAAAAAAGAAAGAAAAGAAAAAAAGAAAACTTGTCAATTGTTTTTTTCCGGAATTTTTCATTTAATATTTTCGGACCACGGTCGACCATGGGTAACTGAAACCTTGGAAGCTGAAACGGTGGGAAGTGAAATTGAGGACAAGGGTAGACTCCTGTAGCACACACCCCATTCTCTCAGGCCTGTGTGCCTCTAGAAAGCCCAACTCAAGCACTAAGCCCCCCGTGAGCACACCACCACAAGCAAGGGACTTGCCGTTTCAAATGCCTGGAACAGCTATTTTCAAAGTGTGGTCTGGGGACCTCTGGGGCTTTCTGAAACCCTTTTAGAGTCTTGAGGTTAAAGCTGTTTTTATAATACTACTGAGAAGTCATTTTCCTATTTCACTCTCATCTCTCATGAGTCTACAGTGGAACTTTCTAGAGGCTAATAAAGTGTGATGATGTCATTCTTCTAGTGTTAATGCAATGTGTCACTGTATATTCTTGCATTTTTTAAATTTCTCAGTTTTTAGTTCTAATGTGATAAATATCAGTAGACATAATGCATGATCAATGGCTTTTTGGTGTCCTCAATAATTTTTAAGAGTGTAAAGTCCCAATGCCAGAAACTTTGAGAACTTCTGGCCTTGAATCACACTTCCCAGATCAGGGGGTTCTTATCCAGGAATGAGAGGGAAATGGCCCTATTTCTCAATTTCCTGATTTACTCATTCAGTACATATTTTACCAAGTTTCTATTTGCGACCAGACACTGTGCTCAGCCCCAGGGCAACAGTATTAAACAAGATGGAGGGTTGATCCCAGTCTTGTGGTTGAGAGAGATAATAAGGGAAGGCACCCCCAAGGCACAGATGCCTATGATACAATCTCAAAGAAGAGTGAGAGCCAGTTAAACAGGAAAGGGTCAAGGTCCTTGGGCAGGAGCGTCATGGCGCTCTTAAGGAGTTGAAAGAAGGCTGCAGTGACTGTTCTAGAGGAGCATGTGGTTCTTGAGATGAGGCTGGAGAGGCCTGCAAAGAACACAGGGCCTGTGGAGCTGGGAAAAGGTCTGGGTCTTGATGTCAGGCAATGTCCAAGGGCAATGAAGGGTTTTTTTATTTACTTATTTTCAGTTGGGATAAAATGTACAAATAAAATATGTCATTTTAACCATTTTAAGTGTACAATTCAGTAACATTAAGTACATTCACACTCTTGTGCAACCATCACCATCCATTCCAGAGCTGCTTCTCATCCCCAATTGAAACCATTAAATACTAACTCCTCATTCCCTCCTCCCTCCGGTTCCTGGTAGTCACTGTTGTATGTTCTGTCTCTATGAATTTAAGTATTCTAGGTCTCACAGAGAAGTGGAATCTCATAGAATTCATCCTCTTGTGTCTTATTTCACTTAGCCTAATGCAGTAAAAGGTTTTCAAGCCCAAAAGGATATTGGAGAAATACCTCAATGAGAGAGATGGGCACTGCTATCTCAATGTCTGTCCTCTTCCTTGCCTTCTTTGGATACTAATCAGGTTTGTATAGTAGCAGCCAGTTTCATTCTTCCCTCTCTCACCTGAAGACCAGGCTCCAGCTGCCTTCAAGAACACTCCGTTGGTTCTCAGCATTCAGAAGGAGCCATGTCATCCTCTTAAAGGGAACAATGAGGGGAGTGGTCAGAGATCATTTCGGACTCAGCCTTCCAGGTCTGTGAAAACCATATAATAAACTTAAAAATAATAATAATTTTAAAAACCCAGCTTGGAGTGGCCAGGACCTGAGAAGAGAGAGTGGTGATATTATTTCAGCTCAGCCGTGGGTGCTGGACACTGGCTTCTTTCATCTATGGGCCCTCCTGTGGCTGAACACTAAGGCTGTACTGACCACGCAGCAGTGACCATGAAGAGGAACTGGGAGTCAGTGAGGTGCACGCCTGGCTTTCATCTTTCCCCGACATCTTCTTCAGGGGGTCCTACTTTAACAAGAATCTATTCCTCCTGTTTAATTGATAGGAGCTTGAGACTGATTGATTGCTTTTAGAAATTTTAACCATCATAGGAAAAATAAAGAAGAAGTCAAATGCTGAGAATGGACCCTAATCTCTTAGAGCAGGGATTGTCAAACTTGGGTATGCAAATGCATCGCCTAGAACCCCTTTAAACATCTTATCTGGGTCTTACCCCCAGAATTTCTGATTCAATAGCTCCAAGATGGGGCCCTGGACTTGGCATTTCTAACAAGTCCCAGATGATGTTGATGCTGCTGGTACTGGGACTGCATTTTGAAAACCACTCCGTCAGGGACAGGCAGGAATTTAGAGAGACCCTTTAGAAAGCACATTTTCCTGCCTACATTGTTCTTCCCACGCATGTCAGCCTGGTAAGGGGCGGGGACTCCAGGCCCATCATAGGATGTCTTTTCTGATTTTCTGGCTTACTGAGTAAAAGTCACCTCTCCCTCACAAATGACCCACGTGACTGTCATGTTTCCACCCGCCTTCTGCTTTCTGGAGGGAGGGACCAGCAGTCTCCTACGGATCTTTTGAATGATGAAATGGAACCCTTCACCCTTTTATCTGTCTGCCAGCCCTGAAGAGCTCTGTGAAGACCCATTTATTGAATCTGCTGAGGTTTAGTCCCTCTGGGTTTGAAGACACCAAAGTCTGTTGGTCCCAGGGTCATTCATTATTGGGAAGCAGAGTCATTGTCCCCTCAGTCAGCCAAGTTTTCACCTCATACTTCACAGGATGAGCAGTTAAGGGAAGAAAGCTTTCATCCTTAATTGCAAATGATTCAAATTGTTGGGTCAATGAGCTCCTGTCTCTTCTGAGGAGTGGTAAAGACATTCGACCTCTGGACAGGGACATAGGATGTAATCACTTCCTCCTCCTACAGCTGTCATTTCTCTGTGTTATCTCAGCACTCTGGCAGAAGAGCTGGTTTGTAAGAGGAATAGCAGAGAAGGCCAGCTAGCTCGGCACAGAGGAGGCCGTGTAAGACAAAGAACCTCAATATGCTCCCCTCTTCCACCTCCCAGACACCTTGCCAATTGCAGATCAGCATTCATGAGGCTTTTCTGAGCCAGGTCTGACAACGGATCAAACCACACTCAAGTAATGCCATCATCTTTCCGGGCAAGATGACTGCCCTTGCTGTAATAACAGCTAACACAATCATTTCACCTAACATGTATTGAGTAGTACTTAGAACACGGGCTATATATTTTGTGGACGTTGCATTACACAGCTTATTTCTCATCATGACGTACATGCTATAATGAGATCCATGTTTCAGAGGAGGAAACTCATTCTGCAATGGTTAGTATCATCAAAGGAAAACAGCCTGGACACATATGAAAGACAGAAAGACAGATTTTATTCAGATGATTGCAGTAAGGGACAGAGACTCTAATATGAATTGAGCTCAACTCCACCAAAGAAAAAGATGACTGAGGTTTTCTTTTTTTCTCTTGTTAAGTTGGAGTCTCGCTCTGTCACCAGGCTGGAGTGTAGTGGCACGATCTCGGCTCACTGCAACCTCCGCCTCCTGGGTTCAAGCAGTTCTCTTGCCCCAACCTCCCAAGTAGCTGGGACTACTGGCCCGTGCCACCACGCCCAACTAATTTATGTATTTTTAGTAGAGACAGTGTTTCACCATGTTGGCCAGGATGGTCTCGGGCTCTTGACCTCGTGATCCTCCCACCTCGGCCTCCCAAAGTGTTGGGATTGCAGGCGTGAGCCACCGCGCCTGGTCATGACTGAGGTTTTCAAAAGGGGAAAAAAAGGACCATGGAGAGTAAAAAAAAAAAAAAAAAAAATAGGGAACCAATATAGGGAGCAGGGGCCTACAGAGAAATGGAAAAATTACAGGAAGTGAGTAAAGGTAGAGAATTACTGAAAGTGGTTGGGACATTGGTGGTTTAGCAGCATTGAGTTTTCTTGAGCAAAGAGTCAACATGAGGGCTGTGGTCACCCTTACAGACATGACTCAGTGCAGGTAGGAGCCAGGCTTATGTGTGACCAAGCTTCTTAGCAGAGCATTTGGGCAAGGCCTTTACACCGCATGGGAGTCTGGAGTTTTCAGTAACTTGCCACACAGGAAGGCCACACAGCTGGTAGGCAGCAGGTGCTTGAGATTTCAGCCCAAGCAGTGGGATGGAGTTCTGAAACTCAATCCTATACTGCCCCTGAACACTGGTTTCTCCCAGCAGCCCTCTTGTTTTCTGAGCTCACATTTCTGTCTTCCATTTACCTGTGGAGTTAGCTAAACCTGTGCTTCAGCGTCAGAAATCCTACCTCATATGTAAGTTCCCAGAGTGTCTGCCTCCGTCTTTTCTGCAGCCACAGCTCTGCCAAGAACAGAAATGTCCTTGGCCCTGGGTGGTCCTTCTCCTTACCTCCACCCTCACCCTCACCTCTTCAATCTCCTACGGTTTCATGCCAGAGTTGAGAGAAGACCCTGAAACCTGAGTGTGATCTCTATTGAGGTCCCTAATGACAGCAAGACATCCTACCTGGCAACATTTTATCAACCTTAGAAAAATGCCCCCATCCATTGGTACTAATTAGCCTTTCCTGCTATAACACAAGTGAGTCAAGGTTCCCGGGAAAGACAGACAACAGAAAAACAGGAGCTGTCTGTGAAGGATCTGTGCAGTTCAACACAGGCCACTTATCTCAAAAGCAGTGCATTTTGTAACCATAAATGAAAAATCTGTTTTTAACTTAAAAAGTATATGTACAAAGGGCATTATCAGAGATCTCCCAGCATGCTCATCTGTCATCAAAAAGAGATGAAGACCAATTTGGCGTATTCTAGATTCTGTCTTTTCTAGGGATTGAGATGTGGACATATAGAGTCTAAATACTTTCTGATATCTGCTTGAATGCCAGATGGCAACTGCATTCCTGACCTCTGGGGAATGCAAAGTCTGTCTGAAGCCCAAGGAGAGCTCAGAGCATCAAAGATCCTGAGGCAGGTACTAAGGAGGTGCCTCCAAGGAGGTAGGACTGAGTCATGACCTAGTCTCCAAGTTTGATTTCAGGGGGAAGGAAGGAGACAAAGGGACGTGAGGACTCAGAAGGCACGAAACCAAGTGCTTTGTAGTTTCTGTGCCTTTTGATTTTTATAACAACCGTGTGAAGTCAGTAACACTGTCTTCATTTCAAGAGTAAGAAGGCTGAGACTCAAAACAGTCAGATTTCTCGAGGTCACAGTGAGGAATTTCTGGCCTTCACCTGGCTTCTGGTTATCATTCAGGGTTCATTTGCAATGTCTCTTCCTTGAAGGGCCTTCTCTGTCTAGCTCACGAGCCCACACCTGCCTCTTTACCTTCCAGGTCATTCTCTGTAATATTATTCTACTCTCTTGTCTCCAAAGTAGTCACCATCATTTAACACTTTGTAGTTCTTTATTTGTTTTCTTGTTTATTTTCTACCTGCTCACCATGAAATACAAGCTGATGAGCAATCAAAAATGTGAATTGGCCGAGTGTGGTAGCTCACGCCTATAATCCCAACACTTTGGGAGGCAGAGGTGGGTGGATCACCTGAGGTCAGGAGTTCAAGACCAGCCTGACCAATACGGTGACACCCTGCCTCTACTAAAAATACAAAAATTAGTTGGGCATGGTGGCGGGTGCCTGTAGTCCTAGCTACTTGGGAAGCTGAGAGAGGAGAATTGCTTGAACCCGGGAGGCGAGGGGTTGCACTGAGCTGAGATCGTGTCACTGTACTCCAGCTTGGGCAACAGAAGGAGACTCCGCCTCAAAAAAAAAATGTGAGGGTATATAAACTCTGAGCCCATCTCCAGAATTTCTGATTCGGCAGGTCTGGGCCAGGGCCAAATGTCAAAAAGTTTCTAACATTTTCCCATTTCTGTTAATGCTGCTGGTCTGGGAACGGCACTTTGAGAACTAGGGCCCTAGGATGCATAAGATACAAAGAAACATTGATAAAGATAAAAAGTCATAATGACCTTCACTTTCTAGTTCACTGCTGTGTTCCCACACCTGGGCTCTGGACAGTACCTAGCAGGTATTCAACAAATGGCTTTTGAATAAATTAATGAGTGAAATACTGAAATATGAATTAGGTCTGTGACACCAGAGACCATGTCTTTTTCCTCTGCAGAAGCCCAGAACTTTTTCCCAGTTCTCAGATCTTGACCATCACATACCTGATGGTCAATGGAAAAGAAGACCCCAGATGGCCTGGTGCAATGCCCTTCAGATAGAAAGACTGCTGTTATCCCATACAAAACATGGTATTAGTCCTTTCCAAGTAGGTTCTGATTAGGTACAAGGAACCAGGCATGCTATCTTCATTTCTTTGCAAGAGATCCAGAAAATATGTCCCATTGCATGAAACTAGAGAGGGTTTGAAATCAGACCCTTTGGGAATATTACAACAGTGGCCCCCATCTCTAGCTCTGATGGCAGTGGCTGCTGCCATCATGCCGGCTGTAGCAGGGAAGTACATCTGGGGCTGCACACTCCATGGAGCCAGCGGGAGCCCTGCCCTTCTGCGTTGGGTTGGGAGCTTCCTGTGCCACTGCAGCCGCCCAAAACGCAGCTGCAGACCCAGGCCTCCTGCTCTACAGAGTAAGCTGCCCAAACTGTAGTTGTGGATCAGAGCCTCCCTGTGCTCTTGGGGGAGCCAGGAACAGGCAGGATCTGCCTTCCCAGGTGCTCTGGGCCTCCTGCTCCAGGAAGCAGGCAGGAGCCAGGGACAAGCAGGAGCCCTGCCCCTTCCAGGTTGGCGAGGCAAGAGCTCCTGGGTGCAGCTGCGGCACAGGACCCAGGCATCTCTGCAGCCTGCATCCTTGGGTCTCCAGAAAGGACCCATTCCCCCACCTTACCCTCTCCCTGCCCCCCATCCCTGCAAGCTCTGCAGTGCCCGCTCCACTGCCTGGCCTCTCTCCCCTTCCAGAGCCTGCTCTGATCTCCCAGGGGGAATTGGGGCTGAGCCCCAGGGCCATGAATGGCAGCAGGAGGCAGATTGATTCCTGGCCAGAAGGGGCCAGGTCCCAGTAAGGCCCCACCTTCCGGCCAGGGAGGGCCTCTTCCAGAGTACCCTCTCTGCGGATAGCTGGAGACGATGGGACAACCAGCTGCAGAGAGGAGCTACCCTTTCCGCTGAGACCTTTAGAGACCTGCAGAGATGTTGGAATGACTTGCCTTTGGAAAGGAGCCATCCTCTCCTGGGTCTCCTCTCTGCTAAGAGTTGAACACTCAACTTGACGACCGGCCTACAGAGAGGAGCTACCCACTCCTCTGAGCTGTTCTAATACTAAATAAAATTTTTGTTCATCCTTCAGTTGTCTGCCTACCTCATTCTTCCTGAACGCAGGACAAAAAACTCGGGCAAAGGCACTGTGGCCACAGAGGTTTCTGGCCAGAAAAATCGACATCCCAGAGATCCCATAACATCTCCACTTGGCTCCCCTGCTGGCCCTGTTCAGAAACCTTAGTTGTGTTATTATTGATTGAGAGAAGGGGAGTGAGAACTCAATTCCCTCTGCCAGATTTGATCCCAGACTCTTTCCCTGTGAACCGATGAAATCCACAGCTGGTAGTAATCTCTCCTGCCTCAAAACTCCCCTGACATTTTATCTGTAACCCTCCTAAACCACTTATTTCCTAGGTTTCACTATAATTATTCATTGTGTGCCTCATCTCCCCTGCTGTTCTATGGCCTTCTCATAGACAATGACAGGGTCTTAATCATCTCTGTGCATGCCCCAAATTTAGAACACAGCCTCAGATGCTGAATGAATGAAAGAAAGAATGAATAATACAAACGGGAAGAAAGCAAAGAGGAACTTGCAAAGAGAACTGAGATGCCATGGGTATGGTGATTTACTCTTTGTTAGGAAGTTATTTCAAGAGTACATCATGGTGAAGCATTCAAAACTTGTGTCTAGCATACAGTTGGTGCTCAATAAATGTTTACAAAAGAAAGGCTGGAATTCATCTATTGTTCTACATTTCTGACTGATATGGCCTCATCTCAAAAAAAATATATATCTGGAAAGTATTTTCTGAGTTGTTTTTCCTATAGGTGGATGTTGGAGATTTGACTTCAAACCCTGGGTTCACTTGGGCTGTGTAGGTCTTTGAGGTGTTAGTCCCTGGACTAGCTGAAATTTAACTGGACCCTAGGGATGAAGTCCTCATTTAAAGAGTGGTCACCAGTTGCTTCGAACTTGCTTCATCGCCCAGGAGGGCTCCTTCTCCCCTCCCAGACATAACTTCCTTGATTAAGAAGCCACACATCTGCCTTGGAACACTAAAGCGGTCACCTTCCAAGGCCTTGGTCTTAGGGTGCAGGACTACTGGAAGAAACATTTAGAAATAGAAAATCAGGCTGGGCACGATGGCTCACACTTGTAATTCCAGAAGTTTGGGAGGCTGAGGTGGGTGGATCACCTGAGGTCAGGAGTTTGAGACCAGCCTGGCCATCATGGAGAAACCCCATCTCTACTAAAAATACAACAATTAGGCTGGGCGTGGTGGCTCACGCCTGTAATCCCAGCACTTTGGGAGGCCGAGGCAGGTGGATCATGAGGTCAGGAGTTCAAGACCAGCCTGGTCAATATGGTGAAACCCCGTCTCTACTAAAAATACAAAAAATTAGTCGGGCATGGTGGTGGGCGTCTGTAATCCCAGCTACTCGGGAGGCTGAGGCAGGATAATTGCTTGAACCCGGGAGGCAGAGGTTGCAGTGAGCCGAGATCACACCATCGCACTCCAGCCTGGGCGATAGTGTGAGACTCCATCTCAAAAAAACAAACAGACAAACAAAAACAAACAAACAAACAAAAATACAAAAATTATCCAGGCATGGTAGTGGGCGCCTGTAGTCCCAGAGACCTGGGAAGCTGAGGCAGGAGAATCAACTTGAACCCAGAAGGCAGGAGTTGCAGTGAGCCGAGATTGCACCACTGTACTCAAACCTGGGCGACACAGTGAGACTCCATCTCAGGAAATAAACAAAGAAAACCAGGCTGTCATAAATGTTCCTAGCTTCAGTACATGTTTCTGTTGTTGTTGTTGTTGTTGTTGTTGTTGTTTGTTGTTGTTGTTGTTGTTTGAGATGGAGTTTCAGTCTTGTTGCCCAGCTGGAGTGCAATGGCACGATCTCGGCTCACCAGAACCTTTACCTCCCAGGTTCAACCAATTCTCCTGCCTCAGCCTCCTGAGTAGCTGGGATTACAGGCATGCGCCATGCGCCACCACACCAGGCTAATTTTGTATTTTTAGTAGAGATGGAGTTTCTCCATGTTGGTCAGGCTGGTCTCGAACTCCCAACCTCAGGTGATCCACCCGCCTCGGCCTCCCAAAGTGCTGGGATTACAGGTATGAGCCACCGGCCTGGCCTAAATGTTTATCTTTATCTTGTGCATCTAGAGCCCTGGTTCTCAAAGTGTAGTTCCCAGATCAGCAGCATTGGCAGTAATGGGAAAATATTAGAAATGTAAATTATTAAGCTTCAACCCAGACCTGCTGAATCAGAAACTCTGGGGACCTTATGAGGTCAGCAGGACAGGTAGCATGATCATCATTTCACTGATGAAAATGGAGATTCTTGTCCAAGGTCAAATGGTTAGGTAATAATAAAGTCAAGTTCTGGGTCTAGAATCTGGATTTTTTTTCCCCTAGCTCCAGAGCTCTCCTTTCACTTGATTTTACTGTCCCGCTCACTGTCTGTACAGACTATTTCTTCAGTCTTTTCTCTGCTCACTGGGTTTATGTTGATCTCTTGTCAAAGCTGGCTACTATTTCCATAGAACCTGCTTTGAGCGCCTTTATTCCAGAACTACTCATTCTACTTCCAGCCTGTGTGCTTTGGGGAGCATATCTTGCAGGTTTGAAGGCACAGATCCAAGCTTCTCCAACTTTAGGGTCCACATGCGTCACCTGGGGACCTGGTTAGAGCACCGAGCTCTGATTCAGGAGGTGTGAGCTGGGGAGGAGTTTCTGCATTTCTAGCAGCATTCAGGTGATGGTCTCAGTCTCCACACTTTGAACAGAAGGGCAGTAGGCCCCTTTGGTGCTTTTGTCTACACTTTCTCCATGAAGAGCCTGCAAGTTTCTTGAGCCCAGGATCAAGTCTTGCCTGTCTTCATACTCCTGAGTGTCATGATTAGCTCCTGGAAGGGAGACAAGGAAGGAAAGAGGGAGGAAAGAAAAAAAGCACCTTTTCCATTGGCATCTACCTTTTTGAGCAGAGAAGTGGGAAGATAAGGTGCTCACTTCCAGTGTCTTGAAACCTCACTTCTACCTCTGGGTGCCAACAACAACAGCCCTGAAGCTCCTTTATAATTTTCAAAGTCCAAACAGAGGTAGTGGCAAGGTTTGTGGCTACCGAAGCTCTGGCATTCATCTGGCACATTGTTGCTTAGTGTACAAGCGAAGTGTGCGTGAACATCTTTTGATTTGGAGAAAATGCCAGGTTTGAGACATAGCAACCTTGCTGGAGCCCCCTGAAGAAGCCACACCAATGTCAAGGAATCTGATTGTGTAGTTCTGGTGTTTGCCTATTGTTGCCATTTAGGATATAATCTCCTTAACTCCATAAATACTAAATCCAAGCACTTTGGCAGGCAAAACTGCCTGTGATCTCATAAAACATATAATGGCCATCTGGCAGAAACCATTGATGTTGTCAGAAGGAGATGGGAGATGGACAGCAATGTGTGAGTCATTTTTACAGTCCTCCCCGTGAAGACCAAAGGGTGTTGTTTGACAGCTCAGGAAACAGGCAGCCAAGACCCTGTCACTGTTTGGAACTCTCTAGAGACCTTTGAAGAAAGTCTCCCTCTCTGTGGTGGAAAGAAAGAGAGCCACAGTTTCTTGAGTGGTACAGGTGAGGCCATACCGCAAAGACTTGCACAGTACAAGTGGATCTGGAGTTTGAAGTAAAGTCTCCACCTCCCTTTCCTTAGGGAAAGCCACTGAGAAAGTCTGTACAGGGAAGTGCTGGCAGGGTTGTAGGTGTTTCCAAGCGTCTTCAGTTCTAAGACTGTGACCCTTGGCTCCTCATACTGTTCCTGGCTATTGGTAAGAGGAAAAGTCTGTTCACACCACTTCATCCAGGGCTGAGAACTGAGCTGGATTTCCAGTTTGGGGAAATTCATGTTTACCTGGCCTCTTTGGTGAATATCTATGCCTCCCATGTGCACAGGATTGCTTCTGAGGCAAAGTCTGGTAGCAATAGCCTGCCCCATCTGTACCACCATTCATGTCCCCATTCATGGGTCATAAAACCTCTGCCCTCTAGCCATCCTGCAGAACTTGCATGGCTGAATGCACCATGCTCTGAGGCACTCTGTGCCTTTGTACACATTATTTCCTCAGCCCAAAATGCCCTTCCTTTCTTTTTTTTTTTTTTTTTTTTGAGACGGAGTCTTGCTCTGTCGCCCAGGCTGGAGTGCAGTGGCGAGATCTCGGCTCACTGCAAGCTCCGCCTCCCGGGTTCACACCATTCTCCTGCCTCAGCCTGCCGAGTAGCTGGGACTACAGGTGCCCGCCACCACGCCCGGCTAATTTTTTTGTATTTTTAGTAGAGACAGGGTTTCACTGTGTTAGCCAGGATGGTCTCGATCTCCTGACTTCATGATCCGCCCACCTCAGCCTCCCAAAGTGCTGGGTTTACAGTCGTGAGCCACCGCGCCTGGCCCCCCTTCCTTTCTTTTCTCCACTTCATGAGTGCCTATTAGCCCTTCAAAGCTCAGTTTAAGCATCTCTTAAGAGTCCCGAGATACCCCTTTCATACTTACGGCAGTACTCCATGCCTCTCTACATGCTGCATATTTTGATTTTGTCTATCTGTCTCACCCGCTAGTTCATCTCCTCCTTGTTCGCCTCTTGGTCTCTGTGCCTAGTAGAGTGTCAGCTACATAGCAGACGCTTAACAAATTTTAGATACTTAAGTAGAAAGCTGCTTATAATTATACCCAGCAAAAGACAAGGCCATTTTTGTCAAGGAGAGGGTGAAATGAATAGCTTGATTTCTTCCCAGTTTTAGCATTAACATGTCTAATGTCACATGTACAGCGGTAACAGGGAAGGGTTCCAAAGTCCTAGTTACAGTGACAGATTTCTGTTCAGAGCAAAGTCTGCAAAACACTGCTCCCACTTGTCACCTTGGCACTTCGGTCTTTATTGTGGTCAAAGCCACACACTATTTGAAAAGTTACTGGGTAATCCTAACCACAGATTTCCCTTAGGGCTAGTTAGGGGTCAAAGAATGCTTTGAAACCAAACCAAAACTTCCACCCAAGTGGAACTGTCTTGGTCTGAATCGTCCCAGATTCTGAGACAAGGGTCTAAGTGCAAGGAGATTATTTGGGAGAGATCCAGGATGTGCTAGGAAGAGAGAGAGGGGTGAGACAAGGAAGCAAACGAAGCCAGTGCAAGGCGAACAGAAGAGTGGGCTCCTCCTGAGGACAGCTGGGGCTTAATCCGCCCCCAAGAACTTCTGGACAGGACGTAGAGCACATCTTAGGCTTGCCCTGCACTCTGTCTTCATTCTCACTATTTGCTCATCCATTCACCAGTTGGAAGACATTTGGTTGTTTCTAGATTTGGGCTCTTAACAATAAAGTTGCCTTAAACATCCATGTGTTTGTGTATACATATGTTTTCATTTATTTTGGACAGATACCTAGAAGAGGAATCGCTGAGTTGAATAGTGGAATGATAAGTGTATGCTTAACTTTATAAGAAACTGACTGTTTTCCAAAGTGGCTGAACCATTTTAAATTCCTGCTAGCAATGTATGTGTGTCCAAATGTTACCAAAAAAAAACCAAACAAACAAAACAAACAACAATAACAACAAAAAGCCTGTGGCTTGCTTTTTTATTTTCTTAACAGTGTTTTTAGAAGAGCACAGGTTTTAAACTATGATGAAGTCCAATGTATCAGTGTATTTTCTTACATGATTTGTGCTTTTCGTGCTTTAAGAAAGCTTTGCCTAACCTAAGGTCACAAATATTTTTTACTCTTTTTTTTTCCCCTCAAGTTTGAGCGTTAGCTCTTTTTTTCAGTTGTAGATCCATTTTGAGTTAATTGTAACTCTGATGTAAAGTAAGAGTTGAGACTGATTGATCTTTCTATCTATTGACATACAGCTACCCAATTGTTCCAGCACCATTTATTGAAAGTACCCTTCCCCAGTGAATTATCTTGGTAATTTTACTCAAAATCAATTGGATACTTATACTTGTATCTATTTCTACACTTTCTATTATATTTTGTTCATTGATATTTCTACTCTTGCACCAAATACCACACTGCATTAGCCACTGTAGCTTTAGAGTAAATATTGAAATCAAGAAGTACATGTCCTCCAATTTTTTTATTTTTCAAAACTCTTTTGGCTATCCTCTGTTCTCTGCATTTTAATATAAAAGAATCAGCTCATCAATTTCTAAAACATGTCTCGTAAGTTTGATTGGGATTGTGTGGAATCTTTCTATCAATTTTGGCATAATTGCTATTTTAATAATATTGAGCCTTCTTATCCTGTCTTTTTTATTTTCTCTCAGCAATGCTTTATACTTCCTGATGTATAGATATTGCACATGTTGTTAAATTTGCCGCTAACTTGCTCACATATTTATGCTATCTTAATGATGTTGTTTATTTCTATTTCATAGTTGACTATTTCTTCAAATGTATTCTTAGATTAGCCACATTTTAATGTACTTATATATACATAATTATACTGTTGTTTATTTTGCTTACTTACTGATTAGTTGTCTTGTTCTGGGAAGATTTTAAGAAAGTTTATGAGAATGTATAAAATAAAACAAGAACTTTGAAGAAGGACAGAGTGAAAAAGGGAGAATAAAAGGAAAGGGACATCAGGTAAAACCAGACATGAAACTAATACACAAACACATGATAAGTTCCAATTAACATGTGATAAATTGCTTTCTAGATGCCAATGCCAGTGTAAAAAGCAAAATCTGATTATGACATAATTCAGAGCATCCTAAAGTGGCAAATTAGAAAAGCACAGCCGTTTCTTGTACTTTTCCCCAGCAGATTCTCAAAAAACAAGATATAACATACCACGTAATAGAATGGATGGCCGGGTGCGCGGTGGCTCACGCCTGTAATCCCAGCACTCTGGGAGGCCGAGACGGGCGGATCACAAGGTCAGGAGCATCTACTATGTAGCTGACACTCTACTAGGCACTGAGACCAAGAGGTGAACAAGGAGGAGATGAACTAGCAGGTGAGACAGATAGACAAAATCAAAATATGCAGCATGAAGAGAGGCATGGAGTACTGCCCTAAGTATGAAAGGGGTATTTCAGGACTCTAATGAGATGCTTAAACTGAGCTTTGAGAGCTAATAGGCACTCATCAAGTGGAGAAAACAAAGGAAGGGGGGCCAGGTACAGTGGCTCATGTCTGTAATCCCAGCACTTTGGTGGGCGGATCATGAGGTCAGGAAATCGAAACCATCTTGGCTAACATGGTGAAACCCTGTCTCTACTAAAAATACAAAAAAATTAGCCAGGCATGGTGGCGGGCACCTGTAGTCCCAGTTACTTGGGAGGCTGAGGCAGGAGAATGGCGTGAACCTGGGAGGCGGAGCTTGCAGTGAGCGGAGATCTCACCACTGCACTCCAGCCTGGGCGGCAGCGCAAGACTCCGTCTCAAAAAAAAAAAAAAAAAAAAAGTATTAGATTGGTGCAAAAGTAATTGTGGTTTGTCATTACTTTAATGGCAAAAACCGCAATTACTTTTGCACCAACCTATATAACAATTAAGGTCCTCTTCAATGTCTTTATGGAGGTTATGCTGCATTTGGATGTGCTGTTTCTTTTGTCACTTAAGATATAGAGTAGCAGTGCTAAGACAATGGTCTCCAAGGCAATTAAATTTGACTGCAACCTCAGGAGAGAGACACTGTATTATACCTGGATTTCTTTCCCTGTTGGTCCTGGATTTCTTTCCCTTAGAAACTGTGTGAGGTCATGTTTGCTGTTTTGAACTGCTAAGTTTGGGCAACTTGTTATGTAGCAATAGATAACTAATATAGATTTTGGCCCCAAACTATCAGTTATTCAAAGTATGATTTATAGTGCTTACTTCATGCCAGGTATTTTACTAAGTACTATGTGAGTATTATCTTACTTAATCCTATGTAACCCTATGAGGAATGAACCATTATCAGACTATTTTACAAGTGGAGAAATTGAGGGCAAGAAGCATTTATGCCAAATAAAGCCCTGGGAGTCTGATTCCAAACTCTGGGCTTTTATCATCCTGCAATTCTGCCCCTTCTCCTATCTCTCCTAAGAAGATCAGGCCAATGGGTTCTGTGTGGGATGCCTTCTCACTAGGGACGATGGATATTCTTCCCAGGATGGTGAGAACTGGTTCTCAAGAAGTGTAAAAAAAAAATAAATAAATAAATCTTAGTACACTGGTTTGTGATCCTCTGAAGCTCAACCCTACCTGCCTAAATTTTATTCCTTAGTACTTAATTTCTTTTTTGGGGGGAGAATTTAAATAAAATTTAACTTTTCTCTTTAAGTGAGGATAATAAAACAAAAATTGAGAAACACTGCTTTATGACAAAGGCCAATTCAGACTTCTTCTCTGTAAGCCAGGAAGTTCCTGATGCAGAGGAGCGGCTTAGTTAACACTGTTGGATTGATAGACTCTGGTCTATGAGGTTCAAATCTGTACTTTGAAAATAATATCTCCAGCAAGAAATCAATAAATAACACAAGCTAAAGGGATGCTCTGGGTTCCACAGGAAACCAAGGCCTCTGCAAAGACCGGAGGCAGAGGCAACACTGCTCTTAAGAGTGAGGGTTCAGAGCTGGCTGACACGAATATCACCTGTCAGTAACTATGATGGAAAATATTAGTTTACATTCTTCAGTTCCCTGGTGACTGACCATATTAGGCCTGAGCAACGTATCTTACCACACTTGCTAATCTGTGGATTTCTAAAAGTGGATAATTAGTCCAGACAGTTAGAGCTCAAAATGAAACGAGCTTAAGTCTTTCAGGAATTACAGCAGGTGCCTGAGGGGATCTGCCATTCAGGCCTGACCCATTTCTGCCTGTGCCTGGGAGAGAGCTCATCTCCTCAGACTGATAGATCTATTGGCACATTCACCCATTTATGCCCAAACTGAGGGCTGCTACCCTGGCAAACTTCCACTCCGAGATAAGGCAGGAAAGTGGTGGCTGAAGCCTGAGTTCTTCTTCCAATCACTGCATCCTAAGCATATGGATAAATTCAGGCTTATGAGAACGTGATGAGGGTAAGAACAGAGACTCAGCAAGGCTGCTAGAACTGCCCAGAGTCACTCAGCCAGTCAGCAGCAGAGTTGAGCTAGAGTCCCCAGAACCTGACACTGTCCAGGGTTTTTCCCATTAGCCCACACTGTCTCCATGCGGGTGTTTGGTCTCTGAAGCTCTCCTCTTGGGGTAAGGAGAATGAAGGAGCCCAGTTATTTTCTCCCAGTAGAGTTCATAGCTTCTCCCTTCCCAACCCTCCCCACCTTCTGTCTGGTTTGAGTTTACTGTCAAAACATGCAGTCAAATTACTTGTCTGCAGACATTTTTGCTGGCCTTAGTGTATCCACAAGAGAGCTGTTAATGATTACCCTTCCTGCCCATACTTAGCTCATCTTCAGAAGGGAACTGCTCATTATCATTCTCTGACTGCAGGCTGGGCCGGCTGGAAACAGTCAGTCAGGATTCTAGCAGTGGTAGAGCTGGAGTCCTGGCATT
Source organism: Homo sapiens (assembly GCF_000001405.40). NCBI lineage: Eukaryota > Metazoa > Chordata > Mammalia > Primates > Hominidae > Homo > Homo sapiens. The sequence continues at coordinate 14,761,295 of NC_000017.11, forward strand.
TTCTGCCGTTGGGTCATATTGCTACCAAAAGTGACTCTTGGCTCTTGGGAGGCTGTGGGCCTGTGGTCCCTCAAGCCAGGCTTCTTGGAGCTTGTGAGAAAGTAAGTAAGTGGGGGCCAGGGAGGGGGGCACTTTTGTTCATAGTTGACTTCCAATGGCCCCCACCAAAGCCAATTACATAATTATCGGGACTCAATACAAAATAAAAGTGTGGAACTCTTTGTTCAAAAAGTGGAGAAAAAGTGCTTTTTCTTTTATCCCACGGTCTCTTTCAACTTGTCATGATTTTTTTTTTAATTTTTTGCTATTGAATGTCACTCTGTCAAGAGAAATTAAAACTTTAAATTGTTGTCATAAATTTTAACAATCATCTTTGTATTGTGCAATGCCAGTTTTCAATAGAAACTAAAAAACTTGTGCACAGTAAAGGAAACAATCAACAGAGTGAAAAAACAACCTACAGAATGAGAGAAAATATTTGTAAACTATTCGCTCTACAGGGGATTAATATCCAGAATATACAAGGAACTCAAGCAAAAACAGCAAAAAAACAAACAATTCAATTTAAAACACGGGCAAATGATCTGAACAGACATTTATCGAAAGAAGACATACAAATGGCCAACAAATATATGAAGAAATGTTCAACATCACTAATCATCAGAGAAATGCAAATCAAAACCACAATGAGATATCATCTCACCCCAGTTAGGAAGGCTATTAGCAAAAAGACAAAAACAACTAATGCTGGTGAGGATAGAGAGGAAACAGAACTCCTATACACTGTTAGTAAGACAGTAAACTAGTACATCCACTACGAAGAACAGTATGCAGACTCCTCAAAAAAATTGCAAGTAGAACTACCATATGATCCAGCAATCCCACTACTAGGAATTTATCCAAAGGAAAGGAAAATAGTATAACAAAGAAATATCTGCACACTCATGTTTACTGTAGCACTATTCACAGTAGCCAAGATATAGAATCAATCTAGGTATCCAATAACAGATGAATAAATAAAGTATGTTATATATGCACAGTGGAATACTATTCAGCCATAAAAAGAATGCAATCCTGTCATTCGTAGCAACATGGGTGGAATAGGAGGACATTATGTTAAGTGAAATAAGCCAGAAACAGAAAATTAAGCATTGAATGTCTTCACTCATATGTGGAAGCTAAAAAAAAAGTTGATCTCATAGAAGTAAAAAGCAGAACAGAGGATACTAAAGACTGAGAAGGATGTAGTAAGGAGGATAGGAAAAGATATCTTAAAGGATACAAAATTACAGCTGGTTGGGAGGAATAAGTTCCAGTGCTCTAGAGCACTGTAGGATGGCTATCATTGATAATAACATATTATATATTTTTAAATACCTGGAAGGAAGATATTGAATGTTCTCAACACAAAGAAATGGTAAAGGTTTGCTATGATGGATATGCTAATTACCCTGATCAAATCACTATCCATTGCATGTATTGAAACATCACCATGTACCCCATGAATATACACAATTATGTGTCAATTTAAAAAAAAACTAAAAATGCAACTTATAATGGTGTTTAACTCCTAGGTGAAATCACCAAAATTACACCCAGCATATCTCTTAGCTTGCACATGCATATGTATTTTGTTCTTATCGGAACAGGGGAAATCCTGCACAAGAGTAACTCAACTGTTTTTATTTCACTTCCACCTTTGGCTTTCTGGTGAAAAAATTGAAAGGACTGAAAGGAAAATGAACTTTTTCTTTCCTTTTATGTCATCATTTTCAACATAAATGGTTGGCTAATACAGGGAAGGAATATAAGTAAGAAAGCTTATAATAGAATTCCTTAGTTGTGTGTGTTTCTCAATGTGTTGCTGTCCATTTTCTCCATTTGCAGCAAGTTCTGGCTGGAATGGAAAGCATGGCCTCTCAGGGATTTCCATGCCCCTGACTACTCATTTGTAAACAGAACACACATAGCCTGTACTTACTTTGAGTCTTGCTGAGTCCCATGCATGGTGGGCCTACCAGAATTCTGTGCTCATGGGGCATGGTGAACACTCTATATAAATGGGGTGGCAGGTTGCGTGTATCTCTGCTTCATGAGCATGCTCCATTGTCCCTTTGGACTTCACTTACAAAATGGAAGTTCAAAAGTAAAATGAGGAATTTCAAGATGACGGGATGGCAGTGAAACATAAAACCAAACATGAGGTCCTCTTGAGCACGGGGCCGTGTGTGACAAGCACACATCACAGGCCCATGAAACTGTCCCTGGTACCCACTCTGCCCCCGTAGACCCAGGCCTCAATCTGCTACCAAGAGATAGAGGAGGAATGTTAGAAATGGCCGGAATTAAGTAGCAAAGTATGAGACAGCAAATCTGTGAGGGAAGGAAAAAGTGTGTTGAGGTTCAGATGTTCTCAATCCTGACTGCTCTTTAGAATAACCTGGGGAATTTTAAAAACACGCAATGTCTAGGCTCCAGGTCTGGAAGTTCTGATGTACTGGATCCAGGGAAGGTCTGTACATGGGTATAGCCAGGTCATGCTAGGATGCGGCCAGAATCTGCCATGTTTCACCCTCACGCTCTGCACCAGCTCAGCTGAAATAGGGTTACCTGAGGCTGCCTCTAAAGACAAATAGTCTTGAGTGTCTGTTTTCTTTTTGGAGGGTTTTTTGCTTGCTATTTTTGGAGCTATTCTATTAAATTGTTCTAATTAATGGTCATTGACACAAAATAACAATGTATGTTCCATCTTTTTCAGCTAAAATCTAAAGTTGTTTTTATCATGTCCAAAAACTTAGTGCAGTGAACACAAATACTTTGTCTGGACCACTTATTAAAGGTGCAATTCGACTCTTCATTTCAGCTCATCGCAGAGCATAGATGGCTCTTCTCCATGTTAGGGATGGGTATGGCTAGTGCGTCAGTCAAACCTACCGCATGCTTCCAGGTGTGTCCGTCTTTAGGATTCAGGTTTCAGATGTACTCCTGAGAAATATGGACGAATTAACCTATAAATTTGAAGGTCTCACTATTTAAAGAAATCTCACACCGAATCTATAATAAGAATAATAGTCTACTTTGACCTTTAGTCAGTATTTAAGGTTATAGCTCATTTTACAATTAAGATCAATGAATATTTACAAGTTAAAAACTTCTGCTGGGCATAGTAAGAAATGCCCATAATCCCAGCTACTCAGGAGGCCAAGGCAGAAGAATTGCTTGAGGTTAGGTGTTCAAGACCAGCTTGGACAAAATATCAAGACCTCATCTTTAAGTAATTTTTGTTTTAATTAGCTAGGTAGGTGCAGTGGCTCATGCCTGTAGTCCCAGCTACCAAGGAGGCTAAGGCCAGAGGATCACTTGTGCCCAGAAGATTGAGGCTGCAGTGAGCTATAATCGCCCCACTGCACTCCAGCCTGGTGACAGAGCGAGACGCCATCTCTTAAACAAAATTAAGAGACATTCTTGTTTTTGCCATTTTAAAAAATATCTCATTCTAGTACAGACATCATGAAATATATAGACTGAATGTTAGCAACAATTCAGCCCAGAGATTCCCCAACCTCATCACCATTGGTTGCTTGGGGCAACTCTGCTAACTGGGAGTCCCATCCAGAGATTCAGATTCCCCACATCTGGTCTGGGACATGATTAGTCATTGTACAAAAGCTCCTCTGCTGATTTTGATGATCAAGTAGGCTTTAGAATAATGGATCTAACTCCAAAGTCTTATATTTTAAGCACACTTCATCCCTAGTACTAAAGTAAAGTCCTGGAAACAAAGGACTAAAGATATGTTTTTAATATAAATTCTAGAAAATATAGAGAAGTAAAAAGAGAAAGGTTATCCTTTATCCTATCAACTAGATAGAACTACTGTTTGTCTTTCCAGTCTTTTTTTTTTTCTACTGTATAAGTGAGTGATGTTCAAAATACTATAGCATGGGCATTAACCTACGATTGTTCACTGTTTACACTGTTGAGTATATATCAGGTGAAAATCAACTCTAAGTGTAAGCATATATACATATATATATAGTTTTTGTTATTTTGTTTGTTTTTTTTTTTTTAGATGGAGTCTCGCTCTGTTGCCAGGCTGGTGTGCAGTGGTATGATCTCAGCTCACTGCAACCTCCACCTCCCAGGTTCTAGCCATTCTCCTGCCTCAGCCTCCTGAATAGCTGGGACTACAGGCGTGTGCCACCACACCCAGCTAATTTTTGTAGTTTTAGTAGAGAAGGGGCTTCACGATGTTGGCCAGGATGGTCTCGATCTCTTGACCTCGTGATCTGCCCAACTCGGCCTCCCAAAGTGCTGGGATCACAGGCATGAGCCACCGCGCCCAGCCTAAGCATATGATTTTTTTAAAAAAATTATATGACATAGTATATACAATTTGGTAACTGGATTTTTAAAAACTTCAATATATTTTTAATTTAAAAGGGGGAATTCTATAGGGTTCAGCCCCCAGTTTTTTCCTCTTTTCACACTATCTTCTTTCCCTAGACAATTCCATCTACTTCTGTGGCTTCAATTCACAACTATATTTTTCCTACCAGATTTTACCTGTCACCCCAATTCTTCTCTGAGGCATTAGCCCTCTCTCTCTAATATTACTGATTAGCAGACATGTTCACATGAACGTCTCTCTAGGCACTTTGACCTCAATATATCCAAAAGTAAACTCAGGATGTTCTTCCTCCAATTCTGAGGAAACCAGACGCCCAAACCATCCAGACTATCAAGCACCATTCTTGATTCCTTCCTCATACTCAGTGCTCTACAAATGTAATCAGAGACCAGATTAAATGGATTCAGCTTCCTAAAGATCCCTTGAACATAACCATTTCTCTCCTCTCCACTGCCATCTCTAGACCAAGCCACTATCATTTGTCACTTGGACAATTGCTGCACATTCCTACCTGAGCCACAACTTATTCCCATGAAAGTGAACAAATAGTAATATAATATTTTGAAAACATTTACTATGTTTTGCTCACTGATTCATTTTTTGTTTTCCATAATGACATTAGAGATATACACATTAGCCAGGCACAGTGGCTCACACCTATAATCCTAAGACTTTTGAGAAGCCAAGGAGGGTGGATCGCTTGAGCTCAGGAGTTCGAGACCAGCCTGGGCAACATGGCAAAACCCTGTCTCTACCAAAAATACAAAAATTAGCCGGACATGATGGCAGGTGCCTGTGGTCCCAGCTACTCGAGAGGCCGAGGTGGGAGGATTACTAGAGCCAGGGAAGTTGAGGTTTCAGTGAGCCATGATCGTGTCACTGCACTCCAGCCTGGGTGACAGAATGAGACACTGTCCCCCAAAATAGAAAAGAAATACAAAGAAATATGCATATTGAGGCTGAGGTTTGCTGCCCAATAAAGGAACAAATTCTGAAAATGAAAAGTCAAATGCTTCACTTTTTACTCCAAAAATTGGCTTATAAAACTGTAAAAGGGTAAAATAATTTTGAAAGTTAAAACTTTGTTTATAAACAAGAGCTTTTGTGAAAGGAAAATAGTTTTGAATCCTCAAAGGCTAAGAGCCTAAAGGACCTCAAACCTAAAGCTAATGCTATAAACACTGAGGTTAGGAAGAAAGCATCATCCTGTCCTCCCAAAAGAATATGTCCTCCAAGGCCGGGTGCGGTGGCTCACGCCTGTAATCCCAGCACTTTGGGAGGCTGAAGCAGGCGGATCACGAGGTCAGGAGATCGAGACCATCCTGCCTAACACGGTGAGACCCCGTTTCTACTAAAAAATAAGAAAATAAAAAAATAAAAATAGCCGGGCCTGGTGGCAGGCGCCTGTAGTCCCAGCTACTCGGGAGGCTGAGGCAGGAGAATGGTGTGAACCTGGGAGGCGGAGCTTGCAGTGAGCCGAGATCACACCACTGCTCTCCAGCCTGGGGGACAGAGCAAGCCTCTGTCTCAAAAAACTCAAAAAAAAAAAAAAAAAAAAAAAGAATATGTCCTCCAATATGCCAATTGTCCAATTGTCCTCCCAAAAGAATATGGCATTTAAAGGGTCTAGGAGAGAGGGGGCAGGGATAGAAAGGGGAGGCAAATGATAGAAGCCCTAGATAATTTTGCAAAGATCCTAGTCTAGAGAATTCATCACTTCCTAGGGTTTATATGGAAATTTGGTATTCAGCATGACCTTGAGGAGAGAATTAACAAAGAAGAGAAATCTAATTATCCTCTCAACAGAGACAGAAAAAGTATATGGTAAAATTCATCATTACCTCTGAGATAAAAACATTCTTAGCAAAATTTGAATTCTTAGCAAAATAGGAACATCTTTAATACAATAAAGATTATGTACAATAATCCTACAGTAAGTAAAGTTTAAGTGTTATCATACTCAATGACGAAATAGCAAAGTTGTTTTTCTTTGAGCTTGAGAACAACAAACAAAAAGAACAGAACAGGGACACTTACAATTACCACTTGTATATAACACCACACTGGACATCCCATTATCTTGCAAAAAGCCAAGGAAAAGAAAAAAAAGCTAAAGATTATAAAGGAAGAGAAAAATTGTCATTTTCCACAGATAGTACAATTGCACAACTATAAAGTCTAAATCAGATCTAGAACTAAATTATTAAATTAGCAAGATGGCTTGGTATTAAAAAGTCAATTGTATTTCTTTATGCTAACAAAACATTTTAGAAACTGACATTTAAAAATATACCATTTACAAGCTGGATGTGGTGGCTCACGCCTATAATCCCAGCACTTTGGGAGGCCACGGCCGGTGGATCACTTGAGCTCAGGAGTTCAAGACTAGCCTAGGCAACATGGCAAAACCCCATCTCTACAAAAAATACAAAAAAATTAGCCAGGCCTGGTGGTGCATGTCTGTAGTCCCAGCTACTTGGGGGACTGAGGCAGGAGGATCACTTGAACCCAGGAGTTCGAGGCTGCAGTGAGCCAAGATCGTGCCACTGCACTCCAGCCTGCATAACAAAGTGAGACCCTATTTTTAAAAAAAAGAAAAAGAAAAAATATATCATTTACAATGGCATCAAAACTATTAAATGCTTAGGAATAAATTCAATGAAAGATGCAAAGGGCTCTACAGGGAAATTGGAAGGAGGCATCATATTCAGTATTAAAACTAAGAAACTTAATATTATAAAGATGAAATTTTCCCCATGGTTTAGGCCAAAAACATTGGAAGCATCCTTGACTCCTCTGTTTTGCTCATATCCCAAATACAATGCATTAGAAAATTTTATTGGCTTTACTTTCAAAATGTAGTCTGGGTTTACCCAAAAGCCAACACGGAGTCAAAAGTCAAGTGCGATTAGTCAGCCCTCAATATCCATGAACCCTACATCCATGATTCAACCAAACAGGCAGTAAAAAAAATTTGAAAAAAATAATAAATAACGATACAAAAATAAAAAGTAATTGACAATGACAACTATTTATGTAGCGTTTTTTTAGGTATTGTAAGTAACATGGAAATGATTTAAAGTATATGGGAAGACGTGTGTAGATTATATGCAAATACTACGCCATTTTATAACTGAGACTTGAGCATCCACAGATTTTGGTATTCTCTGAGAAGCCTGGAACCAATCCCCCTTGGATACTGAGGATGACTGTATTTTATTTAGAATTTAAGGAAAACCAATAAGGGGAGTAGGGGAATGAAAAAGGAAAGGGAAGAAGTCAACATAGAGCAACATGTGAGCCACTCCAAGTTCACCCTTTGTTGCCTGCTTTGCTATGTTATAGACGGGCCCTGTAAAGACTTCTCCTGTGCCAGGTGGCACAATGCTAAGTGTTTACAGTAGAGGGTGCTGGAGGGACAGTAGAATAGAGAGAGGTTTCATTTCCTAGTTCTAATGTTCTCCTCTCCCCACATGCCTTAAGCTCATCCAGCAACTCCAGCAGCACCCAGTCTCCTGCAGTGCGGACAGCTTCTCCAGGGCCCAGCTTTTACAACCTGTTGTGACCAGCAGTGCCCAGCTTCCCCCAGAACTCCCTTGAACAGCCTAGGAGTGACATGACCCCTCATGGAGTCTCCTGTGACAATTTTCCCTGGTAATCCCCAAGAAGGTTTTGAGATAATTTCTGAGAGATGAAACTTCTCTTTGACATCTTCCCTTGAAAATATGGAGGGCAAATTTCCAGAAAGTTCTACAGCATCACAACTCAGGGACTTGTCCACCATCCAGTGAGCCGTGAGTGAGGTGAGGTGTTCTTATTCCAGGTTCTTTAATTCTTGGAGTGCTCCACCTCAGCCCCAGGGGTAGTGGCTGTTCCTTATATCCACTAGTCCTATATTCTTCAGAGTTCTCTTACATCTTGCTATCTAATCCCTTGTTACTGCAAATCCTCTCCTATATTGTATAAGAGGAGCTTAGAATATAATATTACATAATTATAGAACAACTCTATAATTACATGATAATTCCTTATATTAAGCTTTTCCTGCTCAAATTACTATGTGATTCTGCCGTCTCATTTAATTCTGGCAGATACAGATACCTTATTAACCCGGCTGCCGTGATGGGCAATTACAGCTTAACTCCTTGGGGAAATTCTGAAAAATAGTATAAAATATTCCACTTAAGGGGTAAGAAAGCCATGATGTTTTTACTTCAACTCCTGTCAATCACTGGTTGGGTGTAGCTTCTGGGAAGTGTGATTCCCGGAACTTCCAGCTTGTTTCCCACATAGCAGAGCACCTTCCACAATTCCAGAAAAAGACCTCGGGCACAGAGTCAGAGATTCAGGGCAGTGGAACTCCTGCAGAACACAGTGAAGCAGCAGGCGCCAGGGATTACAGCTGGGCCAGTGACAGAGTCTATTATAGCCCAATCACTGTAGTCACTCAGTTCTTCTCATGCCTCATGTTCAGATCACTCCACCCTGCCACTGTTCCCCAGGGCAGTGGCTGGTCCCAGTTTTTTTTTCTTTGTTTGTTCCTGCAAAAAAGCAAGACAAGGCTTTCATGACAAGGATTACCTTCCTCTTCTACCACCCATTCTAGATTCATCTTCCTCTCAACCAGTATTCCACTGGCTTAGATCTAAGCAGTTCCCTGGTGGGAGTGGGGTGGTCTAGACCCTCTCCCCAACAGAGCCTGAGTCCCAGGTTATCATGCCCTTTCCCTTGCCAAGCTATGGTTGCTCTAACTCCCTGGTGTTTCAGACATGATCCTTCCCATCCCCATTATGTAGCAGAAACCCTATTTCCTTAAAATAATTAGGGCCAATAGTCACTCCTTTCTTTACCTGTTGATCTACTGGCATAAAAAGCCTATGAGTATCAGCTATAAATTTAGTGGGACCCTTCCGTGTGCCCCTGGTGGAGCCATTTCTCTCCCGGGAATCAGGGCGTCTGATCCAGCAGAGCCTAAAGTTGCAGGAACTGGAAGCACAAATTTCCAAAGTGGGTTACTGGAAGGATTGGGGAAATGGGCCATTCTCATTTCCACTTTTTTTTTTTTTTTTTTGAGACAGAGTTTCATGCTTGTCACCAGGTTGGAGTGCAGTGGTGCGATCTTGGCTCACTGCAACCTCTGCCTCCCAGGTTCAAGCGATTCTCCTGCCTCAGCCCCCTGAGTAGCTGGGATTACAGGCATGTGCCACCATGCCCGGCTAATTTTTTTTTTGTTTTGTTTTGTTTTTGAGTTGGAGTCTCGCTGTGTCGCCCAGGCTGGAGTGCAGTGGCGCGATCTCGGCTCACTGCAAGCTCCACCTCCTGCGTTCACGCCATTCTCCTGCCTCAGCCTCCCTAGTAGCTGGGACTACAGGCACCCACCACCATGCCTGGCTAATTTTTCTGTTTTTAGTAGAGACGGGGTTTCACCTTGTTAGCCAGGATGGTCTCGATCTGCTGACTTCATGATCCGCCTGCCTTGGCCTCCCAAAGTGCTGGGATTACAGGCGTAAGCCACTGCGCCTGGCCTAATTTTTTGTATTTTCAATAGAGATGGCGTTTCACCATGTTGGCCAGGCTGGTCTTGAACTCTGATCGCAGGTGATCTGCCCGCCTTGGCCTCCCAAAGTGCTGGGATTATAGGCGTGAGCCACCGCGCCCGGCCTCATTTCCACTTTCGATTCCTGGCCATATGTATTCCATCTATTGCGGATCTGATCTGACACCATATAATGCAGTGCTTCCCGTACTTCAGTGTGCAATGCCTAGAAAGCTTGTTAACATTCAGATTTCTGAGCCCCACCTCGGAGAATCTAATACAGAGGTCTGAGGCCAGGTCCAAGGATTCTGCATTTCTAACAAGCCCCTAGGTGTTGTTGATGCTCTAGGACCAGGGTCCACAGCTTGAGACTCACTGAAGTATATTCCACATCTTGAAAAACAGGGCTGTGTACACCACAGGATGTCACCCCTAAGCTGGGAATCTGGATTTGCCTTTCAGGAGACTGTCTTATTGTTCCATCAGGCAGTACGATGTGGTGCAGCGATTCCACGGCCACGTGCCTGCCTCACTCCCCTTTTACTGTTAAGTGGGTCCGTTGGTAAGAAGCAATGTCAGGTGGGGTCCCAGGTCAATAAATCAGATGCCCCAGTGAATCCCGGGTGGTGGTTTTGCAGAGGCACTGTAGACAAAGTGACCTTCTGAGTTCCTGAGAAAAAGCTCTCAGACATGAACAAGCAGACACAGGAAGCTGGAATTGTCTGTTGCATTACTTAAGATAAGGTCTGAGGAAGAGGTAGGACACGGACATTTGTGCCACACACATACTCAGAATCGGATCCTCTCACCGTTTCCATTGCAACCACTCAGCCCAGACTGCCATGATCTCTTATTCGGATTGTGTAATAACCTCTAACCAGTCTCCTTGCTTCCAGCTTTCTCCCTGACTCCCCAGCCCCCATAATCATCTTGTCTCTGCATAATAGTGGGAGTGACACTGTATTAAAATATAAGTCAGAATATATCCTTCCTCTGTTCAAAATCCTCCAGTGGATGTTTCACGTGGAGAAAAATCCACAGGCTTACAATGACCTTCAAGGTTTGTGTGTCAGTAAATATTGGAAAGCTGCTGCCACTGGAAAACTTTGCAAAGAAAAAGATGTTGGAGGGTTAGTGGGAAAGAAAGTGTGCTGGTCTGTCTTGATTAAACATGCCTTTGGGAAATCTGGCTACTCCATAGTCAAGGATAATTGATATGCCCCACTTCACTGGCTTAGGGTGCAGCTTAAGATCATATTTCTTGTGTGTTCAAATTATGACTCCCAGGCCTCATCCCACAAATTGAAAGAAGTGCATTTTTCTCTCCCTCCCAAGATAAGCCCATAATCCATGAGGAAATTTGCCTATACAAAAGAATTTGCACTGCTCATAATTTCCTCACCAATAAGAAACCTGTTATCAGCCAGGTCCTCTGAAGGGTCTTGTCTTCAGATGGTGCTTAGATGCCACTCTTGGACCTTTAAAAGGGGCTACACTCACTGTGGGTGACCCTCACAAAGCTCTCAACACTACAGCTCTTTTATAACATATGTACAAAAATGCAATCAAGTGCAAAAAATATGTACACACTTTCCCAAAGGTATACTTATTCCAGGCAACTGAGAGCAGAAGGCAGAAGGCATTTTACCATGAGCTCAGGACCAGCTGTCTTGTGATGACCTCTGTTCCCACTATTAAGCCAGGGGCGATCAGCCAAGAGTACCCTAACTCTCATGATAATCTCCTCTTGGGAACCAATATGCTCATCTTCTGACAACTGGCCTCAATTGCACAACTTCAGCCCATCTGACATTGCAATAACTTTGAACGACACAGCAAGGGAGCCAAGAGCTTGCTCTCTCCCATCTCAAAAGGTTTTGCTACTTGGGGAGGAAGGATGGTTTTATCCACCTATAAGGATGGAGCATCTATTCCTGGCCTAATCAAAATATCCACTAATTGATCGTATGGGTATTCTGGTGAACAAGCCAGAACAAAAGAGACTACCCAAAGTGTGCTAAATATTTCTGCACTGTTGGAAAGAGGAAATGTTGTTTCATAATAAGGATAATCTCCAAGAAGAAATTACCAGCCTCTTCAGCTCTGGATTCATTATCTTAAGCCTATGACAGGTGAAGAAACATACATTAGATTGTCAGCAACTAAAAGATAAATTCCCCTCTGTTGTGTGTTCCAAAGTCTTTTAAAATAACAGAGGTATTTCCATTAAATTCTTTTTAAAAAATAACTGAGAACTCCCCTAGTGTCTATCGATTCAAAAAAAAAAAAGCATCAATTACATCCAAAATACCGCTTTCTATCCATTACTTGGTGCAGTTGCCAAACGGAAGATTTTTTTCCCTCCGAAGTCATTTCACTCAATCATTGGGCTGGAAACAGGAAAGGGGAACATTCCGGCAGGCAATCCCTAAATCCCTTGAGAGCATCTTTACAGTGTGCCATGCCAGCCTTCAGTGGGATCTGATGATATATTTCTGTGCAATGTTCAGGCACTTTTTAAAATCCCAATTGAAATTATTCCATCCTAGTAGGCTGCTTTCGTGATTTTTACAGCATGGGCACAGAAGTCACCAGTTCCATGACTAACCTCAGCCCTAGAGCAAGCAGGGACCACATCCCCTTTTACAAATTCAAAAATACAACAACAACAAAAACACAAAAAACAAACATCTTTTCAGAGCTCCCATAAAGGTGGATGACCATCATCCATCTAAGATTTTTTTAAAGTGACTCCTCACTTGCTTCTCTTGTCTTTAAGTTCTTTCCCTCCTCGAGGGGAAGGTAAAGAAACAGAAGGAGCAAGTCAGGATGAATGCAGGGGATGCTCTGTTGGTCCCAAATTGCTATTTAACCATTTTAAAACTGAGGAGCAAAAGGGAATCCTCTCCACCAAAAGGGCCATTTCTCTTTGCTTCACCCTGCATGGAACCCTATATTGGCACTTTTTCTTCTGAAATAAAGTGAGATCAAGTGTCTGAAGCTGGGGAGACAGACACAGGTTTCAAGTTGTAAATCCAAAGTGCCCTCTTCTCTTTAGAGAAGGAAGGAAGTAAACTCCATCTGTGACCCACACCTCCACACACTGGGTACAGTATGAGGCCAAGTGAATGAAATTCAGTCACGACGGCTGACCTTTCTGGTGTGATATGGTTTGGCTCTGTGTCCTCAACCAAATGTTGAATTGTAATCCCCAGTGTTGGAGGAGGGGCCTGGTGGAAGATGAATGGATGATGGGAGTGGATTTTCCCCTTGCCGTTCTCATGATAGTGAGTGAATTCTCACAAGATCTGGTTGTTTGAAAGTGTGTAGCATCTCTCATTTTACTCTCTCTCTCTCTTCTGCTGGCCATGTGAAGATGTGCTTGCTTCCCCTTTGCCTTCAGCCATGACTGTAAGTTTCCTGAGGCTTCCCAAACCATGCTTCCTATACAACCTGTGGAACTGCGAGTCAATTAAACCTCTTTTCTTTATAAATTACCCAGTCTCAGGTAGTTCTTTACAGCAGTGTAAGAACAGACTAATACATGGTGATAATATATCCAGGCAGATTTATACCCTAAGGAAGAGTATTTTCGGTAATAGTTTACATGCATTAATCACAAAGTTGTTCATTGAAATGCAGGAGGAGGCTTAGGCTCAAGTCCCAGTGATACTATCTCCTAGCTCTGGACCCTTATCTAGGCTACTTAGCCCCCAAAGTCTAGAAAATGCAAGTATTTCACAATACTTTTTGGAGAATTTAGTGAGACAATACATGTACAGTGCTTTATAAACACAAAAGAACTACAATACCTTTAAATTGTTGAGAGTTTTTTTTTAATGAAACAGAATACAGCAAGAGTATTATAAACCTGGAATCCCAGCACAAGCCTATAAAGGAGGACTATGATTTTTTTAATTTACAGGGTAAAAAAATTAAGTCTCAGCACTAATACTGATGTTGCCTTTTATCCCCAGAGATTTTTATTTAATTGATCTGAGATGCAACCTGGGTATTGGGACTTTGTAGAGCTCCCAGATGCTTCTAAATTGGCAATGCAAGTTGAGAATCATTGTGTTAGGGAGTTTCACTCCTTGCTCCTCCCAGTGTGGACCAGCAGCACAGGAATTGCCTAGAAATGCAGAGTCTCAGGCCTCACTCCAGATCTTCTGAATCAGAACATGCAAAAATTTAACACAGCTTCCAGGTGATTCATGCGCACAAGAAAGTTTGAGAAGCATGAAACTAAGTCACAGCTAAACTGCAGAACCTGAATTTGAATCTAGAGCTAGTGAATTGCAAAGCTTTGTTCCTAACGATATGTCCTCCCCCTCTGCAGCTATTAATGTGTTCAAATGTCCTTTTAAATAACTATAAACTTCTCATCTGATCTTCACAGCAACGCTGTTAGGCAAATAAAGATTAGTCTCCATTTGATAGATGAGGAAACACGAAGATTCTGTGTCCCTGCCTAAGTCACATAGAGAGTAAGACATCAGGTTTTGAAATCAGGTTTTCTAAATAATCATATGTGATTCAATGATGCATTTCCTTTAGAATGTTTTTGTAACTTTGAAAGATCTCTTCCCCTTAACCCTGGCTGGTGTACAATATCCTTTTCTTTTTTCTCTGGGTTTTTACAACATTATTCCATCCCATGCTGAGTTGTAGAAGGAGCTGTGCTGGGGAAAATTCCACTATGAAACATTCTTTGCCACAAATCACAGCTGCTCATGAGGACTTCCGTTGCCAACCTGCCCCCTACCCCAGCCCCCGGACTTCCCTAAAACAACATTCCATCTGAAGGACACAGCCAGGATGGTGCCAATCATGGCTGGAAAGCAATGCACAGAAATCTTGGAGACACGACAGAAAAGCAGTGTGGAAGCAGGTGTGCCCAAACATTCCCCATAAGCCTGTGTTGAGGCGCATCCACCAACCCAGCGAAAAACAAACGGGATAAAAGGTCATTGTTGGAACCTGATTATAAGTCCCACAGGACAATGCCATATTGTCAGGATGCCCCCTCAGAACACTTCCCTGCTGATAACACTGGTATGCATGTGGCTTGGAGAAGTCCCAGGAGCAATAGAGAAGGCAACGTTGGTATGTCAGAATATTCAGCAAGCTCAATCTTGCAAAGTTCATCATAATTAGGGAAGTCATAAAAGCCTAGAGCTCGCCCCAGCCCCCTCATCCCTATAGTCAGGATTTTCACCTTCAGTGGAAGCCTAGTAGCATTTTTTGTGGTTTGTCTTAAGGGGTGCCAGGGATACATTCTACTCTTCTTCCCATCTTCTCATGCCCTTAATGCACAACAGTAATGACAAAAACCAGAATCCCTGTTAGAACATGAATATCCATGGAAATTATCCCCATAAAATACTGGGGTCAGAAAAGACCTCAGAAATTATCCAGATTGAGTATCTTAAAGCACAGAGAAGCAAACAGACCTATGGCTGGCAGCCTTCAAATGGCCCTCAATCCTTACCCCCTGGATCCATGCCCTTCATAGAGTCTTTCCACATGAAATAAGGTGGATCTGTGTAGCCAACAGGATACTGCAGAAATAATGGTGTGTCATGTCTGAGGTTTGGTCACAAAAGATGTTGCAGCTTTGTCTTGCTCTCCTGAATCACCTGCCCTGGAGGAAACCAGCTGTCATGTCATGAGGCCACTTACAGAGTGGAGAGGTACTGAGGCCTCCAACTACAGCCATAGGCTGCAGCAACCCACCTGTCTGCCTTGGGAGTGAGCTCCCTTGGAAGCAGAACTTCCCACCCACGTCAAACCTTCAGATGACTGAAATTTGAGATTTCATGAGAGACTGTGAGCCATACTGCCCAGTTTAGACACTCCTGAATTCCTTACCTACAGAAACTGTGAGATCATACATTATTATTGTTGTTTTACAGCACTAAGTCTTGGGGCAATCTGTTACCTGGCCATAAATAACAAATTAACTGCCAAAGGGGTTATGGGACATATCCAAAGAAAAAAGCTAAGAATTAGCTTTTTCAGTGAAGTTCATATTCACTGTTGTGGACTACAATGGTCTCCGCTGATGCAATTGGTCTCTGCCTGTTGGTCTGACCTCTGGCTCAGTATGCTCCAGCCACACTGGCCTTCCACTTATTTTTCATCTACTACTTCCTTACTTCGATTTCTCTCAAGGGCTTTGAGACTTCCTTTGCACTCTGCTCCCAGGGGTTCACATAGGGGGATCCTCCTTGTTCAGCACTCAGCTCAAAGGCCACTTCAGAGAGGTTTTCTGTGGCTACCAGTTCTAAGGAAGCTCCTTCTCTCAGTGCCCTCCTCCCACCCCCTGCTGCCTGTTACTGTGCATGAAATCACCCAGTTGATGTTCTGCATAGCATTTGACACTCTCTGAAATTATTTCTTTTTTTGCCTACTCAATTATTGTCTCTCCCCAATTGAGTACAAGTTTCATCGAAGTACCTTGTTTTTCTTATTTTCTTTTGTATCTCTGGAAGAGAAAAAGGGGCTTGCTACGGCAAGATGTTGAATAACATTTGGAAGGAAAGGAATGAAGAAGGAGCCTAGTACGGTGGCTCATGCCTGTAACCCCAGTGTTTGGGAGGCCTAGGCGAAGGAGCACTTGACCCCAGAAGTGCCAAGCTGCAGTGAGCTATATGATCATGCCACTGCACTCCAGCCTGGGCAACAGAGCAAGACCCTGTCTCTAAAATATAAAAGAAAGGAAGGAAAGAAAGAAGGAAGGGAAGAAGAGAGAGTGAAAGAAAGGGAAAGTTTAGAAAGAAAGACACAGGTCTTTGAAATCTTTTACCTACAACTTTGGGAAATACAACCTCAACAAGCCTTTGACTCTCTCTCCCTCACTACCACTTTTATGCCCAGATGGAAACAGGGGCAGAAGAAGGGGGCTGTGATACACAGCAAAGAAAAGGAGGTGTTTCTGAGTGGTGTTCCAGGCTCTTTCGAATGAAACAGAACAAATTATATTGTTTGAATCATAAAACATCTAGAGAAAAATTTCAGTGGAATCTCTGATCCACGATGCCTCAGGGGTCTGGGTCTGCAGTACTCCTTACTCTGTTTCTATAATACTTTCCATTCACACCAGGAGGGAAAGATCTGGTTGGGTTGGATTTATTTCCCATTTGAGAAAGTCTGGGCTCAGGAGGCTTGCTCAGAGAACCAAGTCTAAGAAATGTATCTTTAGGGTCTAAACCCCAAAAGGGAGAGGCTGCAGTAAAAAGAGCTCCAAAGAATGAAGTCATGAAATGTAAAGAAAGGAAACTTTGGGCCAAAGATGAAAGGCCTTCTTAACTGTGAAAATCTATTAGAATATGTAATACTCTCTCAAGAATAGAAGCCCCATTCCTTACATTATTTAACACAAGGGAGAACAAAGAACTGGAGAACATACGTTGATCCCACTTCAGCCCCTGAGAGGATAGGAAAAATGACCTAATGGTGATTTCCTATCTCTAATTTACATGATAATTTGAATCTGAAAACATTGGAAAATAATGAACCTGACTCTCCGAATAGCAGGAGGGCAAGTGGGCCATAGTCCCTGGCATCTCTCTGCAGCTTTCTGTGGAGGGAGGAGAACTTCCGTGCAATTCCGCAGCACTCCCCAAGAGGCTGCTGGTTTGTGGCTCAAACCTAGATACAGCCAGGTTGCCCAGAAGAGGATCACAATATCCCAGTCCCAGCACCTGAACCCAGGCAAGCCTACAGCTTCCTCTGGCAAAGATTAGACCAGTAGTGTCTAAGCAACAAGTCTTCCAGAAAGGAGAGGGAAAAAAATACAAGAGAAGGCATAGGACAAATATTTTCAGTTTTGGAGCTCAAAAGGCATATCTCAAGTTCTGCTAGGTGAGAAGGATTCCGCTACTGTTTCTGGGGTAGAGCAAGAATTGCAGATAGTATCAGAAATACACACTGGGAGATTAAACATGGCCATTGAACAATTCCAGATTCACAGAATCTCAGACCTAGAAGAGACCTCAGCATTTATCTAATGTCACTTCCTCCAGTTTCAAAGGGAGCTGTGTGCCCAGAAAAGGAGAATGCAATCCAGGTAAGAGCCTCAAAGAGGAGGGTATTGGAAATACAGTATTCACCTCAGCCCGCAACAGTGAACATGGAGTTTAGCGAAGGAGCTGGCTTCATTAAGTGTCTGGAAGACAGAAGACAAAGAAAGAACTGGAAATACGGGTAAAACCTGAACAGTGTGAGACTGTACTTTGCAAACTTTCCTAATTTGTATGCAGCCTGCATTTCACTTTTTCTTTCATGAGAGTGAAATGTATGCACTTTGAAGGTTTACTGGCTAAGTTGGATGGGAAAGGAGCCCCGAGGAGGCAAAATCGTTTTTGGGTGGGTGTCAGTGACCATGCATTTTCCATTTTCCTACCCAAGGTGCCCAACCTGGTAGGCACTACTTCATTTGGTAAAAAGTGAACATAAAAGAGAGGGGTTTCCATGACCTAATATTGGGACAGAAACCATGCCTCCCAGGGTGCTGGAAGTAGAGACTTAAACCTTTTGGACAGATAGAAGCCGCCTTATGTCTATTTTGGATTCTCTGAGGGATCAGGAGCACTGTCTCAGCCACTTAAGAGGGGAGTGACTTACGAGTTCACAGCCAAGTAGGATAAGAACAGAGATTTTGCTGTTGTCAACTCCTCTGCTTCGGTGGAATAAATAATAAGGCATGAGCTTGGAGGCGTTGCTGCTAGTTGGGGAGAGCAGGAGAAAGCCCTTGGGGGCTGATGCCGGCGATGGAGGTCTGGTTGGGCTATGCAGCGGAAACACACAGGAGCAAAGGCTTCTGTAGAGGGTCCTTCCAGGCATCTGTGCTGCCTTCACAGAGCTCACTCCAGAGCTGTGCTCTTTGAGGAAAAAGAATCCCTGGCTTGTGCAGGAGATCTCCATTCTGTGGATGCTCCATTTCGAGTTCAGCTTTGGCAAGGGGGGAGGGGTGTGGACGAGAGTGCTCCCCCTCCCATTGCCTGGGGGGATTAAGAGGCTCTATTGTCCCTGGCCTGATGGCCCCCGCATTTGCATATATCAAGTCCCTGGGGCTGGGAATAGTGGCGCGGGCTGCACCTGCTGCCCTGGGTTCCAAGGGCTGACCCCAGTGAGACCTTCCAGGTAATTCCATTTGTGTCATCACAGATTCAGAAATCCAGGCTTGGGAGTGGAATAACGACTCGAGAAGGGAGCGGGAGTCATGGGTAAACACACACGTCCCGGGATGGCTGAAAGTGGTCAGAGGTCTGGGAAAAGAACGGGCTTTGAATCCTTGGCGTTCTTTTAAACAGGCCTTTATTTGGAGAGCCTTCCAACCTCCTAAGCCTCATTGAACTTGAAAAGCTACAAGCTTCCTTTCTTTCCGGAGACCCTCTGGCCTCTTCGCTTACCTCTTTCATCGAAGCCATTGTTAGGGGCTGCATTAGTGGGAACCACCGATCCTTCAGAGGAGGCAGCAGTATCATATCACAGATGTAAAAATGATGGAACAAAGGCTCTGAACAATCCAGAGGAGGGTCGAGGGGGCCCCGTGTCGCGTCTGAGGGGATTGACGCCTGGGCCCCCGCTTCTCTGCATAAATAACATTTTTTCAGTTTACAAATTGCTTACCCATACAGAATGTGCTTTATTGCTCAGAACAGCAACTATTTCCAGTGGACAGGTGGGAAAACTGATACTTGCCAATGAGACATTAGAGGACATAGATCAGTGATGTGGCCTGGACGGAACCTCAGAATTCAGACACTACGTCCCAAGATCTCCCAACAGATTGCACCACAGCAAGGAATTTTAAGACAAGGTTGCGTGAGGCTTTCCACTTAAGCAAGAATTGGCTTAAGTGTTCAATATAACTACGATGGATCATCTTGGTCGGGGAATATTTTAGTGGCAAATCAAGGAAAATAAGTTTTTGTGCCCCCCCAAGATATTGCAGAGCCTGGGGCTCAGGGCTTGGCAACAGAGCTGCTGATAAACAGCACCCTAAGAAGCATTAGCAAATGAATAGTTTAATTGAAGTGTGCCCAGATGAACTACAGCAGGGCTGGCCTGAGCCACATGAGGAAGCCTCACCAGCTGGTCTCCTGCCTATCTCATCTGCAGGCTTTTTCCCTGCCCTCCATAAGCCCCCAGCACTCCACAGTTCTTAACATTTGCTCTCCAAAATCAGGAATTGTCATGACACCAACCCCTGGAGGTTGTTGGCTAATTGACCTCATTTTAATGTCATTGGACTCTAGCCCAGTGTTGGTGCTCACAGTTATTTGCATTTTCACTTAAAAAAAAAAAAAGATTACTGTAATTACATACAGTAAATTCACTCTTTTATAATGAACAATTCTATGTGTTTTGAAAAATGCACGTGGTTCATAACCACCATCACAATCAAGATACAGAACAGCTCCATCATTCTTCTCTGCCTAAAATTAATTCTCTCATTCTGCCTTATGGTCAATTCAATCCCCCACCTGCTGGCCCCATAGTTTTGCCTTTTCTAGAATGTCATAAAAATGGAGTGATACTGCACGTTGCCTTTTGAGTTTGGCTTCTTTCACATTGCATAATGGTTTTGAGATTTATTCATTCTGTTGTGTGGATTGATTGGTATTTCATTCATTTTCATTGCTCAGTAGTATTCTATTGCATGAATGCATTATATTTTGTTCAGCCATTCACCGACATTTTGGTTTGTTTCCAGTTTGGAGAAATTTTGAACAAAGGTCACTACGAACATTTGCTCACAGTTTCTGGGTGTTTTTATTCTCTCAGAGAAATGCCCAGGAATGGGATTGTTCATTCTCTGCTTAGTGCATGATTAACAGGTGACAGCTAATCGCTTCCCAGTCCAAGCAGATTTTTTGTCCGTGCCATTGCTGCGTCCCTATCAGCAACACAGAGTTCCAGTTGCTCTACAACCTAATATTGTCTTTTTAAAATATATGATATATCACATATGTATAAAATATATGATATATCACATATGTATAAAATATACATATATCACATATGTATAAAATATACATATATCACATATGTATAAAATATACATATATCACATATGTATAAAATATACATATATCACATATGTATAAAATATACATATATCAGATATGTATAAAATATACATATATCACATATGTATAAAATATACATATATCACATATGTATAAAATATACATATATCACATATGTATAAAATATACATATATCACATATGCATAAAATATACATATATCACATATGTATAAAATATACATATATCACATATGCATAAAATATACATATATCACATATGCATAAAATATATGATATATCATATTTGCATAAAATATGTGATATATCATATATGTATAAAATATATGATATATCATATATGTTATTTGTGTAATATATGATATATGATATATATAATGTGTATTATATATGTGATTATATATTACATATTTTATATAAAATACAAATATACATTTGTTTATATATTTATATGAAAATTTTTATATATTATGCATTTATATGTGTTTATATAAATAAATATTTATATATTATATGTAATTAATATATAATAATTATATATAAATATATTATATATATATTTAGAAATATAATGACGTGTGTGTGTGTTTACAATTGCCCTTGTAGGGGCAAAGAAGGAAAGCTTCCCCTTTCCCCCGCTGAAGGTTCATGGAAAATGAACTGACAAAAGCAGATCCACAAGAGAAAAAGGCAGAAACGTTGTTTAATGTGCATAGCGTGGAGGGATAGCGGGAGAATGATCAATCAATAGCCCAGTGGGGAGCAGAAACTTACATGCCCTTCTTCATAGGAAAGGGGAGATGGGGATGTAGGAGTAAATGATTTTTAGGGGAAATGAATGGGCCAAATGCTCAGACAATGGTAAGTAAATAATTATCTTTGGGAATTGAATGGGACTGGAGAACAAACAGTTGTTTGGGATGAAGTTTGCCTGGGTTTTAATTGTGGTGTTTAACGTTTAGTCTTTTCCGCTATGATATGAGTTTTAATCTCTGTTTAGTGAAATTTCAAGGTAAGTATTGAAGCCAATCGTGTTTCTCTTTGGGGGGTCCAGTTACTAGGTAGATAATGGACCTTCAGAGAACAACGTCATCCTACGCTTTGGGAGAGACAGAGAATCAGAGAGATGGAGCAGGAGAAGGTCACAGGGAAACCTTGGTTCTCAGGCTCATACCTGGGGCCTTTTAATTTTCAAAGCACTCAGCATGCCAAAGAGCCATATTTTGGGGAATTGTTTTCTGTGCCGTCAACACCAAGAAATTCTAGCAGGTATGTAGTGATGTCTCATTATGGTTTCTATTTTTCAGAGAAAATATCTTGCTGTGTCCTCCAGCTGGAGTACAGCAATCTTAGCTCACTTCAGCCTCAAACTGCTGAGGTCAAATGATCCTCCTGCCTCAGCCTCCCGAGTAGCTGGTACTATAGGTGTGCACCACAACACCCAATTTCATTATGGTTTCAGTTTGTATTTCCCTAATGACTAATGAGGTTATGATGGCAGCCGTGGCCCATCTGGAGGGGCCACTGCGAAGACGCCAGCTGCAGCAAGGGAGGTGTGGCTGCAGTTGTGTGCTCTGAGGGGCCAGCAAGAACTGGGAACAGGTGGAAGCCCTGCCCCCTACCGAGTTGGCACAGGAGTCCCATGCTCCTGGGCACAGCTGCAGCCACTCAGCCATGGCTCCAGAATTGGGCATCCCTCTGCTCTTGGGGACTCGGGAAGCCCCCACCACCACCACCCCTTGCAGTTTCGGAAGGGCCTGCTCCCACTCCCTGGCCTCTCCCTGCTCCCAGCACGTGCTCTGATTTAGGAGCAAAAGTTGTGGCTGAGCTTGGCTGCATGTAAGCATGTTCAGGGTGGCACTAACACAGCATTCCCCTGCTGCCTCGGCCCCCTCTGTACTTCAGGTGCCAACGAGCATGGGAGCAAAGTAGAGAGAGGGCTGCGGGTGGCTCAGCACAGGCTTGCAGGCACCCCTCAACGTAAGCAGCCTGGGCACCATGGACAACATGTTGATGGTGGCAAGAGGTAGATAGGCTCCTGGGCAGAAAGGGGCAAGTACCCAGTGAAGCCCCACCTTCAAGCCAGGGATAGCCTGAAGCCTGGGAGCCAGGCTGTCAGTTTTGGGTGGAGTCCATGGCCCAGAGTGAGAATTTATGTTGCTTTATCTGGGCCTCCCCATAGCCACCCATGGACCAATCAGCAGGCACTTCCTCCCTTCTGAGCCCATAAAAACGCCAGACCCAGACAGACTCAAACAGACATCAAGACTACCAGCTGTAGGAAGGAGCTACCCACTTTAGGTCTCTTCAACTTGTTGGGATGACCTGCTTGAGGAAAGGAGCTACCCACTGCGGGTCTCCTGAAAGCTGTTCTGTCACTCAATGAAGCACCTCTCTGCCTTTCTTACCCTCCAGTTGTCCACATACCTCATTCTTCCTAGACACAGGACAAGAACTTGGGACCCGCCAAATGATGGGACTGAAATAGCTGTAACACAACCCTTGCTCACCACATTGTGGGTGATGAGAAGGACAGAAGAGCTATGGACTTTTGGGGAGCCCAGATCTAGGGGCTCCCCAAGACAGGGCTGTGACACCCTTTTGGGGGCTCTGTGGTTCCCGGCGTCTCCAAGCTCCCAGGCACCACCACATTCCCCAAGTCCAGATGCAGGTGCCTGCAGCAGAAGCCATGTGTGATAAATTTGGTCCAGCTGCAGCCTTGCATGGAGCCAGCACCTATGCCATGGCCTGGAGCTGCCAACCCTGCTGCAGCAGCCAGAGTACCTGGCTGTGCGCAATGGCTGGACCCTGTGCTCACTCGCTCACAACCCCTTGCTGCTCTCTGCCTGGCTTGCCCTTGGCAGGTTTGGGATCCAGGTGTGAGCCAAGCACACCCTGCTGGGCTGAGTAGGTAGAACAAGCTCCATGGACAGCAATACTCAGGTAGAAGGTGACACCAGCCACAGATGTTTCCAGCTGGTGAAGTGACACCCCAGGGATCCCGTGACAGTTGCAATTTAAACTTTCAATTTCTATTTATGGACTAGAATCTTGTTGACTAGTTCAAGTAATTTTAATACTCAATTGTAGGCCTCAGTGATTTTCATGTGTTTGTTGGTTAAGCTCAATTTTTTTCAGCCCCTGTAGGATCAGGGTATCTCGGTGATGGCAACACAATCTACCCAACTGAATAATTTAGAAACTTAGAATCATTCATGACACTTCCTTCCCCAGCACATCCAACCATTACCATTGTGCCCTTATAAATCTGCCCTTAAGTCTGTTTACTGAACTCAGGTTCTATGTCTTAGTTCTGGTGGTTGGAGCTGAATCACAGGTCTAAGTTCAAGGCGAAAGTTCACTAAGACTTCTTAGCACCCTTCTGGCCTTTTCCCTAGCCCCACACTCTCATTTTGGCCTGAATAGCCTCTCACATGGAAGAGAAAAGCAAGAAGGGAATTAAAGGTAGTCCTTCTTCCTCAATTAAGACCTGCTTGCTTAAGCCTACCAACCTTGCCTTCTGTCATTGATTTTATCATGTCTTCTTTTTCTTGGTAAATTACTGAACACCTGCCCAATCCAAAATCTTGGGACTATCAATCTGTCATTTTTTTCTCAATTTCCTGACTTCTATCCTTAAAATTTTCAAACATACAAAAATGTTAATGGAATGAGACAATGAGCATTTGTAAAACTATGCCATATTTGCTTTATCTGTCCTCCTTTTTTCAGTTGAACCATTTTAAAGTAAATTGTAAACAACATGCCCTTTCGCAATTAAATACTTCAGCAGGAATCTCCTGAAAATAGACATTATCCTACATCCTTCAATATGCTTATCCTATTCAAGAAAATTAACACGAATTCTCTAACATCAAACTGGTGTTCCCTTTGGGGAAAGGCAAATTTCCCCAAATGCCTTTATTTCAGTAATCCAGAGCCTAGTCAGGGTTTATGCATTTGGTTGTTATATCTCTTTGGTCTATTTTAATCTAGAAGAGTCCCCTCAAAGTAAGTTTTTTTTTTCTTTTGAGATGGAGTCTTGCTCTGTCACTCAAGCTGGAGTGCAGTGGCGCGATCTCGGCTCATTGCAACCTCCACCTCCCGAGTTCAAGTGGTTCTCCTGTCTCAGCCTCCTGAGTAGCTGGGACTACAGGCGCATGCCTACATGCCTGACTAATTTTTGTATTTTTACTAGAGATGGGGTTTCACCATATTGGTCAGGCTTGTCTGGAACTCCTCACCTCAGGTGATCCACCCACCTTGGCCTTCCAAAGTGCTGGGATTACAGGCATGAGCCACCATGCCCTGCCACAGTAAGTATTTTCTTACTTTGCCTTTTGTGATGATGGCAAGCCAATCATCTTACAGAATGTTCCAAATTCTGGGTTTCTTATGTTGTTTTATTATGGTGCCATTTAGCTTTGTCCTCTATTTTATGAAAACCAAAAGTTGCATCTAAAGGGTTAGTTAGGCACAAGTTAAAGCATGCTTGCAAGCATCCTGCATGGGTGATGCTCTGTATTTCATAATGCATCACATCAAAAGGCATGCAAGGCAACATGTCCTACCATTAGTGATGCTAAAGTTTGATCACCTGATTAAAATGCTGTTTCCCCTCTTTGGTACTTACCTATAATCTGTGGGAGTGAATTTTGGCACCATTTGAACATCCTGTTCCCCATCAGCCAGTCATCTAATGATTTTATCATCTATTGTTTATCCTTGCCTGAAACAGTTACCTCACTGGAGGTTTCCAAATGGTGACTTTTAAATTCTATTATACTTCCCATAGTTATTAGCTTGCGTTTTTCTATAAAAACAGCTTTCTATCATTAACAAACTATAGTTCATCCTAAAAAGCAGGGTAACTGCTTAATTCTCCCCTTTAGTTATCAATTCTTAGAATAAGGATTTGGTATAATAATCACTGTTAGTGGTGGCAAGTGAGTTTTCATTTATTTTTTCTGTCTCTCTCTTTTCCTGTGTCAGTAAAAACTCCTTGACTTTGTGTGTTTCAATCGACTATGGCCAGTATTCTTTTGATGCTCATCTGAAACTGAATTTGACCATTGAGAGCCCCTCAAGCTGCCTTCTGCACTTTTTGATATCCCCCCATTATCTCTGAGAACTTCCTTATTTTCTGGGGCAAGAAGATATCCCAGACTCACTTTGTACTTTTTCTACTCTAGACCTGGATTAGCAATTTCACAGAGAAGTCTTATCTTTTTTCTTATGGGGAATGGTATTTAGAAAGCAAAATCTAGGTGTTGGGGTGTTGATTATTACTTGAGTGTCATTGTTCTTAGGCTCTTTGTGGGAATTGATATAAAATATGTACAGATTTTTAAAAATATCAGTGCTTGTTAATATTTCAAATTCAAATTAAACAATACAGTTTTTTCCCTTAACTTTAATTTCATATTACTGTAATTTTTTCCTTACATGAAAAATCTTGGTTGCTACAAATATTGAGCTATATACTTATTTGTTTTATCCTACACTATACATAAGCCTACTGAAAGTTATAATGCTATCAAAAGTATTGAGTGGACTTGAACATTTCTTGCAGTTATTATTATTTTCCCATTTTTCTTATACATACAAAAAACAATAGGATGCTAAATGTACTAGCCCGCACTTTGCAGGTTTTTCCCCATTCTTTCTCATGAATGGGGAAGGTCTACTTATCAATACATATAGACTTTATTGGTACACATAGACCATCCTCATTCTTTCTTATGACTGCCTAGTAATGAGTGCAGTAAACACACTGTAGTTTATTCAGCCAGTCTGTGAGTTATGAGAATTTGGGTTGTCTCTAATATGTTATAAAAATCATTCCGCATGATAGTATGTTTTTAAATTTGATAGGACTTTCCATCCTCTTCATTGCTGTTCTTATTGAAGGTTTCCCTGGCTATTCTTGCTTACTTACATTTTTTCTTTTCTTTTGTTTTGTTTTATTTTGAGATGGAGTCTCTCTCTGTTGCCCAGGCTGGAGAGTGCCATGACACGATCTCGGCTCACTGCAACTTCCGCCTCCCAGGTTCAAGCAATTCTCCTGCCTCAGCCTCCCGAGTGGCTGGAATTACAGGCACTCACCATCATGCCTGGCTAATTTTTGTAGTTTTGTAGCGATGGGGTTTCACCATATTGGCCAGGCTGGGCTTGAACTCCTGACCTCAGGTGATCTGCCCACTTCAGCCTCCCAAACTGCTTATTTACATTTTTTTAAAATACAAACATTTTCTCTATCTCTTGGTAGGAGGTGGGGGGAGGTTTGTATGTGTGTGGAAAATGTCTTGGTATTTGTATTGGAATCATTTTAAATATATATTTACTTGGAAGGAATCAACATATTTATAATTTGGAGTCATCCTAACCAAGAACGCAAAATGTCTTTCTATTTGTCCAAGTCTACTTTTACATCTTTTGGCAGAGTTGTAAAACTTTCTTCACATAATTTTAGCCAATTTCTGGCAAAGATTACCTCTAGGAATTTTATCTTTGTTGGTGGCTTCAGCTAAAGATCTCTTTGCTGTCCCTCAGCCTTGCCTATATTCAAATCAAACTTCTGCCCAGCTAAAGTGCCATCTAAAGCCTCCAAAGTCAATCTGCCTAAAACTCCACGATAATGGCCTCCCATCTCACTTCTGTCTCCCCTGCTCCCTTCTGGCCTCTGCTCTATATACCTACTGAGACATCCTCAATGTGCAGATGCCTTTAGCTTTGCCTAGTCCAGTCTTTGTTACCACCATGCCTTTCCATTCCATCCTCCCAATCACATATTCACTGATATGTGTTTATCCTTCAGCTTTCAGTACATCCTTTGGAAAGCATTCACTGACTTTTCCAAGACTGGATCAAGTGCCTAAGCGCCCCATGTAAGACTATTGTAAGATGCCCACGCTGTTGGTCACTGACTGATTACTCATCCATGTTCCCGCTGGACTGTCAGCTCCCCAAGGGCAGGGACTGTGTCTTCCTCAGAGTTGAATCTGCAGGATCAGCACAGTTCTCAGCCAAACCAGCTCCTCATCCTATGCCATAGAAGGCATGCACACTTTGTACTTAGAGCCACTGCTCTCCCTAGCCTGAGCCTCTAAATGCAGGTGGATGGACCTCCTGAGAAACCGGGTGCCTGAATTTAGATAAAAAGAGTTCAGAGGCAGGAACAAAAAGTATTGCCTCCAGAGACCTTTCCCATGTGGACTTTGAATGCTCATAGCTACATCCCCCCTTTATTTCTCCGATCAACTTGGATCTCTATCCCTTAAAATTCACTTAGCACTTTATGTACTATGGGAAAGAAAGTGGGCTTTGCAGTGAAGCCTGGTTTTGTGTCTCATAGTGTTCTGCTTACCAGAGTCTTGGACAAAACGGTAGGAAAACAGTCTTCCTCTTTCAATCAAGCAGGATGGGATGAATCTCCTCTCAATACAGCATGCATGCCTGGCTGAGGTTTACAATGCTATTTCTCTATTCTAGTTCTACTAACATTTCACTGAGATTTGTGGGCATAAAGATTTATGGAAAAAAATCTAAAAAATAAATCTCCATTTAGCATAGAGATGGCAAGTAAGATACTTTGTTTGCCTTTGCTCCATCAGAGTTCTGCTAGTGAACACACCACTTGCAAAGCCTGCAGCATCTCCTATTTTGCTTTCTCACAGCAGAGGAATCCACGGTCATGCCAACCTAGTTCTAGCCCTAATGGTGTTAAAGGATCAGTGGTTCTCAATCAATGGAGTGCTTCAGGATCTTCCGGGCTGCTTGTTAAAATGCAGGTTGCTACACCAGCCGCACCCAGACCCCACTAAGTTTTGAATCAGGAGGTCTGGATTGAGAATGAATAATTTGCATCTCTAACAATTTCACAGTGATGTTGATGCTGCTTATCTGGGGACTACACTTTGAGAAGCTGTATTCTAGAGAAAGCTCAAGGTTGAAGCACCAGCCCCGATCAGGAAACAGAAGCTAATGCCTCCTCCTTATGGACAGATGAGGGGCATTTTCTCCCTGTCCAACATTCTTATGACATACTAGAGCTCCTCTATCTGGGACCCTGTCACCAAGGGTTCACAGCATTTTCAAAGCCAAGCTAAGTTACATTTAAATTACAAAATATGCCTACGTTATTTATTACTTTGAGGGGGGTAAAAGAAGATTAGAAATGAGGCAAGGTTTCAAAAACCAGGGAAGCAAGAATGTGTTAAAGACTTTAGAGTTACTAGGAAGCCCAGTCAAACAGAAACAGCTCTAATGAAGGGTTTTTTTTTTTTTCCTTCTTGATGTTTTGGTTAAATTTGGTTATGAAGGTTATAAAAAATGAATAAGACCTGACCCCAACTCTCCAGGGGCACATAGACCAGCTGGAAGGCTGACATAAGAATAAAGCAGAAGGAAGTATGCTGTGCGAGAGAGGCAGGCAGAAGGCTGTTAGAGCTCAGGGAGGAAGGGGCTGACTCAACCCAGTGATGGCACAGGAGAAAGAACTCGGCTCTCATTAGCGTCTTTGCTTAGGACTGTATGTGTCCTATCACATTGAATTTAATCCTCCAAACACCTCGTGGGGTCAGTTGGGGTCAGTTATTTGTGAATCTTAGTGTCAGATCTTTGGGTAGTTTGAGTGGCCCTTTGACATATGAGGGTAATTGAAAGAAAGTAATGAACCACTTACCTGGCTGAACTTGAACTTGAATTTGGAGTTTTATTATTCTTGGGAAGCCTTGGGATCATACCAAAAATAAAGCCATTTAATATCTTAAATCTGCCTCAAAGGTTTGCATTGTTTGCCACGGGCTAAACATAGAACAAAAAACACCTCCCCCCAGCACAGTTCTAAACTGTATCTCCCCCCACCAACCCCTGGGGACCAGCGCTGGAAGCAAACTTCACCCTTAGTCTGTGGGAACGTGTGTGTTCTTCTGTGAGCCTGTGCTGTGTTCTGACACCCCACCCACACCCACTGGGGTCCTAGGCTTTACTGAACGCCTGTCTCCCATATTCAGGCGTCAGAAACTCAGCAGACAAACCCCTCAAATCATATTACAGTCTACAGGCAACCAGCAGAAAACAGGATTGGGGGTATGCTGAGTCAGAGAGAGAGAGAGAGAGAGGTGATTGCTTTGTGACCTCAAATAACAGACGAGTACAGGCAGGCAAGAGACATTGCCTTGCTTATTTTATTTCTGGAGTGACCAACAGCTCAGACCCCTCATCCTGAATCAGGAGCAGGGAATGCTCCCCCACCATCCCCGATTCTGATGGAGAGCACCCCAACAACGTCCACTTCACAAATGAGGGACATGAGGCGCCGAGATGTGTTAGGTTTTTTTCTAGTCACACAGGCTGTGTGACTCGGTCACTACGGCACGCTGCTCCTCAAAGAAACTGAGGTCCCCCAGTGAATAAGCTGTCTCCCACAGCTCAGAGGGCTCCTATTGCCTTGGTTGTTAAATCATTTTTCCCTTCTCAACAAGCCACAGAAAGCTCTGTCACTGTGCCCTTCAGGTCTCCAAGGTGAATAATTAAATAATTGTGGCTGCCTAACACCTGCTATGTCTCTGAAAAAGGGTTGTGAAGCGAACAACTTAAATTGCTTAAATGTATTTGCACACACCTGCACACACCCACATGTACGCTCATGCACGTGCACACCATTACCTGCTGGGTGGATCTCGCCTCTGTTCCAGGTCCTTCACTAAGCCATAACCCCTGCCACATGCTCCATGTTCCTTCACCTTGAGTATTTTTTCAGCCCCTCCCAGGATAACCTACTGAAAGCCTCCTTTGTCTACTCATTGCAGTCTTACCTTGGTGTTTCTCTTGCATCTTGAAGGTCCTTCCAGGTGTCTGCCTTCTGATCGTCTACCTGGTCCCTTGAAGCATCACCTCCTCCAGGAAGCCTTCCTCCCATACTCACAGGAATGATGTGTCTGCCCTGGCCCTCACCCCGTCGGGGCTGGTCCAAACTGAAAACTATTCATTTCTTACAATCGCCTTAGGATTTGTACCAGCCCAGACTTCATAAAGTCCTGTCACCAGTTAGAGGAATGAGGTGTCTCATGTAGCCCTTTCAGCAGGAACTCCGGATTTGTCAAAATTGAACCATTAAAATAAGATCATTAAAAAGAAAAAAAAATTTCAGGTGTTGAAGCAAACCATTTCCGACCACAGAGTCAAATAGCTGCGCAGGTATAAATGATGCCAGATTTGGTTCAAACTCATGGACATTTTTTATTCTATAGGATTTTTAAAAATCCTTTTTTTTTTTTTTTTAAACACTGGAGTTTGGGGGTGGAGGGGATGAGAGCAGGAGGAAAAAGCACAGGAAATGTAAAGGATTCTGGAATTTCAAATGTATGGGGAAGACAAGTAACTTCCCCAAATCTATGCAGAAGGTAGTGGCTGGAAGGGAAATTAAATAATTAAGTGGACCACCTGCAGAAAATGGGGACCAGAGGAAAAACACTCCATTGGCACAAATAGAAACCACACATTTCTAAAAGCTTCCATCAGTGGATCGTTAAGCCTTCTGAGCCGCTAGTTTCAGGTTTGGATATCTTGGCAACCATTGATGGGAAGCGTGCCAAGGCCCAGGCACCCGGGCTAGAAGCTTACTCTGCAACTCCTGGCAGACACCTTTACTCCTACGCGAGAGATCTGGTGAGTGTTAAGGAAGAAAAGTACTTGTGTCAAAGCTAAGAAAACCAGTTGCACTTCCAAAGCTAAGCCGCATGCAAACGCTGGTTTGTTTTCTGAGAGCCTAGAGCAATTTCCACACCAGTGAAAATATCCTGGAGATGAAGGAGAAATGAGGCCGCTCTGCCAGCCACGTCCACCCAGTACCAAAAATTACTTGTGCTTTAGAGTTGATTACATGGTTCCCATTTGTATTTACACTTTGGGATGGGTATTACCCGTAATTTACAAGACAGTCACTGGACACTCAGTTTAAATCATTTCCCAGATAATTACAATTAATAATAATAATAATGCCCAGTATTTATCAAACACTTTCTATGCCCCAGACACTATGCTAAGAACTTAATGCACATGATCTCATTGATTAGTCACAAAATCATCCTTGTTAGTCCTACCCTCAAAGTCTGGAATTCCCTTCCTCTGTTTTCTTGCATCACGTGACTCACGTCTTACTTCTTTGGTGGTTTCCTCCTCTGTTTAGATAAAATCCAAAGTCTTCATCATAGCATCCAAGGCTTGCCATAATCAGTTCACGATGTTGTTAAGTTTAGCCTAAAGCTGCCTCCTTACATACTTTAAGTTCAGCCTAAAGATTTCTCCATAAATAGCAAACTGTAACCTAACTGGATGTGTACACAGACCATAAACTACTTTTAAATTGTAATTATTTTTAGAGACGGGCCTTCATTATTTCACCCAGGCTGGAATGCAGTGGCACCATCATGACTCACTGCAACCTCCATCTCCTGGGCTCAGGTGATCATCCCACCTCAGCCTCCCCAGTAGCTGGAACTACAGGCGCTGCCATTGTGCTGGGCTAATTTTTTTGTTCGTTTTTGTAGAGATGAGGTGTCTTATGTTGCCCAGGCTGGTCTTGAACTCCTGGGCTCAAGTTATCCTCCTGCCTAAGCCTCCCAAAATGCTGGGATTCCAGCCGGCAGCCACTGCGCGGGGGGCTCTGTAACCTACTTTTATGATTGTGCCAATCACTGAGTTTGGGCCAATCACATGTGGCCAACTGCTCAAACCATGTTCCAATAAGGCAAATGTGGAGCTGCAGCCAATCCCGCTCTTTCTCTACCTCACTTCCGTTTTCTGCAAATCACTTTCCCTTTTCTGTCCAGAAATCTACCACGTGGCTGCACTGGACCCGCTCTCAACCTATTCCCCTTTGTGAGCTGCGTGATTCACCAATGATTCTTTCCTTGGTTAAACTCTGTAAAACTTAATTTGGCTAAGGTTCTTCTTTTAACAATGTCAAGCACTTTCCTGCCTCAGGGACTTTGTATTTATTTGCTCTTCCCTCTCTCCTGAGACACACTCACACACAAACATCACACTAATTACTAATTTTCACTCATTCTTTGTATCTTGGAGTAAATATCACTTCTCCAAAAATCCTTTGCCTGGCCCTTTTATCTGAATCAAGTTCCTGTCTTGTGAGCTCTCCAAACACCCTGTATTTTTCCTTCAGAGCACGTGTCTGTTTGTAATCTTTTACTTACTTGCTTGGTTTTATCTTTCCAATCTGTTCATCTGGGGCAAGGGACTGGGAGTCTTTTGTTCACCACTGTATGTAACCTCATTACTTGGCTGTACTTGGCATATAGTAAGTGTTAAATAATTATTTATCAAACAAATAAGAACAACATTTTGAAGCAGAAGCTGTCATTAACAAACTAATTTTTAACTGCACAAAGAAAATCAGTAAAACTATAGTTCTGCAATGGTATTGGTTTTTATATTGGTTTCTGGGGTGCTGGTGAATGTTTAATAAGATTTTAAAGAAGAAGGAAAAGAGAAAGAAAGAAGCTCCTATGGAGCACTTGCCTATCTCTGTGGTGGAAATACTTCCTCTGTGTTAGGCCCCAGTGTGCTGTCAGCTTGGGAAGAGGTGCATACACATGGCTCTTGAGAGCTGGGACAAGATGGCCCCAGCATATCTCAGGTCTAGAAAACCTGATCAATTACATCATTCACTGGGAGGTAGAGAATTTCATTTAAGAAATTGAGTTCCTGTTTTTCACACATTTGCTTTGAGTTGACTACATTACCATTTCTGCTGCAAGTTAGACCAGAACTTCTCACCTGCAGCCCATGGTGAGGGCTCTGTGTGGGTGAGACATGCATCCCTTCAGCCCATGGGGTGGCGTTAGACTCCAGGCTGGTCCTCTCTGGCCAAAGTGCACTTACCTGAGCACATACACATGTTTTTGTTTTTTATGTGTGTGAGAACATGGAAGGAGGTTGCAAAGCAAAATAAATGAGGTGGGCAGAGGGGGAAGCAGTATTCCAGGTAACCAGGCTTCCTCCAGCTCTTCTTCTTTTATGC
Source organism: Homo sapiens (assembly GCF_000001405.40). NCBI lineage: Eukaryota > Metazoa > Chordata > Mammalia > Primates > Hominidae > Homo > Homo sapiens. Next base: position 14,795,342 of record NC_000017.11, read on the forward strand.
TAGTGGGCAAAGAGAGGGGAGAATGGGCCCACTGTGTTTTAGAGGCTGCTCCCCAGGCCTCTATTTGCGTGCTGCCTACATGCCTCCAGTCATTTCTATCCCCCCAAACAACCACAACCCTGCTCAAGCTGGCACATAAACTTGCATCGTGTTTCCAAGAAACAGCTGAGAAGGCTTGGAAAGGGCTCCCTCCTCTCTCATGAGGGTTAGGGATAGAGACCATTTCCATTTTACAGACAAGAACGTTAACACATAGAGAGATTACATTATTCAAGCAAACATACATCTTGGCTTAGTGGCGGATCCAGGGGTTGAGTATGTTACTGTGTTACTGTTTCTTAATCTTCTTGCCCAAGGCACAGATCACTAAATATTTCATATAGCACTCCCCACCTCACCAAACTAGCAGAATAAAGCAAAATCTTCCAAACCCTCACAGACTTTTCTTTTTCTACCTTTTGTCCCATATGAAAATCAAGCTAGGCATGGTGGCTTATGTCTGTAATCCCAGCTACTCAGGAGGCTGAGGCAGGAGGATGGCTTGAGCCCAGGAGGTTGGGGCTGCCTTGAGCTGTGATCACACCACTGCACTCCAGCCTGGGTGACAGAGTGAGAACCTGTCTCTAACACACACACACACACACACACCCCCTAGATGTTTTTCTGTTACCTGTAAACTCTCTAGCAAAGAAAATATATCCTGTGCTTCTGCTTATTTCACATCCCCATAGAACAGAAAAGATATTCTAAAATGGTAGGTATTTGTTGATAGACTCATGGAGTCATTAATAAGATAATTTATATTCACATTTACTCACTGAGTCATTAATAAGATAATTTATATTGACATTTATGTATTTATTATCACAATAAAATGACTTTAACGCTACTTAACCCCTCTTTACACTTTGTTAAAAATATTATTTCCACATCAGCCTTTTTTTTGGAATTTTCTTTTTCCCAAAACATGTATTGAATAAACACACACACACACATACACAGAGAGAGAGAAAGCCACAAAAATATAAACACAAATAGCTTAGTGAATTACTAAAAGGTTAACATCCCTGTAAAACATCACCCAAGTCTAAAGACAGATTTGCCAGCCCCCCACCCCAACCACCCCCAAGCTACTGCATGAGCACCTTCCACTCCTGGCCCCCTGCCTCCCTATAAAAGAAATCACTATCTTCATCTTATAGAACACATTTCATCACATTTCCTTATGGAAAAGTGTGTCCCGACACTAGAATTTAGTTTTCCCCATTGCAAACATACACACACACCAACCATTGGTCACTTTCGTTTACTTAAAATTTATCTGCCGAAGAAGCCCTTTAACCTGAATGTCTCATGGTCTGCACTTTGCTGAGGGCACACTCCTGGTGTGTTCACCACGTTCCTGTACTGCCCGGATCTCCGGCACATCAGTAGCTCCATCCAAAGGTTTGCTGGAACTCAGGCTCCATCTCTTCGGCAGTAGGAAAGTCTCCAAGAAGAAAAGGAATTTGGGAATAGGGCGTATGACTGAACTATTGTGAAAACTAACGAGGACATGATAAAGGCAAACAAATGGAGAAAAAAGTAGGCGATTAGATCCTCTGGAAAACACAACAAAGAACGCACACACACAAAAACCAAACCGACCAAAAGGCCATGATCCAACAACAGTGAAACAAACTTAAATGTGGTATGATTTTTAAGCAATTGATGGAATCTAAGATAAAAGAGCTCATTGGACTTTAGGAATATTCCATTTTTAGTGGGCCAGGAATTATGACTCTGGGCTTATTGAAATGGAAACACAATCCCATGTGATTTTATATATTTACCTAACTTCTGCCAACTCTGCTTTTACGGTGTCAAGATTGTTAACATTTACCTTCTCTCCTGCAGTCTCCACATGCTTTTGCATAAAGCACGGAAAGCTTCATTGAGGTTGTAGGCGCAAAGGTAAATGTTAACAACCTTGAAACAGTGAGAGTAAAAGTGGAATTGACAGAAAGTGGATAATGGGAGTGTGGGTAAGGAAGGTGGGGGAACTCGCCTCACTTTACTAAGTAGGGTGTTCATGTACACTGTCTAAAGTTGATTTCTTGAGAAATAGAGAAATGTTTGAATATATTATTTTAAAATAGAATGTAGCCCATATGAGAACCAAATATTAAAATTCACATGTCAAATATTGAAGAATGAGGATGGTATTACAAGTGACTAAATATTCATCTCACATGAGGGAGTCTGTGGATATTGTCAAAATATTTTAATCGACAAACGAGAGATACACGCATTCAATTTGAAGTTTTGAAGACATTAAGAACCGAAGGAGTAAATAAAATTCGTCCCTGCAGAGTAGGACATAGAAGGAGGAATGAGGTCCTTGGCTTCTATCACAGAAGATTCTGTGCTGCTTAACTGTTATTATCTTAGTTTGGGTCCCCCTAGAAGTAAACCTTGAACCAGGATTTGGAGGCACGCTGTCTATTGAGTGGTGCAGGGCACAGCTGTCAGGGAGGAGAGGAAATGATATAATGCAGGATGAGAACCAGAAAGACTCGGTTATTAAACCAGCACACCACAGCAAACAAGGAAAATTCATTCCAAAGAGAAACCGGAAAACATCTTATACATACCCCCCACTGAGAAGCAAGGGAGCTGGGGGCTATTTCTATGCCAATCCCTATCAGCTGTTAGCTGAGGGTGACTCCCAGAGTGTTGTTAATTTCCCAGCAACTGTGGCCCACGATTCTAGGACAGCCTGCAGTGGTTCTAGGAAGAATGCGCTCAGGCGCAGAGATGGGGATGGTGCCAGTCAGCAGTGTTGGGGACCACATGGAAATGGTGTGGATGCATAGATATTGGGTGGGGCACGGACAGCATCTGCTACAACTACCCTGTGTGCATATTAATCTTAGGGGGACACAGGGAAAACTTCCCCATCACCCTCTGAAGGTTTGCTGAAAATTACTGATAAAAGGCAAATTAATAGGAGAAAAAGAACACAAATTTATTTATTTATTTATTTATTTATTTATTTATTTATTTTATTTATTTATTTTTGAGACGGAGTCTCGCTCCGTCACCAGGCTGGAGTGCAGTGGCGCAATCTCGGCTCACTGCAACCTCCGCTTCCCAGGTTCAAGCAATTCTCCTGCCTCAGCCTCCCGAGTAGCTGAGATTACAGGCACGTGCCACCACACCCAGCTAATTTTTCTATTTTTAGTAGAGACGGGGTTTCACCATGTTGGTCAGGCTGGTCTCGATCTCATGACCTCGTGATCCACCCGCCTCGGCCTCCCAAAGTGCTGGGATTACAGGCATGAGCCACTGTGCCCAGCCTAGCACACGAGCACACGAATTTATTTGATCACAGTTTTATGTGACAGATGGAACTGTCCATTTTTATTCTTAGGCTCAACAAAGTATGGACAACCGTATAGAAATTGGCCGGGCACGGTGGCTCACGCCTATAATCCCAGCACTTTGAGAGGCCGAGGCGGGCAGATCACCTGAGGTCAGGAGTTTGAGATCAGCCTGGCCAATATGGCGAAACCCTATCTCTACTAAAAATACAAAAATTAGCCGGGCATGGTGGCATGTGCCTGTAGTTCAGCTACTTGGGAGGCTGAGACAGGATAATCACTTGAACCCAGAAGGTGGAGGTTGCAGTGAGCTGAGATTGCGGCATTGCACTCCAGCCTGGGCAACAGAGTGAGACTCCATCTAAAACAAAAAAAAAAAGAAAAGAAAAGAAAAGAAATAGGATTGGACCAAAAGGTATGATCTAATGCTCATAGATTGAATGGGGAAACCCCACAAGGTCTGTCTGTGTAAATTCTTCTTGGCCTTTCTGAGCATGCCTTCCTTCTGGATACGAGACAGATCCCTCTCTGGAATGGGGCTCTTATGGCCCCTAGTCAAACATGATGGGTCAGATAATTTCTTTATGGCCAGTTTTTACATAGAAAAGCAGATGGAAAGTTAGAATAATAATTTTAGGTTTTATGGCTGTATTTGGGGAAAAAGCATTCTGAACTGTGAGCTGCCTTGGAGAAGAAGGATTCTAGTTTCTACTGTTAACCTCCGGGAAGAATGAAGAGCCAGAGACAGGTGGGTAGGAGAAGGTCAGAGAAAAACTTCAGCTTCTGAGGCCTCATTTTAGGTATCATTTCCTGAGCCCAGACCCTTTGATACAAAAACAATTAAAAAGAAGTAACGAAATGTATTGTAAAATTTCTTGTGTATCCATGCAAAGAAGTGAACATTTATTGTGCATTGTTGTTGTTGTTTTATTTTATTATTATTATACTTGATAAGTTTTAGGGTACATGTGCACAATGTGCAGGTTAGTTACATATGTATACATGTGCCATGCTTGTGTGCTGCACCCATTAACTCGTCCTTTAGCATTAGGTATATCTCCTAATGCTATCCCTCCCCCCTCCCCCCACCCCACAACAGTCCCCAGAATGTGATGTTCCCCTTCCTGTGTCCATGTGTTCTCATTGTTCAGTTCCCACCTATGAGTGAGAACATGCAGTGTTTGGTTTTTTGTCCTTGCGATAGTTTACTGAGAATGATGATTTCCAATTTCATCCATGTCCCTACAAAGGACATGAACTCATCATTTTTTATGGCTGCATAGTATTCCATGGTGTATATGTGCACATTGTTTATGTACCAGAAATCATGCCAAACCGGATCATTTATATTGTCTCAATTCTTATTACAACTATGTTGTGTCTATTGTTATCTATTTCAGATAAGGTAAAGGTGGCTCATAGAATCTTAGTATTACTAGGAACTTCAGTTTCTAAGTTAATTCATCATATGTAAAAATAAACAAATATTGAATTGGAATGACACCAAAATTGACTGTAAATTTCTAATGCAGAAAATCCTAAGAACGATGAAATAGGATAGTGAGACTTACAGGAGGATAAAAAGATGATCGTTTTACTTGGGAAGATGCTGAGTGGGAGGATGGAAGGGTATTCATCAGATGTCCTGCCAGCAGCTGTGAATAGGGAGCTGTGATGGGTGAAGGGTCTTGTCTATAACATCATTCATAGGCTGTTCCCTCTGCCTGGAGTGCTTTACTCCCACATCTTTATTTTCCTGCGTGGCTCATTCTTCACAGCATTCAGACCTGTTTAAAACCCTCCTCCTTGGAAAGATCTTCCATAACCATGTCAACTAGAAGAACACATCCCAGCCCCACATTTCCACACTGTCCCAGGCCCCATTAATACCTGGCATCTACCTCTGGTGGCCAATTTGAGAGGAGCGCTGATCTTCCGTGCATGAAAAAGCCAGCCTGAGGAAACCAGGGAACAAATGCACTATCTTCTTTCTTGCTCCAACCTTCCGTCTCTCCAGTTTCCCACTGGCTGTGTCCATTCAGAAGGCAATGCACAGGGGACTTCATTGATGCAGCCCATACAGGTCAGGCTCTTGGGTAGAAATTAGAGTGGAGAAGGGTAGAGAATAGATGGGAAGGGGTGTGATGGATTGCTTTAAGAATAGTCCTAATTCTCCACCTCTCTCTATATTCATAATCTAGGCAATTTGATTTTATAGCTCCACCCATCACAAAGTTGAATCTATTTTATTATTCCTTGAATCTGAGCTAATCTTTGACTTGCTTTGACCAACAGAAAATGATGGAAGCGATATTGTGCCATTTCCAAGCCCAAGCCTTAATGAAACTGTCCACATTCCCACATTCTCTCTTGGAACACTGCCTAGGACTTTGAGAACTAGCCTTGATAATCGACTACCAGATGAGAGACCATGATAAGCAAAGATAAGCTCTCTAATTTGAGGCCATCACAGACTAGCCAGTCCTCAATCAACACAACAACCGACTGTAGTGCATGAGTGAGTCCAGCCATGACTAGAAGAGCTGCCCTGCTGAGCCCAGCTCAAACTGCTGACCCTCAGAATTATGTGCTAAATAAATATTTATTGCTTTAAATCACTGGTTTGAGGGATGAGTTGCTATTCTGCATTATGGTACTAGATGACTAATATGGAGCACTGACACAGTCCTCAAAGAATATTTGTTAAGCAGAATGAATGGCTTTTCTTTATTTCTTTATTTCCTATCTTTACATAATTTGGCAAAATTTGCTTTCACCAAACCAATATACACATATTATGCTTTACAATATCCATAACTGTTTTTGTGGATATTTGGAACCTATATCACATTTCAATTGTTGCAGTGGGCTTCCCCCACTTAGAAGAAGACATTGCTTTGGGGTGTTAGGGCAACTTAAGTTCATTTTTATTCTCCCTCTATACTTATGATTAAGGTGATTCCTGAAGTTCTGAAAATTAACATATTTTCTGAAGATGATAAATAAGAAGAGCTAAAGGTCAGGAAATGAAACTTGAGGCATGTCCATGCTAGCTATGTACAGAGAGCAGAGGAAGGGATAACCAAGAAAGAGAGACTGAAGGCAGTCTTTGAGTTACCCGGTGACTGGGCCAAGGTAAAACTGCTTGTGGATGTCATTTGTCTCTATAGTTTCTAGGGGCTCAAAGCATCTAGAGTCATGAATATATTTAGACTGAGAGACCAAAGCAGGACAGTTTGAGGGAAAGCAGGAAACCCATTGCCCCTCTTATCTACACCAAGTCTCTGTATGATAAAGAGCTCCAAGCTCACACTTTTCTCTTGGTCTGGACTTTGGGTCTTCACATCATCATAGGTCAATTTCTTCCAGGTCTGGAGAAAGAGACTGCATCGGAAACAAGACAAAAAGTCTGGGTGAAAAATGAACACATTTAGTCAATCACTAAATTGCTAGGTATATTAGTCTGTTATTACATTTCTCTAAAGAACTACCTGAGACTGCATAATTTATAAAGAAAAGAAGTTTAAGCGGCTCATGGTTCCTCAGGCTGTTCAGGAAGCATGGCTGCCGGGAGCCTCAGGAAACTTACAATCATGGCGGAAAGTGAAGGGGAAACAGGCACATCCTACGTGGCTGGAGCAGAAAGGAGAGAACTGGGAGGTGCTACGCACTTTTAAATAACCAGATCTCTAGAGAGCTCACTCACTTTCATGAGAACAGCAAGGGGAAAGGGTGCCCCCATGATCCAATCACCTCCTACCTGGCCCCTCCTCCAACATTGGGGATTACAATTTGACATGAGATTTGGGCAGGGGCACAAGTTGAAACCATTTCACCAGGCCTCCATGCCAAACTGCTCAGTGCTGAGGAGCATCTAAGTAATCAATCATTGTACACTTTTCATCTAGAAATGCTGGTAGATGTAGCACTGACCAAAGACATCGAGAGGCTGCAGATCAATTCACCATTACAGCTTTGGGAAGCCCAACCCCATGAGGTCTATGACCACATGAAGTCCATTCTAGAAGGGTAGATTTGAAAAGGAACTCATATGCAATCTAGGGTAACTCTTTTATTTTGTAGATAAAGAAGCTGAGGTCCAGAGAAGGGGTGTTACTTGGCTAAGTCCACACAGCTACTTGATGACTTACCCTGGTTTAGACACTAGCCCTCTGGACTCCTATATACTTTGTTCCATTTCTCCATTTTCTCCTTTATTTAGAGGCAAAAGAAAACTTTCCAACTTATGCCTCAACCAAAAATAAATGAGTAAAAACCCCTCAAATAGGTAAGGTCATTTGTACAACACTTTATGGCTTATTCTGTGCTTCACCAAATGCTTTTTGGAGCATCGCAATACTTGGAGCAGACAGCAGCTAATTGTATGCTTACTTACAGATGAAATTACATGATGGTCCTGCAATCGGAAAATGACAAAGCTGGCATTGGAAACCAGATCTTTTCCTTGCATTTCTTTTTTTCTTTTCTTTTGTATCGCTCATTTTTTAGAGATTGTGTCACCCAGGGTGACTTGCTTGCTCTGTCGCCCAAGCTGGAGTGCAGTGGTGCCATCTTAGCTCACTGCAGCCTCTAACTCCTGGGCTCAGGAGATCCTCCTGCCTCAGCTTCCCAAGTAGCTGAGACTACAGGCACACACCACCATACCTGGCTAATTTTTTGTTTTTTTATAGAGACGGGGTCTTGCTATGTAGGCCCAGGCTGGTTTCAAGCAGTCTTCCTGCCTCAGCCTCCCAAAGTGTTGGGATTACAGGCGTGAGCCACTGTGCCTGGCCTGCATTTATTTTTGCAAATATTTATTGAGTGCCCACTTCACACACCCCAGATACTATGCTGGGAGCACATTTGCATCCATATATATTAATGCCAGTTATAGGATAAATTGCCTGTGTATTGGTCAGCTTTGGCTAGATCATGCTGCAATAACAAACAATTTCAGATACCTGTGGCTTATAATACAAAGATTTTATTTTGACTCATGCTACGTGCCCTGGCTCTGCTACCTGTCCTTATCATCTCATTCCAGGATCCAGGCTAATGAAGTAACCAAGAACAATATGTCCTAGCCATTATAACTCTTCTTAGAGGCCTGAGTTTTGGAGGAAGGAGGAAGCAAGAATAAGGAAAGGGTGCCCCAGAGATAGAAAGGGAAGCCATTGTAAGAGCTCTGCAAAGATGATTTCATTAGTTACAATTGTAGGAACAGAAAAATGACTGGTTTGCATTTCAAACAAGGGGAAAAAGAAGCATTGTTTTGTGTGTGAGTGTGAGCCGGCTGGGTATTGGATTCTGAATTCTTTGTTATATCCTCTGGCAAGAATTCAGCTGGCCTCTTACTTCTTCCTGTCAAACCCTGAAATGGACTACAGCCTTTGAACTAAAATGCTGCACACCCAACCCAAAACTCAGACAGCTCTGAAAGTGTTCACTGCTCAGCAGCCGATTTTAAACCACTCTTGCCCTTGGCGACTTTAAATCATCTCCCCACCATCACCCTGGAACACATTAGACAACTTTATTGCCACATTCCTTGCCAATTTAATTTTTGTAAACCATATTCCAGCACTTTAGATTTCCTCATGTAACAGAGAGGTTTTTCAAGTGAGACTTTGAATCCAAGAGTGGATTCCCGGGTCTGTGGGGATCACCGCACTCCATTCTTAAAAGGGAGCAGGAGTAATTGTTAGCTGACGTCCCTGGCATGTTTTGGTATCTTTGGATACTGCTCTAATTATGACTGTTATGATAACATGACATGGGTGATTCCGTGGAATCTGAAATATTGCATGTCCAATGTCAGCCCAAATGAGAACCAGGAAGCTGGCAGAGAGGGACCAAGTCAGGATGGATTTGCTGACTCTGTTATGGCGTTAACATCACCTGAGTGGATTTATCCAAATTCAGAGTAAATGTTCCATAAAAACCGCTTAAAACTTTTATTTCAAAATGGCTTTTTAAATTAAATTTTAAAAGTAACAATAAATATGATAAGTACAGAATATGGAAAATGATAAATACAGATAAATCACAATAAAAAAGAAAAAAATGAATCTTATTATCCAGTTAACCACTGTGGCCTTTTGGCATAAGTACCTTAAGTCAGTTACTTTATCTGTGTGTATGTGCATTTATATATTTCTTTTTAAAACACAATTAGAATTTTATTCATGCCAATAAGGATCCTTATTCAAAACAACTTTTTATGACTGCCGTATAGATGAATTGATCAATTCTCTATTGTAATGCATTTATGTTCAATCCAGTTTTTCCCTATGATAAGCAACAATGCAATGAATACTTTTGATAAATATTTCCCAATCACCCATCGGAATAGTAAAAGAAATGTTTGCGCACTCCTAGCCCACACTGTAGTGTCTTCTATTTTATTCAGTTTATTAATTTGATCTTTGAAAAAGAATTTTTAAAATTTACTTTCATTTGATGAAGCTGAACCTTTTCACACTTTTGTGTTTTCTCTTTTTTTTCTTTTTTTGTAAATTTTCTGTTTGTGTCTGCCCATTTTATTACAGGGGCCACTCCTATTTTCATAGCGATTTTTAAGAACTCTGCAAAAGTTGATGAACAGCACCTTGACTGAGTAGAGAATTCTTGGGGCACATCATATTTCCTTCAAAACTGTTGACCTTGCCTCCCAGGCCTTTGGTGTATAAAGTTGTAAATATTGTAAATAGACTACTTTTTGTCTTATTGGTGACATGCTTACCCTGCTTCAGTTATTTTCAGCCAGGGATGATGTTGCCCTGCAGGGGACATTTTTGGCTGTCACAACTTGGGGATGCTACTGGCATCTAGTGGGTAGAGTTCAGGAATGCTGCTAAGCATCCTACAATGCACAGAACAGGCCCCTCCCACAGCAGGGAATTATCTGCTCCAAAATGTCAACAGTGCTGAGGTTGAGAAACCCTAATCTAAATGCTTGGACAATTCATTCTTAAATAAGTTCACCAAGATATGTCTTGATTTTAGTCATTTTTAAATAATTTGCCTGTTGCATGTTAGGGACTATCAACAATTTTTCAGAAAAATTCCTGCTATCTAGCTGCCTTTATGTGTTTTTAAAATTTTCCTCTGCCTTCTGGCTAACATCCTCTACATAATTCCATTTGTTATGCCATCTTAATTTATGTTCTCTACTATTTCTTTCCTTTTCATAGGGGCTTTGTCTCCTACCATTGTTTTCTTAGCACTATCAGTTTTCTCTTCACCTTTGTAGAGTGCTTGCCCATTAATTTTAATTATATTGAAAAGTAAAGCATTTACTCTTCTAACCTGTCTTGTAGTTGCAGAAATATGTCTTTTTAGAAGTGTTCTCTTCGTCTTCTTTTTACTGCTTATGTTTCTTTTCTTTTTTTTTTGTTGTGTTAGAAAATTTTGTACAAATCCTATGTTGTGTTTCCTTTTTTGGTTGTTGTTTTGGTTCACTTATTTTAGAATGGATACTAATCTATCCAGTCTTCCTATTTATCATAAAAAGTGTGGGTAGATTTACTTTGGGTTTCCTTCTTATTTACCTGGGCTCTCTTTGAATATCCTCCATGGAGGACACAGAGTGAAGGCTGGTTCAAGTTTATATAATTAGCCAGAATTTCAGGAGCCTGGAGGTGGGAAGAGGGGTCACAGAAGCTAAGTAACTTTGCCATTGAACACTTTTTCTTCTATATTTTATGTAACCATGTTATAAGGTACCATCTCTACCAAGTTGGAGAAGTAGCCTTTCCCTTTGAGAGGATGTCCCAGTGGCACAAGATTGATCATCAGCTTTGAAATGACACAGGCTTATTGCTTACAGAATAATAGAAACCTTACTAGCAATGTGTTATTTGGAAAATGCAGTCATATATTTGTCTGTTTCTTCTGAGGCTGCTGGTCTACAGAAAAGCTACAAGTGAATTGGAAACTCTGTTGATCCAAAAGCCTACTCTTCCTAAGCCAGATTTAAGAGTTTCCAACTAAAATTAATCTGTTAATCCAACTATATTGTTTTTAAAAAGATCCCAATGCACAGCCTCAATGGAAAACAATATGGTGGTTTCTCAAAAATTAAAAATAGAATTATCATATCATCCAGTAATTTTAATCCTGGGTATACACTCCAAATAATTAAAAGCAAAAACTTTAACAGATATTTGCACACTCATGTTCACAAAAGCATTATTCACAATGCAAAAAAGGTGGAAGCAACCCAAGTGTCCATCAATGGATAAACAGCTAAACAAAATGTGGTTCATCATACAATGGAATGTTACTCAGCCTTAAAAAGGAAGGAAATTATGGTACATGCTATAACATGGATAAACCTTCAGGACATCATGCTAAGTGAAATAAACCAGTTATAAAAGGATAGCTACTATGTGATTCCACTTACATGAAGTACCTAGAGTGGCCAAATTCATAGAGACTTAAAGTAGAATGGTGGTTGCCAAGGGGACATCAGGAGATTCTTGTCAATAGTTGCTAATAGGTATAGAGTTTCAGCTTGGAAAGATAAAAAAGTGCCAGAGAGAGATGGTGATGATGGTTGCACAATATAAATATACTTAACGCCACTAAACTGTACACTTAAAGTGGTTAAAATGGTAAATTTTGTGTTATGTATATATTATCAAAATTAAAAAAATTTTAAATTTCTAAGCAAAGAAAGAAAGACCCTGAGTGGAAGGATGTATAAGGTTATAAGAGATTGTGTCTCATCTAATAACCTAGACAAGCCAGATAAACTACTGGTCATAGAGGGTTTCTTCCTGGAGCCAATAAAATAGCTGAGAAAGTTAGGCGAACTAAACTTCAGAAAATCTGTTCATAAACTTCAGGCATAAGAGCATGGCTGCTCTTATGCCTGTCAGACCACAGATAGGAGAAGGAATGCACCGTGAAAGAGAGTAGGGAGAATCTGACTGAAGAGTGTAAATACTTTTGGCAGGAATATGTAGGACAGCATGATGAATTAGAGCTCTGAGGAGCCCTAGACACAGAGCATATCTGTGCCCACAGGTGAAATCTGTTTCATGTGCTGGGCTATGAAACACATCTCATATGGAGTATATTATCTGATCACAATGGTATTAAATTAGAAATCAGGGCAAGGCACGGTGGCTGACATCTGGAATCCCAACATGTTAGGAGACTGAGGCAGTTGGATCTCTTGAGCCCAGGAGTCTGAGACAAGCCTGGGCAACATGGTGAAACCCATCTCTACAAAAAATTCAAAAACATTAGCCAGGCATGGTGGCATGCATCTGTAGTCCCAGCTACTCAGGCAGCTGAGGTGGGAGGATTGCTTGAGCCCAGGAGGTGGAAGTAGCTGTGAGCTCAGATCATGTCACTGCACTGAAGCCTGGGTGACAGAGTGAGGCCCTGTCTCAAAAAATAAAATAAAATAAATTAGAAATCAATAACAAAAATACCCCCAGTCCAAAATATTTATAAATTAAGCAACACGTTTCTAAATAGCTGAAGAGTCTAAGAAAACATTGCAGAATTACTTGAAAATATTTTACACTGAATGATAATCAAAACACATCATGTTTGTGAAATGCAGCTAAGTTAGTAGTTGCAAGGAAATTTGATAGTTTTAAATACTTGTATTAGAAAAGAAGGTATAAAATAATCTAAGTTTCCATTTCATTAATCTGTACAAAGAGAAAACTAAACCTAAAGTAAAAGGAAGGAAATGATTTTTTTAAATAATAATGATCAATAAAGCAGAAAATAAGCAGCATAGAAAATAAAGTTAAAAGTTAATTTTTTGAAAAAATAATGAAAAGAATAAATCTTCAGATACATTAATAAATAATAAAAAAATACAAATTACCAAGATCAAGAAGGAATGAGGAGATACTACTACAGACCCTACATACACTAAAAAGAAAATTATGGTACATTATAAACATAGTTATGTCAATGAACTGAACAACTTTGACAAAATTGACAAATTCCCTGGTAAAACATATGGAACTGACATGCAAAGATGCAGAAAACCTAAATAACTCCATATCTATTAAAAAACTGAATTTGTGATAATAGGAAAAAAAATCTTCCTACCAAAGAAACTGCAGGTTTAGATATACTCACTGGTGAATGTTATCAAATTCTTAAGGAAGGGATAACACCAACTATATGCAAACTGTTTTGGAAAATGGAGGAGGAGAGTAACTTCAAAATTCACTTTACTAGGGCAGCATTAGCCCGATATAAAAACCTGGCAAAGATGTTGCCAGAAAAGGCAATTAGAGATTAAATCCTTCATACACATAGATTAAACATGCCCCAACAAAATATTAGCCAATATAATTTAGCAACATATCAAAATAGTAACACATTATATACAATTAGGGATTAATTTCAGGAATGCATAGTGGTTTCAAAGTTTAAAAATTGATCTATGTAATTTACCACATGAACAGAATAAAGAAATAAAACATCACCTCTTTAGACACAGAAATTGCATTTGACAAGATGCAACACTCATTAACAATTTTTTAAAAATAATTTGAGAAAAGTGGGAATAAAATAAAATTTACTCAATTTGATAAATAACATCAATGAAAAACCTACAGTTAACATAATACTTAATTGTGAAATATTAAGCCCTTTTTTCCTCAGACCAAAAAAAAAAAGGTAATAATGTTCATTATCCTTACTATTCACCAGTATAATGGACATTCTAGTCAGTGCAAAAAGGTGGAGGAATTAAAAAGAAAGTTCAGAAAGGTTAGAAAGGAAAACATCAAATGTCTTTTTTACCAGAATAACATTATTATATGTGCTGAAAACACTGTAGAACCTACAAATAAATCTACTATAACTAATAAGTAAATTTAGTAAGGCCAAAGTCTATAAAGCCAATGTATGAAAAATAAATTGTGTATCTTTATTTTAACAACAAAATTAATCTTAAAATGCCATTAAACCAGTGAATACAAGGGAATACATCTTACAATAGAGATCTAATATAACTATAGGTAAAATTACAAAGCATTACTGAAAAGAAAAGTAAAGATACACTAAATCAATGTAAACAGATATTATCTTCACAGACTGGAAGAAAGCAGTGTTAAGATATTTTTTCTCCCAAATGGGGAGAATCTCTACCAAAATCCCATGACTCTTAAGCTTTATATGGAAATTCAAGGGATCTAGAATGTCCTAAAAAACTGGAGGATGTACACTACCTGATTTCAAGACTTGAAATTGTCTAAATAAAGTTGTCTATCTTTATGCTCACACCATACTGTCTTGACTTTGAAGGTAAGTAGTCAAGACAGTATGGTATGAGCATAAAGACAGACAACTAAAGCAACAGAACAGATTGAGCCCAGAAACAGAATCACACATATGGTCAATTGCTTTTTGGCTAAGGGGCTAGGTCAATTCAATGGCAAATAGGACACCTTTTTAAATAAATTATGCTGGAGCAACTAGATAAAGGTATGAGGACAAAAAGCTTAACCATTCCATACACAAAACTTAATGTGAAGTGGATCATAGTCACCTCAACTCAAGCACAAAAGTCAGAAATATAAAACTTCTAGAAGAAAACAGAATACCTTAGTGACCTTGGGGTAGAAAAAAAAATCTCTTGGACAGGATACAAAAGGTACTATCCATAAAGGAATAGAATGGTACATTTAACTTTATCATAATTCAAGATTTCTGCTCATCTGCTTTTATCTTCCTTAGCTTTAGTTCAACTTTTATTGTATTTGGAAAAATGTCCTTGTGGTATATTGTTACCACCCTGCCCTGATTCCCCATCCCTTCACTCCACCCCAACTTTGTTTTTCTTGATCCTTTTGGTCATGATAAGGAGAACTGTACTAGTATTTTTACTTAAATTGTCTTCTGGCTTTTGTGCCCCCTATATTCCTTCAGTCACTTAGGGAAATGGCTTGGAGTGTTCAGCCTGAGTCCATTTTGTGCCCTCCTTCTCAGTTCCTGGATATGATGATAAATTTGTACCAATTCATACCCCACCACAATCAGCTTCATTGGTAAAGGTTTTCCTTGGAGAACCCTATTAAATGCCAGTGGCTATTTCATTTGACACCTCTGACAGTCCTAAAATGTTTGTTTGGAAAAGCATGTGACAAGTATAGTACATAGCAAAGAGTGGAAAGAAAAGTAATAAAGATAATTAAGTGACTCTGAGTATTGTTTTATGAAGGATGATTGAAGATATTAATACAAACCACATTTCTTTCTGGAACACCCAGTGAAAGAGGGGGATTGATGAGGCAATAACTGCTAATAGAATAAACAGCCAAAGGAGAAAGACATCTGTGGGTGGTATCAAGGGTATAACTCCAAGTTTCAGGAGGAATTTAATAAAGAAATGTTTAGGCTGAGAAAGTTCCAGTTAGTGGGAGGCCTGGAGCATGGCAGGCTGCATCTAAAGACATGGGTTCCTGTCACAGGCCTGAGATTGTGGAATCAAATGAAGCCTAAGGATGCTTATAATAGAGCATCACACAGAGACCAAGCGTGTGTGATGGGTTCTCTCAGTCTTTCTTTCACTTTGCTTTTTATTCAGTGGCTATGAATACCAAAGACAAGTGGTAATGGCGGTTTTCTGATCCACACAAACAATGGCTGTGTTTTTGTGTTAAAAAAAAAAAATCAGTAGGAGAATCCCTTGAACCTGGGAGGTGGAAGTTGCAGTGAGCAGAGATCGCACCACTGCACTCCAGCTGGGCGACAGTGAGAGACTCCGTCTCAAAAACAAAACAAAACAACAACAACAACAAATATATATATATATATGAGTCATCTAGAAGAAGGAAAATCAATTAGTTTTCTAGTATAAAAAAGACTAAACTGGAAAATAATCATATATATATATATAACAGATATAACAGATTATTATATGTACATAATATGATACTTTATATCAGTAAATAACAGATTCAGGCCTAGTGTCTCTTGCATTAAGAAGATAAGCCTCAAAAAACATTTTAATGAAAAACAGAAGGCTGCGGTTACCTCTATGGGTAAACCAGAATGTTATTCAGACAGAGATGACCAGGCCTTCCTTTGCCCCATGGAAAGGGGCTCAGGTGAACTCTGCCAGTCATGGGACCCACGCGAGGACAGGTTGATGGGAAATCTTGAACTCAAATGGAACCTGTGCTTGAGTCGTGCTCTGGCTTCTGTTGCCTGAATTTCCTGTCTTTCCACTATTTGTCCACTAGGATTGTGAGGTTTGTGAGTGCAAGGTTCATGTCTTTCATTTCTGTATTTCCAGTGCGAGGCATGAAGTCAGCAAGGTGTCTAAAATACATCTGATACATGTGCCCTTCTTGACCGCCATGGCCGCCATCCTGGCCAACCACTGCCGTCTCTTCTCTGGATGGCAATGTCAAATAGCGTGACCAATGATCACTTTTCTATGCCTGCCTTCTATGATATGTTCTTCGCAGGGAAGCCAGAATGAACCAGCCTCTTTGGCCAATTTAATCTACGTATTACTTCCTTTGTATCTTGTATGTTCCTGCCTCTTTGCTTTTCCTCTCGTTTGGAGTACCTTCCCCTGACCCTTCTTTTCTTCAAGCCCCCATGCAGATCCTTCTTTCATCTCTGTAGCTTTTATTAATTTAGGCATCTCATTAATTGAGTCATTCAATAAGTTATTTACCATTTATGAGCATCTACTGCATGCCACACATCGTGTTAATTTCTGGAGATATGAATATAAATAGGATGAGGCCCTGCCTTCTGGGAACATAACCTAATACTGGGATGTACCAATGGTCCACAAACTTGGCTAATTCACAGCCCCACCTGAATACTTAAAAAAAAATTACAGATACTCAGTGTGTCCGTCCTCAGGCTGTTTCGCTCACATTTCCTCTGCTTCGTTCTGTATTGCAGAGAGGTTGTCAGCTGGAAAATAGGAAGAGGGAAATTTGGAGGAAGGAGGAAGGGATTAAGCAGGTGTTTCTCCCGTCCCCCTGACTTTGGTGTCACCTCCAGCAGTAACCATGATAGTGGTGAGGTTTCAGCTTCCTCTGAACAGGCCAGAGGGGGATGCCTCTATGGGTAAACCAGAATGTTATTCAGACAGGTATGACCAGCCCTTCCTTTGCCCCATGGAAAGTCCTTGGATGCCAGTCCTACTACTTCATTGCTGTGTCCCTTCAGCCTCGGATGATAGTGGCTTCCTGTTCTTACTACTGCTTAGGTGACTTTACTGTTTTCTATTTGATTTAGCTCTTCCAACACTTGTGCAACAACCTTCCTATCTTAGATTTCCTTTGTTTTAAATATTCAGAGTGGTTCCCACCTTCCTGGTTGGATACTAGCACAGTTGGATACTACTACAGTTATTGGTACCAGAATTGGCCCCAATAAATCAGATATTCAGGATGCAGCGCTCACGTCTTTGAGTGTGGTGGTTTCCTTGCAGAATTGTGGGGAACTATGAATGTCCCATAGCATATGGTAGAGTCACAATTATTTAAATGTGTTATCTGCGCTTGCTTGGGATGAAGTGTCTCACCCGTCATGGTGTTCTGTCCTTCCACTCTAACCCTCAAATGCTTCTGCCCAAGGAACACATTCCACTGAGAGAGGAGTGCAGAAAAGGGTTCTTCTTATGCTCACCATCACCCGGAAGCAGCTGGCCGCATCCATTTAGAACTGCTTGCAGGATACTCTCTGTTCCAGTTACAAAGGTGTTGCCTCTCCTCTCCAAATTTACTCTTCATTCCCTGCTTTCTTTTTTGTTGATTTTTTTTGTTGATACATAATAGATGTGCATATTTTGGGGGTACATGTGTTAATTTGATACATTCATGTGATGTGTAAAAATCAAATCAGAGTAATTGAGATATCCATCACCTTAAATATTCATCTTTTCTTTATGCTAGGAACATTCGAATTATTTTTTTCTAGCTATTTTGAAAGGTACCCGCTTTTCTTTTTCCTTTGGTAGCTGGCTTGTCAATGGAGTGTACTGGGGAGACAGTGCAGGAAGAAGGGTCTTTGTCGGTTCTAGCGTCTTCTCTTAGCAGTGCATGCAGCTCCCAGTGCTCGACTTGAACAGTGTGAGCGGCAGCCCGGGAACCAGGTTCCCTGCCATGCACAGCAGCAGCCGCGGGGCCAGCAACTTCCCTCGACCTGCCCCTTGAAAAGCGCCCCCTGCTGTCTTAGAAAGAGGATATCTGGCAAATTCTGGAGAGGAGGTTTCCAGCAAGTTCTGCCGGCGCAGCACTACAAACTCTTCTCTGCCATTCAGGGAGCCACGGTCTTTCCTTCCCCAATGTGATCTGAGGCTAAGCTCTAGGGTAGATGCGGGTCTTGTCCTTGGTTGCTCTATCTCATCCCTAGGGGTAGAGGATATTCCTTATATGTTCTATTCCTATTTAGAGTTCTCATCACCTCCTTCCAGACAATCCCTCATTCCTCCAACTCCGCGTCATAGTTAATAATTCTTTGTAGCCAACTTGCCCTGGTCAAATGATTGAATCATTTGTCCCCTGGTGAGATCCTAATTGAGACTCTCTATTATGGTGCCAGCTATTAAACAACAACAGTCTCCAGTCTCCTGAGACACCGGAGCACTGCCCTGCAAGATGTATCATACGTTTACTATGATTTTTTAAATTTTTAAGACTTTATTTTTTAGAGTAGTTTTAGTTTCACAGGAAAATTGAAGACAAGATACAGATTTTACATATACTCCTTATTTTCCCATTTCCAACATCCCCCAGCAGAGGATGCATTTATTACAATCAATAATCCTACATTCACCCATCGTTATCACCCAAAGTCCGTAATTTACATGTGGTTCACTCTTGGTGTTGTACATTCTGTGGGTTTAAACAAATGTATGATAACATATACCCGCCATAATAGTGTCATCAAGTATTTTCACTGCTCTAAACGTCCTCTCTGCTCTGCCTCTTCATCCCTCACTCCCTACACTCCCTGGCAACCACGGATCTTTTTACTGCCTCCACAGTTTTGTGGCATACAATTTGAAACAGCAATCAATACATGGTGCCATTTTTCCAACAGCCAAAATAATGAGTCCAGGAACCAAAAGGTTGAAGTCATGATTACACTTAGTAACCCACCCACAGGTACTGTACTTTTGATTCCTGTGGACTCTTCCAGTCTAAAGTTCTGATTTCATAATGGAGGACTGCTTCCATTGGTGACAGAGAAAGGCCCCCATCAGATTAGCAGCTGAGACGATTTGGGCCTCCTCGTGCCACTGAACTGACAGAAGTGGGTTCTGGGTGCATTGTGTGGATTTCCTTAATGGGGGTAGTAGCTTCCAACTGGTGCTAATTTTTGGATTGCCTCATAGTCTCATATATGCCTCCTCAGCACTGCTATCAGGATTTGGTAGATAAATCTTCTTTATTGAAACAGGTTGAATGGCTTTTGTTTGCTTGATTGAACCTTGTCAAATAAACAGGCGTCATTAAACTCGTATCTCTCCCTGCTTCTGCCACTCTCTATCCCTCTTCCTTGCTGTATTTCTCCATATCACTTACTCATTTTCACACTCATAGCTTACTCATGTAAGCTTACTCATTTTCACACTCATTTAGTCATTTATTTATGTTTCACAAAGGCAGGATGTAGGTACATTTTATGTTTTTACTTCTGTATAGCTAATGCCTAGAACCAGGCCTGGTATATGGTAAGTTCTCGGTAAACATTGTTAAGTGAATAGATCAAAATGGGTATAGATTTCGAAGTGTACGTGCGTGGTGACTAACCCTCCAAATTAACCCATCAATTCAATGCAATTCAAATCAAATTTCAAATATAGTCTTTCACTAAAATTAAGAAGCTAAGATTTGTATGAAAGAATAAAGAAACACAACCAGTAAAGCATTTAGAAAATGTGGGGGAGAGGACTTGCCTTTTCATTTATTGAGATTTATCATAAAACCATATTAATAAAGTATGGTAATAACTTAGGAATAGATAAAACAGTGGGTTACAATAGAGATCTCCAAAACAGACAAACCCACACATGAAATGTGATAAAAGGTGGAGGTGGTACAGCAAATTGCTGAGGAAACAATAAACTATTCAATAAGCAGCACACCCAAAAAAGGCTATTTCTAAAGAAGAAAATGAAATTAGTTCTCTACTCCACACCATCCAAAAAGTTAAATTACAATTGAATAGATAAGCAAAATATGAAAATCTAAACTATACAACTTTTAGAAAGAAATGCAAGAGAATATCATTATGACTTCAGATAGGGCAAGGATTTCTTAACAGTGAAAAATAACACACACCATGAAAGGATACATTTTTATGTTTGATTCAATGTAAATTAAAATCTTTTCATAAGATAATGGGCAAAAAATATAATGTGAACAAATTTATGGTGTTTACAGATTGGGCTAATTTATATTGTTTATAGATTGCCTATCTCATAGAACTATTAGGATTAAATGAGTTTCTGCCTTTTAAGAGCATGTAACGACATCATGGATACTATAGCTGCTATTATTATTACCACTCCGACTTACTATCACATTTGCCAGCTTCATTTAGGCTTCTAAGCATGCTTTAGAGGAAAAAAGTCATATAATGGAAATAGGGATATTACAAATTCAGGGGACCCAAAATATTATAATAATATTAAAATTTGTATAATAATAGTAAACCCAATAGTTCAACCTACATGGCTGACAAAGATATAGTGTCCAGGAAATATATTTTTTAATTCTACAAATTAATAAAAATAGAAACAATCTAAAAAATAGACATTTAATAGAAGAGGAAACCTATTGACAAATAAACATATGAATCAGATAATAATGTTGCTTTCATGCAGGAGAATGGAAATGAAAACAAACAAAGGTGATGTAACGTTTCACACTCAAAAGAATGACAAAAATTAAAAATTGGAAATTCTAAATGGACAAGAATATGGGAAAACGTAAACTCTAATGTCTTGCTAATTGAAGTACATAAATGTATAAAACTATTTGAAGAACAATTTGGCAACATCTATTAAGACTAAAGCTGCCTAATCCCTGAGACTCAGTAATTGTACTAAAAAACTCTAGAGCAGATTCACGTGGAGATAAAAGAATATTCATGGCAGTGTTGCCTGTTAAAGCAAAAAAAAAGGTGAAAAGACCTAAATATGCATCAATGGAAGATTTGATAAATTGTGCTATATCCACAGAACACTTTAAAGCGGTTGAAATGAATGAACCAGACCTTGATGTAGCAAGCAGATCAAATCCTGTATAGCGTGGAACAAAGAAACCAATTTGTGGGAGGATATATACAAGACGGCGTTCTTGCACCTATTTTAAATTTATACACAACAGTAGAATCTATTGTTTGTGGAGATTTACATACACGAGAAGAAGAATGGCATTCTGGTGAAGGAGGGATGGGAAATGATACAGGAGAGAAGTACAACGGTGACCTCAACTTTATAACATTTTATTTCTTAAAAGTAATAACATGAAACAAATGTGACAAAATGTTGACACTTGTTAAATTTGAGTATTTGGTGTATTTGTGCTTGTTATGTTACTCTTTTTTAGAAATAAATATATTACTTTCCATTTTTTCCTGAAGATGTCAATCTAATACTCATATCTCTATAAAATTTTAAATGCCTTCTAGCACCTCTTTTTTGTCTACGTCTCATTCCTTCTCTATCCTCATTAGGATGCAATATTCATGTGGCTGCCAAGTGAGTCAAGAAAGTTGGGAAAAAAAATCAACAAATGTTAATGTGTCTCTGAAAAAACTTGCAGTGATGTTGTGCTAGCACGCACTTTCCACAAAAGACCGATTATTGTTAAGTACTTTAATCATAATGTAAATGTATAGGCATGCTACTAAACAAAGGTTAAAGGAATACATGCACGTAAATACACATTAGCACCTTCTTTTACAATGCTTTAACTCTTCTTGGATTGTGTTTTATCTAACTATGGTGTTCTCGCTCTCATAAATGTAAAACCAGGACTGTTCTGTTTTGTTTTGTTTGTTCAGTTTTAGGTCACGGGTTTGTTTGATTTTGTGCAGGTTTGTTATATAAGGTAAATTGCATGCCACAGGGTTTTGGTGTACAGAGTATTTCATCCTTCCACCTTCCACTCTCAAGTAGGCCTGGTGTCTGTTGTTCCCTTCTTTGTGTCCATGTGTGATCAATGTTTAGCTTCCACTTATAAGTGAGAACATGAGGTATTTGGTTTTCTGTTCCCGTGTTAATTTGTTTAGAATTATTGGGAGGCCGAGGCAGGTGGATCACAAGGTCAGGCATTCGAGACCAGCCTGACCAACATGATGAAACCCCGTCTCTACTAAAAATACAAAAATTAGCCAGGCGTGGTGGTGCGTGCCTGTAATCCCAGCTACTCAGGAGGCTGAGGCAGGATAATCACTTGAACCCGGGAGGCAGAGGTTGCAGTGAGTCAAGATCATGCCACTGCACTGCACTCCAGCCTGGGTAATAGAGTGAGACTCTGTCTCAAAAAAAAAAAAATTATGGTCTCCAGCTCCATCCATGTTGCTGTGAAGGACACGATCTTGTTCTGTTTTATGGCTGTGTAGTATTCCATGGTGTATATGTACCACTTTTTTTTTATCCAGTCTACCAGTGATGGGCATTTAGGTTGAATCCATGACGTTGCTATTGTGAATAGTGCTGCTATGAACATACAAATGCTTGTGTCTTTATGATAGAACAATGTATATTCCTTTCAGTATATACCCAGTAATGGGATTGCTGGGTCAAATGGTACTTCTGCTTTAAATTATTTGAGAAATTACCACACTGCTTTCCACAACGGCAGAATTAATTTACACTCCTACCAGCAGTGTATAAGTGTTGCCTCTTCTCTGCAACCTCACCAGCATCTGTTATTTTTTGACTTTTTAATCACAGCCATTCTGACTGGTGTGAGATGGTATCTCATTGTGGTTTTGCATTTCTATAATGATTACTCATGTTGAGCATTTTTTTATATGCTTGTTGGCTGCATGTATATCTTCTTTTGAAAAGCATCTGTTCATGTCCTTTGGCTCACTTTTTAATGGGGTTGTTTTTTGTTTGTAAATTTTTTTAAGTTCCTTATAGATGCTGGATATTAGAAGCATAGTTGGCAAATATTTTCTCTCATTCTGTATGTAGGCTGTCTGTTTACTCTGCAGAAAGTTTCTTTTTGCTGTGCAGAAGCTCTTTAATTAAATCCCATTTGTCAATTTTTGTTTTTGCTGCAATTGCTTTTGGCATCTTTGTCGTTAAATCTTTGCTAGGGCCTATGTGCAGAATAGTATTTCCTATGTTATCTTCCAGCGTTTTTATAGTTTTAGGTTTTACATTTCAGTCTTTAATCCATCTTGAGTTGATTTTTGTACATGGTGTAAGGAAGGGCTCCAGTTTCAGTCTTCTGCATATGACTAGCCAGTTATCCCAGCACCATTTATTGAATAGGGAGTCCTTTTCCTATTGCTTGTTTTTGTCAGTTTTGTCATGGGTCAGGTGGTTGGAGGTATACCACCTTATTTCTGGACTCTATTCTATTCCATTGGTCCATGTGTTTGTTTTCGTACCAGTACCATGCTGTTTTGGTTACTGTAGACTTGCAGCATAGTTTGAAGTCAGTTATCATGATACCTCCAACTATTAATATGTTCTTTTTACTTAAGATTACCTTGGCTATTCAGGGTCTTTTTTGGTTCCATATTAATCTAAACCCTGGTTAGTTTTCTTCCTAAGTATTTATTCTTTTATTTTCTTTGTTTGTTTGTTTGAATGTTTGAGGCAGAGTCTTGCTCTGTGGCCCACACTTAAGTTCAGTGGCACAATCTTGGCTCACTGCAAACTCCACCTCCTGGGTTCAAGCAATTCTCGTGCTTCAGCATCCTGAGTAGCTGGGATTACAGGCACACACCACTAGGCCTGGCTAATATTTGCATTTTTAGTAGAGACAGGGTTTCCCCATGTTGGCCAGGTGGTCTTGGACTCCTGACCTCAAGTGACCCGCCTGCCTTAGCCTCCCAAAGTGCTGGGATTACAGGTGTGAGTCACCATGCTCAGCTGGTATTTATTCTTTTTGTAGCTATTGTGAATGGTATTCATTCTTGATTTGGCTCTCAGCTTGAATGTTTTTGGTGTAGAGGACTGCTACTCACCTTGGTGCATTGATTTTGTATCCTGAAACTTTGTTTTTCAGATAAGGGAGCTTTTGGGTAGAGACTATGGGATTTTCCAGGTATACAATCACATCATCTGCAAACAGAGATAAAATGACTTCCTCTCTTCCTATTTGGATGCCTTTCATTTCTTTCTCTTGCCTGAGCACTCTGGCTAGGACTTTCAGTACTATGTTGAACAGGAGTGGAGAGAGAGGGCATCCTTGTCTTGTTCTGGTTCTCAAGGGGAATGCTTTCAGCTTTTGCCCATTCAGTATGTTGGCTGGGGGTTTGTATCGATGGCTCTTATTATTTTGAGGTACATTTCTTTCATATCTAATTTTTTGAAGGTTTTTAACATGAAGGGATGTTGACTTTTATTAAAAGCCTTTTTTTCGTGCATCTATTGAGATGATTGTGTGGTTTTCGTTTTTAGTTCTGTTGATGTGATGAATCACATTTATTGAATCGTGTGTGTTGAACCAAATTTGCATCCCAGAGATAAAGCCGACTTGATTGTGATAGATTAGTTTCTTGCTGTGCTGCTGGACTCAGTTTGCTAATATTTTCTTGAAGAATGTTGTGTTGTGTTCATTAAGGATATTGGCCTGAAGTTTTTGTTGTTGTTGTTGTGTCCCTGCCAGGTTTTGGTATCAGAATGATGTTGGCCTCACAGAATGCGTTAGGAAGTAGTCTCTCCTCCTCCATTTTTTGGAATAGTTTCAGTCAGAATGGTACCAGCTATTCTTTATACATATGGTAGAATTCGGCTGTGCATCTCGCTGGTCCTGGGCTTCACTTTGGTTTGAAATGGTTACATTTTCTTGCTTTCTCTCATCCACCTCACATCCCTGCTGAGGAGCCGTCCTTTGGGAGGCCCAGGTGGATGGATCACGAGGTCAGGAGCCCGAGACCAGCCTGACCAACATGGTGAAACCCCATCTCTACTAAAAATACAAAAATTAGCCAGGCGTGGTGGCGGGCACCTGTAATCCCAGCTACTCAGGAGGCTGAGGCAGGAGAATCGCTTGAACCTGGGAGGCAGAGGTTGCAGTGAGCCGAGATGGCACCACTGCACTCCAGCCTGGTGACACAGCAAGACTCCGTCTCAAAAAAAAGATAGGAAAAGATAGATAAGCACCTAACATTTTTTATATGTTTATGCAGTCTTTTTTTTTTTGGCCAAGTGTGACTGTATATGTGTGTGCATGTATGCATTGCTTTGCTAGTTGAGATCATGTTGCATAAACTAATTTCTATGTGTAGATAACAGGAGCAGTTATAGTTCCTAGACAGAGGAGGACATGTAAAGAACATTTTAATAACAGATAATATCTGCCTTTGGGAGGTTTATGATTCATTCTCAATTTTCAAAAATCTCAATGACTCATTATTCCATATGGGTTCTTTGATTAACTGCTTTCAATTAAAAATTAACATCGCATTTAGAAAAAACTTCCAGAGCACAAAGTATATAGAACGGGAAGCAAGTCTGTCTTGTTTATAGATTTCCTTAGTCCCGTTCCTCAGAAATAACTACTGCTGCAACCAACTTAGCCTTCCAGAAATATTTTTTCAGACAGTAGAATAAATACATGTTACCATCTATTGACAGTCAAACCTACATGCGTTATCAGCTTACTATATGAATATATGTTATTGCTTTTAGTACTAATACCCATATCATCACCCATGTTTATACAAACAGGAATATAGTGTATATGCTGTACTACACCTTGATTATTTTGCTTAAATATTTGAAGAACTTCAAAGATATCAGTTCGTAAATATTAACCTCTTTTTTTTTGCATGGCCATATAGAGGTATAACAATTTATTTGCTGAGTGCCTTAATAATGGACCCACAGATGGTCTCCTACGTTTTGCTAAGAAAAGCAACGTGGCACTGAACATCCTAATATGTGCATGCTAAATTATGAGAAGTAGAATTGCTGGGTCAGCAAGGGTGCCCATTTTAAATTTATATATGCTGCCAAATTGGTCTCCAAACTGGTCACAATTTACTGGCCATGTGAGAGAATGACCTGTGCTTTTGGTGTCATATCTAAGAAATTATTGCTGAGACCGATGCCAAGAAGCATTTCCCCTATGTTTTCTTCTAGGAGTCTTATGGTTGCAGATTTTAAATTGAAATGTTTAATATATTTTGAGTTGATTTGGGGGCATAGTAAAAGATAAGGGTCCAATTTCATTTTGAGGGTGAGGGGAGAGGATATCCAGTTTTCTCAACACTAGTTGTTGAAGAGGTTATCATTTCCATATTGTACCTTCTTGACATCCTTGTTGAAGATCAGTTGACTATATATGCATGGGTTTGTTTCTGGGATAGCTATCCTGTTTCATTGGTCTATATGTCTATTTTTATGCTAGTAGCATACTGAGATTTATCTTTGGGATGCAAGGATTGTTCAATACACACAAATCAATCAATGCTGCTATATCACATTAATGGAAGGACAAAAATCACAATTGTCTCAATAGATGCAGAAGCATTTGACAAAATTCAATATTCTTTCACAATAAAAACTCTCAACAAATTAAGTAAAATTACATCTCATTGTAGATGACATATTATATGTAAAACCCTAAAAAAAAAAGCCACAAAAACACTGTTAGAAAAAATTCAGAAAATTTGTAGGGTGCAAAATCAACCTACAAAGATTAGTTGCATTTCTATATACTAAAAATGAACTATCCTGAAAGGAAATTAAGAAAACAATACCATTTACAAATAGCACCAAAATTAATAAAATACTTAGGAATAAACCTAGCTAAGGAGGTGAAACACTTGTTCACCAAAAACTATAAAATGCTGAAGAAATCCAATGCAATAGAAATAAATAGAAAGACATCCCGTGGTCTATTTACGGATTGGAAGAATTAATATTGTTAAATATCCACTACCAAAAACCATCTACAAATTCATTGCTATAAATGCAACATAATCCTGATCATAATCCCCAAGATATTGACGGGCATTTTTTTTAAACTCTAAAATTAATATGGAATCACGAAAGAGCTCCACAGACTACAGCAATTTTGAAGAAAAGGAACAAAGCTGGAGGCATCACACTTCCTGACATCAATGTATATTACAAAGTTACAGTAATGCATTCACCTTTACAGAACAATTTTTCTGGAAATGTATTTTTTCATCCTTTTGTTTTTATTGACACTCTTCATTGTTTTTTGTCTATCATCTATTATATTAATTTATTCTATTTTTACTATTTTATTTCCCCTGCTTTTTGGATGTAGTCTGGTTTTTGTTTTTTATTTTAATTTGGAGGCTTGAGTTACATGCTTTGCTCATCAACTTTCAATAATATCTTCTATGCATTGAAAGCTGTTTCCCTGTAAAGTACCATTTTAGCTGTATTTCTCAGGCTTAAATACATAGTGTCATCATTGTCATTCAGAGCTAAACACATTCTCTAATTTTATTTTTTTAAAGATTTCTTCTTTGACTCTTGAATTATTTATAAGGGTACTTTTAAGGCTCCAAATACATGAAACATTGCTTACCTTTGTTATTGTTCATTTCAATTTTTGTTAAATTGTAATCGAAAACTACATTTTATTATTTTTTGTTTTACACAGTTATCATTTAAAGTGATTAAAAATGAAAATGTTTGTTATAGTGGCCTTTATTTTTACATTTTCAACTTTCATTTCCTTATGAAGATCCAAATTTTCATCTATCATACTTCCTTTTACCTGAAGAACTTTCCTTACCATGTCTTGTTATATAACAAATTATCTTAGCTTTCGTTTGGAAAAAGATCTTTATTTCATCTTAATTTTTGAATGGTGTTTCTGCTAGGTATAGCATTTTGAATTGATGTTGCTGTTTTATTTTCTTTTGGTAAAGATGTTTCTACTTTGTCATCTTGTTTCCATACTTTGATGAGAAGTCTGCTGGAATTTTCATCTTCATTCCTTTGTATTCTGCTCCACTTCCTCTGCCTACAAGATTTTCTTTCCATCATCAGCTTTCAAAAGTTCGACTATTATGTATCGGGCTATGTTTTTCTTTGTGCTAGATTTTTTTTGATAGTTTTTGGACCTATAATTTGCTTTCATTTATTTTAGAAATTCTCTTATTTCTTTCATTTATTTTAGAAAATCTGTCATCTCTTCAAATATTTATTTTGCCACTTTCTCTGTCCCTTTTGGGATACCAATTATACATACACAGTATCACAGCATATCTGTTGGCTGGCAAATTTTAGTGTTTACTTATATATGTACAGATCTAGTTCTTTGTGGCCATTATTTGTGAAAGCATTTGAGCCAGAGAATAAGCTGTTTTAACAGGCTGTTTAATTTTTGCTCTCTTTTCTCATAAATAATTCTCCTAACTGTAACTGCCAGCCTCCAAAATGGCCCTCACTCATTCTCACCTCCTGGCATTCTCACCACCTGGCATTCATGTCACTGTGTAGTGCCCTCTTGCACTGAATAGTTAAATAGGATTGACATATAGAACCAATGGAAAATTGCAGAAAAGACAGTGTGACTTCTAAGGCAAAAGCTTTGCATCTTCTGTTTTGTTGTCTTGGATTACTTGCTCTTGGAGAATTCATATCACATGAGGAAAACCAAGCAGCTAAATGGAGAGGACCACATTGCAAGGAATTGAGGCCTGTGCCAACCACAAGCAAAGAACTAAGGCCTACTGCCTACAGGAGGTCCTGTCAAAGGTTTGACTGCACTTTACGACAGATCATGATCCAAACCCCTCCAGCAAAGCTGTTTTAGATTCCTGACCCTCAGAAATGATGTGACATAGTAAGTGTTTATTGTCTTAATCTGCTAAATTCATGGATAATTAATTATGCAGCAACAAATAACTAATGCAGATTTCATTTTGTTCCAAGGAGATGCATGCTTCATGTTTGTAGGCTCTCTCCCTGGCTTTCCATGAAGCTCTATGTCTCAGAAGACTTGTCCTTTACTTTTCTTTAATTGATCAAACTTAATAGCTATGGGGAAGCTTTCTATTGTTATGAAGAGACTGTTCTGCTTCACAGTAGCAGAGAGGATTCAAGGAGGCCTATAATATGGTTTGGATACTTGTCCCCTCCAAATTACCTGTTGAAATGTAATCCCCAATGTTGGAGGTGGAGCCTGGTGGGAGGGGTTTGGGGCATGGGCCAGATCCTTCATGAATTCCTTGGTGTCCTCCTCATGGTAATGAATGAGTTTTCACTCTTTTAGTTCACCTGAGAGCTGGTTGTTTAAAGAGTCTGGCACCCCTGCTCTCTCTTTTGCTCCCTCTCTTGTCATGCGATGCACCTGCTCTCCCTTCACTTTCTGCCATGAGTTAAAGCTTCCTGAGGCCTCACCAGAAGCCAAGCAGATGCTGGCACCATGCTTGTACAGCCTGCAGAACCATGCGCCAAATAAAACTCTTTTCTTTATAAATTACCCAGCTGCAGGTATTTCTTCACAGCAACACAAAAATGGACTAACACATCCTCTATTCATCTTGTACTCCTCAATCTTGACATTTTCAGCAAGAAATAATTCTGTGCTCTGTCCTCTAGTTCTGGGGCCTCTGACACTTATTCTCTCAGTATACTTAATACCACAACATTTTCAGCTAATACTTAAGAGTGGTGTTATTGCTAGGTCCCCATTCTTTCCACATGTTTGAGAAGGTAAAATCCTTGTACTCTACAGAACTGTTTTAGAGAAGTCCCCTAGAGAAGAGGAGCAAGACGATTGTCGTAGTGTGCTTTATTATGTTCTCATAATAAAAATTAAAATTACTATTTAATGCTTACCATTTATCAGTGTAAGAATTAACTTTACAAGGACTGAGTTGACTGAGAGATTGTGAAAAGTTGTGCTGATGAAGTTGGGGGTCTGGCCCAATTGTCAGGAAAAGGAAATAGATGATTAGCAAATACTGAGTTATTGAAGGAAACATGGAGGAAGTTGTAGAAAGGAATAATGCTAGCATTTTTAGTTTTGTTTTGGGGTGTGTGTGTGTGTGTGTTGATTTATCTTTTTCAAGAGAGGGTGTGCTTGTAATTGGACTATAAAGGTATTTCAGGGTATGTGATGTGTCATTTTCCTCACAATCCACTTGTGCAAGGTGCATGTTGCATGGGCAGGCCTCCATGGCTTACCAGAACCAAAAAGGCCTAAATCAGAGCAGAAAGACTGAGATTTATGTGAGGCTGCACACCTACTACCACTTTGTTTCCTGCTGATGATCATAGCTGGCATGGTAGGTCTCTAGAGGTTAGTATCAGCTCTACCCCTTCAGTGTGAACTTTAAATCTGCTTAATTGTTAACCTTCCCATCAACTCTTGATTGAGTATGGGTTTCACCTTTTTACACAATGAAACTTAAAGGGATAACATAACTCCTTTGAGCTACAGGCTGGTAAGTGTTGGAACTCATGTATAAACTCTAGATTTTTTATTCTGAAAACCACAAATTTTCCACTGTGTTACCTATGATTTAAGTAGCACTGATTTATATTCTTCCATGCTGTATTTTTAAGTAGCACGCATTTCCTGGCAAGTTCAGAGCCAGCTTTCTCCTCCTTGAGGGACACTTCTTTAAGTAGAAACTAAATGATGTGCAATAAATATAGTTGCTCTTGCCATGGACTCCTCACAGATGAAAGCTCTTCTCTGACCCATGAATGTGACCCTGACGGATCATGCTGCCTGTCCTCAGGCCAAAGCTGGGCTGTGAATTGCTCTCTAAAATTCACTCACAGCCACAGCCCTTGTCTAACAGAAGCACACTGCCTGCTTTGAAATTAAGTGCAGCTGCGCTGTGTCCTGCATATGGACTAATTAGCTCAGTCATGTAAGCTTATTGCTCAAAAAGGCCAAGTGCAGGGATTCAATACCTGGGAAGGCCCATCTGCACCAAGAAGAAAATTGGCCCCTACATTTTAGAACAGTGCTTCTCCAAATGCGGTCCCTAGACCAGCAGCATCAGCATCAGCACCACCTGGGAACTTGTCAGAAATTTAGATTCTTAGGCTCCAACTCAGATCTGCTCATCAGAAATTCTGGGGGTTGGGACCCCGCAAATCTGAGTGTTAATAAGCCTGCCCTGTGAGTCTGATACATGCTCAAGTTGGAGGACCACTGGCTTTGAGTATATTTGTAATCGCATTAGAATATTCAGAAGGGACAAAGAGGTGTAGTTGGTTATTTTTATCCCTTCTCTATTACAGAAAAAAT
Source organism: Homo sapiens (assembly GCF_000001405.40). NCBI lineage: Eukaryota > Metazoa > Chordata > Mammalia > Primates > Hominidae > Homo > Homo sapiens. Next base: position 14,827,110 of record NC_000017.11, read on the forward strand.
GTCACACACAATCATTCAGTCTTCTCATAAAACATCATTCCTGCACGTACTGCTTTAAATTTTTAAAAATTAGCGCTTACTGATCCAAAGAAAAACAAATCAACTCATACTAATAGGGAGACCATTTTAGCCCAACATTGACTTTTTGAAAGCTGAGTAGCTTTATATGGACATAAAATCATTCCAGAATGGAAAACTACTGCCTCAACTTATTACAAAAATTGCTAGAAGGTTACCTTAATTTAGAGGGAAAGAGAACTTGTCACCAGTTGCCTTCTAGAGCACGGACTTAGATATAAGCACAGGTGGAAGGCGTGAGTCTGGGGACTTCCTTTATGGTAGGTACCCTGACTACATCAAGACTAGTAGATTCAGCACCCAGTCCTCTCTGGTTTATCAGCTTCCAGAGAGAGCCAGCCTGCGGGACACCCACATGATTCCGATTCCCCCATTTGGAAGAGACAAAGGAAGAGCAGTCCGCCTGGTTCTTGTCACTGGTGGAGCTGACAGCTTTATATGCTCAATGGAGGGAGGAGCTGAAAGGAGGTGCCATGAGAGTGCATCTATGTGACAGGGAGGAAAGATGGATATTTTTATAGAGGAAGAAATGCAGTGAACAAGGGAAATTAGATGGAAAGACCATAAAGGTCTCAGGTTGGCAAAACCAATTAGTAGATGTTTACAAAAGATAACCCCTGAGGTCACATAGAATTTGCTTTGATGTCGATACTCTTGAGTTTGAAAAATGGATCAGCAACCTCCACACCATTGTGACCGGAAAGAGACCCAAGGCTTCCTTCTGCTGGAGCCTCCAGCCAGCTGTGCGCCTTTGGGCAGGTTTCATAAAGTCTCAGACATCCCTTTCCTCTTCTGTTAAAGGAGAGGATTGTATAAGATCACTCTTAAAGTCTCTTGCAGCTCTGACATGTCAGGATGTCCTCTTTAACTTCTAGACATGTGGGAGGGGGTGCATTTCAGGGCTCTATAGTTCATAATGTGGCTCCTGAGGATTTTCTGGGCAGTCTATGAACTTCTGTTACCTACTTGGAGAGAAAGAGCTTCTCATCTCTTTTACTTTGAGTTTATCTTAGCCATTTGGAAACAGGAGTCATTTAAATCGAAATGAGAGCAAACTCCGGGATATGTCCTTTGAGAATTTCCCAGGTGTCTGGTGAGCTTTGCCTTAATGCGAACCCACCGGTTCAAAAGACAAAACCAGAAACTATGGTACTAGGTCCAAATAGGCCAAGTATATAATTTCTTTTTGAAATTTTGACTGTGCTTTCTTGGATGCTCTTGCTAAAAGTATCATAGGGAAAAATGTCAGGACATCCAGGGAGATAAAAAGGGATTCTGGAGAAAGAGAAGCGTAGGGAATTGTTATCTCACCTCCCTCTGGAAAAAGGTGGAGTCCAAGTAAGTAAAAAGAGGGAAAGTCAACTTGCCCAAACTCAAAAATGGAGCTAGGGCCTGACCCTAAGTCTTATTATTGTGACTGTTTATTCTATTATTAAAATTAACACCTCCCCTTGATTGGACTCCTGTCATGTCCCAGCCACTATGCCAGTCTGTGGTATTTCAATGAATGCTGTCAACAATTGTGGAGGGATATTCTCAGTGCTGCTAAATGTTTAACAACCAGCTCTTCATATATATTTATATAGAAATATGTAAAGAGAAAAAAGCCCTGCCTTGCAGCTTTTGCCAATTTTAATGGTGTAAATACTCCCACCATGGCCAATTTCAAGCTGCCAACATTACATCGCTGAACACAGAGTTGGGAAAAAGATATGTACCGCTGGCTGTCACAGGCAGGTGAAGGCTGGCTTCAGCACCGCCCTGGTTCTTGTTCCCATGTTAAATATGAAGACTCAGAGACCCAGAGAGAATAATTTGGGTAAGACACCCAGCAAGCAGGTGTTAGAGACAGGTTTTGCACCCAGGCAGCCTGACTCCAATCTTGGGTTCTTCATCATGATGGTTCACTGTCTATCTCTAAAATGTAGCAGTTGAACATTTGGGGGAAATGCCTAATGCAGATGCCTCCACACACTGATTATGAACTTCTATTCTAATCCTGTACGTTATCAATTTGTTCTACCAGGTTTCTACAGATTCTGGGTATATGAAAGAGAACTTACTCTCCTCAGGACCCCCAGTCCCTACTTGAATCACCACCTTGATCGATCCCCAGTACCTCTGTTTGTCCAGAGTCTTTTCATCCTCTCCCATAAGTCCCAAGAAAAGCCAGAAAACATTCTGAATACTTGAAAAACCATATCTGAGACCTATAAAAAGTTCATGAGGTTCCATTTTCTTTAGTAATCTTTGTCGGTCAAAGACCATTTGTTTAATGTTCATGCGTGGGAATGATGGGTTATGCAGAAGCAGCTATTTAGTATCTGAAGCTTACAGCAATCTCAAAAGCATTTCTATTTCTTACTCCTGGCTCTCAATGAATGGATACACTTTTGCAATGGAGTCACTGCCACCTGTCCTGTGAAATTACGTTTCATGAAGCATTAAGGAGCTGCTTCTGGCTTAGATGGAATGTCTTGGTGTAATAAGAATTGTGGGAAGCAGAAAACCCTCTCTGAGTCCCAAGCTCCCACCTGCAGTCCAGCTCTGAAAAAGGGAGTCAGTGTTTTCATCTCAGTTTTCTCAATGGGAGAAAGCAATTGTAATATCTGTCCTGCTTATCTTCCAGGATCGCTCAGTGGATCCACATGAAAGAGTTTTGAAAACTATAAAACATTACACAAATAGAAAGTAGGATCATTCATCACAGAGTAATACCAACTGAAGAGCTGTATGGTTTTGCCAAAATTCACAGAATCCTTTAGAAACAATGAAACTAAAGTTTTATGCATATAATTCTTCCCTGAACCTCTAAAGAGGTCAGTTTCTTGATATGTGGAAGGCATCCCTCATATTTAAATGACTAGACTCGTGTTTATAGTATATATTGAGAAATTGTAAAGAGATCCATTGATACAAGCCACAAAACTCAACAATTTTAACTTATGTCAATTTGGATATTTGTATAAAATATATTAACTAATATGTTTTTTAAAAGAATGGTCACTTTTATTTAAATTTTAGAATTCATTAAGATATTAGTAGAAATATTTTCTTTAATTTTCTTTAAGAGGAAACTAACGCATCATACCAAAACACTGCAGTGAGTACTAAAATTGTAAAACTAAGAACACAGTTTAATAGTTATTACTTTTGGACATTTGCCCTGAGATTTGTCTTTATTTGTCTAAACACACTGTGCATTGTTTATCATTTTTATGATTACTTATTTTAATTTGCTAGGAAAATAGATATTTTTCAGGCAAAAAATATTAAAAGATATGTCACTGCACATCTCATACCAAGCAAATACATCTCATACTATTGTTTGTTTTAGTTATCAACTGTTTCCAAGTGTCAATCACATCGGTAAAGTTATGACAGATTATTCTAAAAGTCTTAATCTGACCATAATGGAAACAAATCCATAAAAACATTATGTTGATAAAGCATAATCCCTCAAAAATGGTAAAAATAGCTAAAAGTGGAGGAAGTAAATAAAACACAGAACTTCATAATAGGAAATAAATGTTGCTATGTTATAAATATACAGCTAAGGCCCTTGGACAGAATTTAGAGAGGCATTGACAATAAATTAACTAGCTGTTTCTAAAACATGTCAACCAAATGAATCATTAGCTAATACTTTTTTTTGTTTGTTTGAACCGGAGTCTTGTTCTGTCACCAGACGGAGTCTTGCTCTGTCGCCAGGCTGGAGTACAGTGGCGCGATCTTGGCTCACTGCAACCTCTGCCTCCCGGGTTCAAACAATACTTCTGCCTCAGCCTCCCGAGTAGCTGGGATTACAGGCGCCCGCCACCACGCCAGACTAAATTTTTGTATTTTTAGTAGAGATGGGGTTTCACTATGTTGGCCAGGCTGATCTCGAACTCCTGACACTGTGATCCACCCTCCTCAGCTTCCCAAAGTGCTGGGATTAGAGGTGTGAGCCACCGCGGCTGGTCCTAACTAATACTTTTAATTAAAATTACAGTTGTTCTGGTTTATACCACAGCTGTGGGGTTTTAAAATATATTTTTAAAGGTTTAAGATATGAATTTGGTGGGAATTGCTGTAGGGAGTTTCTCATTTTAATCTACTGCAAAAACAGAACTGCATAATTTTAAAATTGAAGAAAAGCTTCTAGAGAGTGTTTTACAAATTTTGGCAGCATCAGAGTCAAACACAGACTGCGGTGCCTCAGCTGCAAGTTTCTGATTCTGTAGGTCTGGGGTGGGGCCCCAAATATCCATTTCTAACAACTTTCCAGGGGATGCTGAGGCTGCTGGTCCCAGGACCACACTTTGAGAATTGCTGCACTGAAGTAACTAACATGATTTTTTTTTAAATCAACTTTCCCCAGAGCTCAATCTAGATGCAGGAATCGGATTTCAAGTCCAACATCATCCTGCTACTTCCACCCGTATGAATTCTCTGCAAGGATCACAGGCTTTGGGACTTAAGCCTTGCTAATGATGAGAAGGCTCTCTATACACTATTGTGCAGAAGAAAAATATACATTTGCTAATTAGCTCTAATTGGACAGACTTCTGAGCAATAAAGTCTGTGCTAGGAGGCTCAAAGAAAAGCTGACATCCTTTTTTTTCTGCTTTAGTAACACAGGCTAAATTCCAGAGCCAGAGGGAGGAGGAAAACTAGCCTGAAGAAAGTCATCAAAATTAGAATTAAAAAAAAAAAGTTAAACCTAACAAATGTTTTAAATCATTTAATCTAAGTAATTAGCAAAGTACCTTACATTAATAGCACACCTTCCTTATAAATCACATATTATGTTTTACTGTGTGTAAAGTACATTTAATTATCAAAAGCTTGCAAGGTGCTTATCATGTGCCAGACATTGTTTGAAGTGCTTTACAGATTTAAAAAACCCTCAGTTAATTTTCACCATAGCCCTGTGAAGGAGGAACTCTTCTTTTCCCTGTTTCATAAGGTGAAGAAACTGGCACAGAGAAGCTAAGGAAATTGCAGAGGTCACACAGCCAGGAAGGGACAGCCCAAGGATTTGAACCCAATCAGCGTGAGTCCAGCATTTGTGCTCTTGGCCTCCAGGCTCTGATGCTTGCTTACTGGCTAAGGTTGAAACAATCTTGTCAATTTAAAACGTGGCTGCACTTTAGACTCACCTAAGGGGATTCTAAAAAGTGCTAATACCTGGACCATCCCCAAACAAATTGAATGAAAATCTTTGGGGATGTAGCCCAGGTATTGGTATGTGTTAAAAGTGCCCTCGGCGATTGTAATATGTGGCCAGGATTGAGAACAACTGTGCTAAAATGTCAGGTGACTATGTTGACCCTCCAGATTTGCTTTATTTTCTATTTTTATTTTATTTATTTGTTTTTTCTTTTTTTTTGAGACAGAGTCTCGCCCTGTCGCCCAGGCTGGAGTGCAATGGTGCCATCTTGGCTCACTGCAACCTCCACCTCCCAGGTTCAAACCATTCTCCTACCTCAGCCTCCCCAGTAGCTGGGATTACAGGCGCTCGCCAGTGCTCGCCACCATACCTAGCTAATTTTTGTATTTTAGTAGAGACGGGGTTTCACCATGTTGACCAGGCTAGTCTCGAACTCCTGACCTCGGGATCTGCCCGCCTCGGCATCCCAAGGTGCTGGGATTACAGACGTGAGCCACCGCGCCCGGCCTGCTTTTTCTTTTAAAGCAACTGAGATGACAGCATCATTATGGCTACATTGTACACGTTTGGGAAGGGAGCACTAAGGAAGGACAAGTACATAAGACATTGCTCCAGGAAAGCCAGAACCAAGAAAGAGGCAGGTGAAATTAAAGCAAGGCATCGATTTAACCAATTAGTGGCTTCTGGATATTGTTGACGAAACTTCTCGGCACTTACAGATTTACTCTTCCTATGCTTTATTCTTATTCATTCTCGTTTCACATAGGACCAAACTAATTTTTCACACACGCCTTGATTTTTTGCCTCGGAGCTTCTAGTTTCTGACCTAAACCTAAACCTAAACTAAACTCTTTCCTAAACCTTTTTCTGTTACCTGGCCAGAAAGGCTCAGTCTCCAGGCAGCGGATTTCAGGGGAAATTTACGACATCTAATGGTGCAGCCAGCCAGCCTGGTAAGGATTTGAGACTAACATCAAGAAGGAATTGTGGCTGACACAGTTATGAGGAAGTGGCTGGCCTCAGGGTTACATAGTTTCCCTTTGAACAGTTACTCCTGTTTCCTTTAAGCATCCAATGACGCCTGATCATCTTAAAACAAGACTAACCACAAGGCTTTAATACCAATTACATGAGATTAAACAGGAAATGATTACTAAGAATTAAATGTGAAAAATAGTAATACTAATAGTGTAGTATTGACACAAATTGTGCTCAAGAATGGCTGCTAATGGGAGCAGCATCTGCCCGGGTCATATCAGCAGCTGCTTGTCATCACATGCAGCCTCAGAGCCCGGATCTTACACATCCCACCTAGCCTCCCACCAACACCATTAGCCTTATTTAAACCAAAGGAAATCAGATGCATGGAAGCGAAGGACCTTTCCCCAGCACATGGCATTCTTGAAAGGAAGAGCCAAGATTTGAACCCTACCTTGACTCTGAACTAGGACTGGATACCATTTGCAGAGACTAATGCAAAATGAAAATGCGGGCTTCCTTGTTAAAAAAAATTAAGAATTTCAAAATGGCAACCACAGAGCACCAAACCAAGCACAGGGCCCTTTTAAGGGTGGGGCCCTGTAGAACTGCACAGGTCACCGGCCCAGAAAGCTGGCCCTGCTCAAAGCCCTTCCTCCTCAAAATACAGTTCAGAGTCAGCAGCATCAGCATCCCCTGGGAGCTAATTAGAAATGCAGAATCTCAGGCTGCACTCCATACCCACCAAACCAGAGTCTACATTTTGACAAAATTCCTTAGGAGACTCCAGTGCACATTAAACCTACAGATGCCCAGCTATGAAGCCTCAGTCCTCTCATCCTGGGCTTGCCTTCATCAGATTTTCAAAGCACTGGTTTCTGGTCTCACATCCCCCCCCCACCCGTCACCACCTTGGGATACAAATGTGGTCAATCTTTTATTTCTGCACATAGTTGCACACATACCATCTGTACATATTAGCAGAAAGTCTCAAGTCTCACTGAAAGGTGAAGCCGGCTGGGCTTCTGGGTCGGGTGGGGACTTGGAGAACTTTTCTGCGTAGCTAGAGAATTGTAAATGCACCAATCAGCGCTCTGTGTCTAGCTAAAGGTTTGTAAACACACCAATCAACACTCTGCAAAAATGGACCAATCAGCTCTCCATAAAATGGACCAATCAGCTCTCTGTAAAATGGACCAATCAGCTCTCTGTAAAATGGACCAATCAGCAGGATGTGGGTGGGGACAAATAAGGGTATAAAAGCTGGCCACCCGCGCAAACAGCGGTAACTTGGTTGGGTGTTCTTCTCTGCTGTGTAGGCTTTGTTCTTTTGCTCTTTGCAGTAAATGTTGCTGCTGCTGACTGTTGGGTCCCAGCCGTCTTTAAAAGCTATTACACTCACGGTGAAGGTCTGTGGTTTCACTCCTGAAATCAAGCGAGTGTACGAACCCACCGGAAGGAAGAAACTCCAGACTCCGAAGGAACAAACTCTGGACACACCAAATGTAAGAATTGTAACACTCACCGCGACGGTCCGTGGCGTCCACCCTCGCAGCTTCTTTCTTGAAGTCGCCGAGACCAAGAGCGCACCGAAAGGAACCAATTGTGGACACATCCGTTTTGTGAGTTATTTCTTCTTCCCTTTTTCTGCTACTGACCAGTCCCCACCACGAGTTATTTGGTGGCTGCCTCCAAAGAGGCGCTGGGGCAGAGAGGTCAATCCTCTTGTAGATCCTGTGGTGCCAAACCCCTATTAATCGCAAGAGGCATAGCGTCAGGTTCAGGAAGCCAGAACCTTGGAGCTAACAAGTGAGACATGGGGTTTTATGAGTGGGAAACTTACAGATAGAGTGGTTCAGTGGCGGCAAGCTGGATGGAAGAACCACCACCACTTGCAAAAAGCATAGAATATATGGCATTTTCACTTAGCACCCTCCCGTTAACAACCGCCACCTGGTAAGCTTCATTTAACCCCAAAGGGCCTTGATCCCCTCTACCAGCCTATCTGTGTTTAACAGGGTGAGCTAGGGACTTAAAAGTTCCTTATAGATAAGAAAGGAATTGGCCAGGTGCAGTGGCTCATGCCTGAATCCCAGCACTTTGGGAGGCTGAGACCAGCCTGGCCAACGTAGTGAAACCCTGTCTCTACTAAAAATACACAAAATTAGTTGGGCGTGCTGGCGGGCACCTGTAATCCTAGCTACTCGGGAGGCTGAGGTAGGAGAATCTCTTGAACCCGGGAGGCGGAGGTTGCAGTGAGCCGAGATTGTGCCATTGCACTCCAGCCTGGGCAACAGACTCCATCTCAAAAAAAAGGAATTTCCAGGTTGGCTACTCCCAATTCCCTTAGCTTGGAACCCTGAACAAACATTCAGGTGCATCTGCCATACAGGGTTGTTCTCAGGGTGTTTTTTTAAATTTTATTTTGTTTGTTTATTTTTTTTTTTTTTGAGACGGAGGCTCGCTCTGTCACCCAGGCTGGAGTGCAGTGGCGTGATTTCAGCTCACTGCAAACACTGCCTCCCGGATTCACGCCGTTCTCCTGCCTCAGCCTCCCAAGTAGCTGGGACTACAGGCGTCCGTCACCACGCCTGGCTAATTTTTTGTATTTTTAGTAGAGGCGGGGTTTCACTGTGTTAGCCAAGATGGTCTCAATCTCCTGACCTCGTGATCCGCCCACCTCCGCCTCCCAAAGTGCTGGGATTACAGGCGTGAGCCACCGTGCCCAGCCCCGGGTGTTCTTAAGTGGTTGCTGTCAGGTACATCTACCACGCAGATGCAGGTCGTCTGCTACAGCGATGCACTTGCTGGTGCAGATCGCCAATGAACTCCCTGAGTTGGGCTCAACTAAGTTGCTCTTTTGTTCCAGGACGTTGTTCCCAAAGCATGGCCGTGTGTCAGAGTGGCGGGGTCTGCAGGTCTCTCATTCTTCCTCTGCCTAACGTGCATTGCTAGGCAACCCACATAGACACCCCTTCCTCCACAGGGCAATGCACTGTGGGGACCTTAGCATCGTTTCCTGGCAGGGGACTTATTTGGGACCGTCTCAATCCATGAGTGAGACTCTGATAACACTGAATTTCAGAACGCTAGGTGTCCTGATTCATCTCCTGCCCATATAAGTTCCTCTGGTCAGCAGGGCAGTGGCCCCCTAAAGATGTACATGTCCTAAGACCCCAATCCTATGAATATGTCTCTTTACATGATAAAAGGGATACATCAAATGTGACAAAGTTAAGGATCTTGAAGGGGGGAGACTATTCTGGATTATCTGGTGAGCCGGATGTAATTGTAAGGAGCCTTATAAGAGGGAGGCAGGAAGGTCAGAGTCAGAGAAGGTGATGTGGTAACAGAAGCAATGGTTGTGTGATGCAGCTGTGAGCCAAGGAATGCAGGAAGCCTCCGGAAGCTGGGAAAGGCAAGGAAACGCCTTCTCCCTAGAGCCTTCAGAAGGAATGCAGACCTGCTAACCTATTTTACGATTCTGACTTTCAGAACTGTAAGAAAATAAATGTGTGTTGCTTTAAGATACGAAATTAGTGGTAACTTGTCATAAGAGTAATTGGAAGCAAACACAGCTCTTAAGCAAATGTGTCTGTCCCTGCCGAAGCAATCATTTCAGTGTAATGGAACGTTGTGGAAAGGGCAGTCCTCAACAGGCTAGCAGGTCTCCATAGACCTGTCTCCTGGTACAGCAGGTGCTTATTACATGCCCCAAAGAGACCACTCACATCATTTTTTCCCCCTTGAAAATGTGTTCCAATGAGTAATTTGTTGCCCTACTCACAGATGTATTAAGAGAATAGGCTGGCATCACTTTACAATTGAACCCCGTCAGTCGTGAGGTTACCCAAAACATTGCAAAAGGAGTGGAGATGCCCACTGAGTCAACTCTCCACTGAATCCAGGGCTTCCTTCCCCTCTGTTTCTTGCCTGTTCTAAACCAGTTGTCTTCCAACTTCAAGACTCTCCCTTGTCTCTCAGAGCCACTTGACTTGTCCCATCCAAGGACAAATGGAAGCTCTCTACTTATTTTGCAAACTTTCCAAAGCCTTTTATAGTGACCACACCCTCACCTCTCAGATCCAATTTTTGGTCAAAAAGACGGGTGTAGTCCACAAGGGATGGGAAGGAGAGTACAAAGTCACAGGGTGTCCCCTCAGACTCAGGGGAGTGCTTCCATCCACCTTCAGGAGTGCCCAGATCCTGGCTGGATGTCTGAATCCCTTGAGGGACTTTAAAAAATACCCCACCACAAACCAGTTAAATCAGAATCTTTCGTGATAACAGCTTGGACATCTGTATTTTAAACAAATATTCCAGGTGATTCTAAAGTGTAGCCAATCCCTACTTAGATTATGATCCACTCAGGAGACGAATCCTTCAAAAGTGAAATCTTCCATTACAGGTTAGAAGTTATTCTGGAAAGTCCAGCATAAACCTTTCATACCAAAAACCCATTCTAAGTTGAGGGTTACCAATTTAAAGGACTGTGAACTAGTAGGTATTTAGAATCCTTGGGTACTTAGGTGCCTTTGATATTCTCCCTTAAGGGTCTCAATGCTGAACCATTTGTTACATATGTCATCTCACCTCACTTAGTCTGTTTCTTCATTTTAGAGTGGAATAATAGTCCTTGGTTCTCTGGACAACCGGGAGAATTGCATTTTCTGAGGCCCACGATAAGCACCCAACCGTTAATATTTCCATGCTTCTCTGTCCATCCCATGGAGCCTGGGGCTTGAGGGACTGTGCAGTGAGGCAGCAACTCACATCTCCAGCTGTTGGACTGGTCCTGCCAGCGACGTCTGCTCAGTAGAACAAGCAGCACTTCCCCCAGCTCAGCACTGTCTCATTTCTGAGACTGAACACCCCGTGGTCACTCTACATGGATGGGTAGGTTTCCTGAAGGCAGTGCAGTGGATTTTAATACCCAGGGCCTGGTCTCCTATGGCAGGTGGCACTTAAGTTCTCTGCAGAGGCAGACATTTTTTGTTTTGGAGTCTGCAAGAATATCTAGCCATCACTTCTTCCCCACAAGAACAATGGGTGATGCACTATGTTGTACCTGGATCTAATGATGAATGAAATGGTTGTAACATTTGGCTTTAGAAGTTGTTTCAAATGCAATAAATCATACCTGGCACACAAGCAGGTTGTTACAAAACAGCTGCTGATGGAACCTGTCAATGACATCTTCTCTTTGAACGCCGCTGCCTTCCCCAGTGGCCAGGGATAGTTTTGTAAGCAGTTAACTCACCTGAGGCCCACAAAATGGCAGAGTACAGATGAGAGGCATTTCTCCACGGCAGTAAGCCTCCTTTCTCTGGATCTCAGAGTCTGATCTTAGACCTGCTCTGCCCTGGCAAACCATAGGGATGTGCTGATGCCAGACCTGCTGAGCACTGGTCACCTTTGTCTGCAAAAATACTTCTTGCACAGGCATGTTTACAGCATGATGTGAAGCCCTCCCCAAGACCTCTGGAGGATGAGTCAGGAGCCAGGACACAAGGAGAAGGCCCAGACAGAAGATAGGTTTGGGAAGAGGATGGAAAAAGACTGCAGACCAGACAGGTTGGGGAAGGGGCATAGGGCATATCTTACTGCTGAGCTCTGCAAAGCCAAAGTTGTCAGAGGTTCTGTTACTTTCTCTCAAAGACATTGTCTGCTGGAACAGGAAAAATATCCTGAAAGAAAAGAGCAGGACAATCCTATCACTGCAGCAGGGGGAGTCATAAGCTTCAGGGGCTGGGGAACTGAGAGGGAAGAAGCCCAAAAAGAGCTTTCTGGAAGTCTGGAAATACAAGATGTTTCCCTGGTCCTTTGGTAAACAACCCCTATCTGGGGGCTGGGTGTGGGTGTCTTGTCACCTTGTAGATCTATAGGTCATGCAGTCACAGGGAATGCCTAATTTATGAAAGATAATGAGTCCATGAAATATTTGTGAAGGTCCTAGAAATTAGCCAACTTGAGGGATTTGTTGTCCATATCTAAAAATCTTTTTCTTCCTTTTTTTTCCAGGCTTTAAAAAAAGCTTTTTCTTTTTCCCTCATGTTTTGGTCTGCTATGGAACTGAGATATTTTCTAATTTCACTGAGGTCTATTTTAGGAATTAATATGGTTTGGCTGTGTCCCCACCCAAATCTCATCTTGAATTATACTTCCCATAATCCCCACAGGTCATGGGAGGAACCTGGTGGGAGGTAATTGAATCATGGAGGCGGTTACCCTTACAGTGTTCTCATGATAGTGAGTGAGTTCTCATGACATCTGATGGTTTTATAAGGGGCATTTCCCCCTTTGCTCAGCACTTCGCCTTCCTGCCACCACGTGAAGAAGGATGTGTTTGCTTCCCCTTCTACCGTGATTGTAAGTTTCGTGAGGCTTACCCAGGCCTGTGAAACTGAGTCAATTAAACCTCTTTCCTTAATAAATTACCTAGTCTTGCATATTTCTTCGTAGCAGCATGAGAATGAACTAATATGAGGGCTAAAAAATAATTGCTTATGTGGTAAGCTGAAGGATTGTTCCAACTAAGAGTCCTATGCCGTAGGGAAAAACATTTATTTAAATTAATAATTCCTTTTTTTTAAAAAAAGCATTATATATATTTTTTGAGTCTTACTGAATCTTTTTTTCTTTTTACAGGTTAATTTCCCTTGGAAAAGTATTGATGATCAAGTGATGCTAGCAGCAACAGTGTTAAAGGCTTTAACGCTTTTAAAGGTGAGACTTTTGGGAGTTGATTAGGTCATGAGGATGGAGCCTGGTGAATGGGATCAGTGAAAGAGGCCTGATGTGAGGTAAGTGTTGATCAAAAGAAAAAACCAGTTAGGAACAATAGGTTCAAGAGCTCTGTGGTACAATATGGTGACTATAATTAATAGCAATACGTTGCATTCTTGAAAATTGCTAAGGGAGTAGATTCTAAGAGTTCTTACGACAAAAAGTATGTGAGGTAATGCATTTGTTAATTAGCTTGATTTAGCCATTTTACAGTGTAAGCATATTTCAAAACAAGTATTTGTCAATTTAAAATAATTAGTAAACTAGTTTAGAAACAAAGGCCCTAGAGAGACACCTTCTACTGCATAAGGACAGAGAAGTCCGTAGTCTTCAACCCAAAAGAGGGTCCTCACCAGAATTCCACCATGCCAGCACCCTACCCTCAGACTTCAGCTCCCAGAGCTGTGAGAAGTAAATTTCTGTTGTTTATAAGCCACCCAGTCTACGGTATTTTTGTTATAGCAGCCTGAACAGACTAAGGAAGGAAAGAATTTAGTCAAAAGGCCAAGAGACTGTTACCTAAAGACAATTTAGAGAGACTATTCTGGGACACAATTTTTTTTAACCAGTATTTTCTTTCAGAACTCCCTTCAGTTTGACTTTTCTTACCACTAACTGACATGAATTCATAAAGATTGTCACATACTTTGTGGTAAATCTGGAATCTTTCTTCAAATTATAGATGCCCCGGTGCTTAGTCATTTTGTTTAAAAATAATATATGTTAAATTCTTGTTTAAATGGAAATTTTTGTATGTGCGCCAAGAGTCAGCCTCCCCTACTTATTCTGGTATAAACCTAGTTTTTCATCAAGAGTAAGTCATTAAATAAGTTCTTAAGAGGATTGCTACCATTTTGTCAAATCATGTAATTACTGGATAAAGAAGACCTGGAGAAGAGGAGAAAGGAGGCTGTTTCAGTCCTCTTAGGATAATAAATTGTCAGGAAAATGTCTGATTAAGGAAAAAACACAGGATCCTATAGTGATACTTGGTGGGACACTAATACATAAAGAATGCAAAGTTTATGTTTTATACAGTCGTAACATCCTGATTATGGTATACAAGTAATATATGATTGAGGCTGCTAAGATAAACTTCTAGAGGTAAGAGAAAACTGCTGAGAGGATTTTTATTAGAAAGTTTGTTCTGAATTTTTGTGCAGACTTCAAAATACAGATTCAGGGGAAGTCAGAAGCAACATTTAGATCAACTCTTACACCTAAACCTCAAGATTAGATTCAGCACTGATAAATGCAAAGCACCTCAATTATAGCCAAGCGCTTAAACTTACCTCCCAAGGTAGCGTTTAAATGTATCTCTAATTACAGTTGACATACCTGTTGCTCTAAAAGATCTTTTTTGTTTTATTTTTAAAATTGATATAATTGTACATATTCATGGGGTACCTAGTGATGTTTCCACATATATAATGTATAGTGATTTGATTAGGGTAATGAACATATCCGTCATCTTTTTTTCTTTTTTCTTTTCTTTTTTTTTTTTTTTTTTGAGATGGAGTCTCGCTCTATTGCCCAGGCTGGAGTGCAGTGGCGCAATCTCAGCTCACTGCATGCTCCGCCTCCCAGGTTCATGCCATTCTCCTGCCTCATCCTCCTGAGTAGCTGGGACTACAGGCACCCACCACCACGCCTAGCTACTTTTTTTGTATTTTTAGTAGAGACGGGGTTTCACCATGTTAGCCAGGATGGTCTCAATCTCCTGACCTTGTGATGTGTTCGCCTTGGCTTCCCAAAGTGCTGGGATTACAGGCGTGAGCCACCGCGCCCGGCCACATATGGGTCATCTTAAGCCTTTATGATTTCTTTGTGTTCAGAACATTTGATATCCCTCTTCCAGCTACTGGAAACTATGTTAACTATAGTCATTTTACAGTCCAATAGAACGCTAGAACTTATGCCTCCTTTCTGACTGTAATTTTGTATTCTTTAACAAATCTCTATACACCCCCTTCATCTCCTCCCATTCCCAGCCGTCAATATCCTCTGTTGCACATTTTACTTCTATGATATCAACTTACTTAGCTTCCACATATGAGTGAGAACATGCAGTGTTTAACTTCCTATGCATGGGTTATTCACTTAACATAATGTCTTCCAATTCCATGCAGGTTGCCAAGAATGACAGGATTTTATTTTTTAATGGGTGAATAGTATTCCATTCCAAAATATATACTACAATTTCTTTATCCAGTCTTCTGTTGTTGGACACCTAGGTTGATTCCGTTAAAAGATTTTTTTATAAGGAGCCACATGGAAAATCAAACAGACCTGGTTGTTGAGACTGGCAGGTGTTCACCTGGCATCCCCAGAGTTCAGGGACACTGTCTAGAAATAAACTCTTGAAGAGGAAACAAGCTGAAATATACAAAGAAGCTCTGTTGTAAGACTTCCTTGTGGCTACACCGATAACCTACACCTTTTTTACCTTCTCTGTCACAAACGTTTTCTCACCCCTTGGACAGTTGTCACTACTTGTCCCCATTGCCCTGGTACTTGTTAGCCTACACATTATGTTTCCCACATTTATGTTCCTGAAGTTTTAACTCTTTTACTCCCCTCTGTGCAGTTTTCCTTGGAAGAGCCCCCCCGAACCTCCAACCATCCCCTTTGTTTCTTTGGCTTAGAAATCTCTTTCTCGCAGAAATTTCCTTTCTTTTCCAATTCCAACAGCTTTAAAATGGCTCTATTTGGTTGGATATAGTCAGAACTACCACAAGGTGTTACCCCAACAAAAATTTGAAAATTAGATTAGTTCCATTAGTATTTTGAAATTGCTGTAAAATGGATTCAGCCAGAGAGACCCTAGGGAAGAAAAACCAAAATGATCCCAGACATTTTACTGTAGCCCCTTGTCTAAAGCGAAATGCGTCACTCTAAAAGGGACGTGGTGGTTCCTCTAATGAAGTTCAGAGAAAGTGTCTCTAAATGCCTTGGGCACAGTCTAGGGGAGAGAGAGGGAGACAGGTGAGTTGTGTAGTTCGTGCCCATTGAAAGCCCACCTTATCACGGACATATCTGCATCAGGCATTCTAGGCTTGCTAATTAGACGGTCACTTCAGCTGCTTCCCCTTTTGATTTCATGCCCAACAAGATTCATGATTATGAATTGGCTTCATATGTAGGTTTGCCCATAAGGAAGGAATGTGCTGGTCATGCTGAAAGGCATATTCCAGGCGGGTGACACATCTTTTGTTATAAATGGTTAAATTAGAACACTGATTTTATAGCTCAGTCTTTTGAGTTTGATTAATGTGTTTTCCCCTCAGTCCCAGTACGCTGAAAGGACAAGTTTCTAAACTTGTCAGGCTAAGAACCAAACCCTGGACCAGAGTAAATTCACCCAAAAACTCCACCTGACAAGGCCTTGTGGATGACTGACATTCCTGCATGCCCCTGACAATGCTCCAACCTCACCCAACATTTTCTCCTTTGCGTGTCTACAGATGCCTTATGTTTGCTATGGGTCAGATGTCTGTCATTATGGAAACTCTCAGTAAATTCAAGTTGACTTGAACTTGACTCAACTTGCTAGTAATGGAAGGATTTTCCTATGCCAGTTTCCAAGTTTTCCCATTATTGTCAAGAGTACCAGGATTCTCAATAAGACAAGCTTGGCCAGGCACGGTGGCTCATGCCAGTGATCCCAGCACTTTGGGAGGCCGAGGCAGGCAGATCACGAGGTCAGGAGTTCAAGACCATCCTGGCCAACATGGTGAAACTTTATCTCTACTAAAAATACAAAAAAGCTAGCTGGGCGTGGTGGCATGCACCTGTAGTCCCAATTACTTGGGAGGCTGAGGCACGAGAATCGCTTGAACCCAGGAGGTGGAGGTTGCAGTAAGCCGAGATCGTGCCACTGCACTCCAGCCTGGCAACAGAATGAGACTCCATCTCAAAAAAAAAAGCTGAAAGACTCAGCAGTGTTAATCCCAACCTCATAGCTCATTTTTATTCAGAAAATGTGTACTATTGGTAATTTTTAATGTCTCAACTGCCTTATCTGCTTTTTTCTACCATGATAGACCTAATGCTAGACTTTATCAACTCATGCTGGAGTTAATGAGGTGGCCTCTTAACCATAATTCTGGTCTCTTAATGTCATTTCTTTTTTTTTTTTTTTTTTTTTTTGAGACGGAGTCTCGCTCTGTCGCCCAGGCTGGAGTGCAGTGGCGGGATCTCGGCTCACTGCAAGCTCCGCCTCCCGGGTTCACGCCATTCTCCTGCCTCAGCCTCCCAAGTAGCTGGGACTACAGGCATCCGCCACCACGCCCGGCTAATTTTTTGTATTTTTAGTAGAGACGGGGTTTCACCGTTTTAGCCGGGATGGTCTCGATCTCCTGACCTCGTGATCCGCCCGCCTCGGCCTCCCAAAGTGCTGGGATTACAGGCGTGAGCCACCGCGCCTGGCCTCTTAATGTCATTTCTAACCTCCTCCATCTGGTATATCTCTTATAATTAATATTGCCAAGTAGAACACATCTGATTCCCTCATAAGGGTTATCCATAATTGGGCCCAATACCACTCACCCATCTTATTTTCATTGCTCAAATATATACTTTACACTCAGTCATGTGGTCCATCAGTTTTGTATTGCTGAGTAGCAAACCATCGCAGATCTTCAGGCTAAGACAACAATTATTTATTTTGCTCACGACACTGCAATTTGGGAAGGACTATGTGAAGACTGCTAGTCCAGTCTACATGCAGCATAAGCTGGAGCAGCTTGACTGGGGGTCAGATGATCCACTGTGAAGATGGCCCAC
This sequence comes from Homo sapiens, assembly GCF_000001405.40. Taxonomy (NCBI): domain Eukaryota; kingdom Metazoa; phylum Chordata; class Mammalia; order Primates; family Hominidae; genus Homo; species Homo sapiens. The sequence goes on from NC_000017.11 coordinate 14,844,892, forward strand.
TCTCATAGCTGGCAAATTGGTGCTCAGCCAAGACTGCAGGATGGTGTCTCTTCACGTCCTCAGGCTGCTAGGGCTTCCTCACAGCGTGGTAGCTGGGTTCCAAGTGTCAGCATCCTAAGAGAACCAAGAGGAAACTGTATCACATTTTATTACCTACCTTTGGAAGTTGAAGAGTCACAAGAGCACCCAAATTCTAGGGGAGAAAATAAAGATCTTTATTCAATTGAATGAATCAAGATCACACTAGAAGATGAGAGAGAAGAAAGGGAAAGGAGAGAAAAAGGAAAAGGAAGAGAGGAAGGGAGGAATGGAGGGAGGAAGAAAATAGAATGGGAAATATTTTTTGGCAGTCTTTTTAGAAAAATGCAGTCGGCTGCACTTTGAATCAGTGGTTGGTTTAGGAGAGTGGTCGAGTAACACTTCCTATCTGGAGAATAATGTATTATCTAATCACATTCATAGATCTTGGAGTTCTGTATCTCATATCACAGTTGAGAAAACTAACACCCACAAAAGTTGTGACTTACCCAGGTCATGATTAGTGGCAGATCTGGGAATAGAACCTGAGTCTATTTAACTACCCTGGCAGATTTTTATTCAGTACGTCCGGATGAGCATTGGGAAATGCATGTTTTTAATACATGTACAAGGTGAGTCTTATAAGCAGACAAATTTGAAGAACACTGCTACAGCTTACTGCACACTGCTGCAGTTACAGACTGGCACATGGGCAGCTTGTTACAGAAATTCAGAAGGGTGTGGTTGCATAGCCTGAATATTTAAAGCCTTCTCCAAATGGAAGACATTATTATTAGTCCATAGCCTGGGAGTGCAAACTAATCTCCCTGGATAATGAGAATGACTAGTCAAGTTCCCCATCCTGCCCTTGAGAAATAGGAATCAGGTACAGACTTGTTGGGGATAATTTAATCCATGCTGGTGTGCTGGCATGCTGCCTTTTTTCCGTCGCATGATTCCAGAAGAAAGTAACCTGTTGCCACAAGCAGAAATCGTTCAGGTACCAGCTGCAAATGTGAACTGGCAGAAGCGAGAGAGCCCTTCATTATGCAATTATCCATAATTAGGTGCTCATTACTACTTTATCATCAGGGAGCCAGCTCCCACCTGTGCAGGATTGTCGTGGGGACTGGCAAGCAGAGTGGAACAGAGCTTTGCTTGTTCTCTAGGAACGTGACATCTGAAATCGGCAGTTTCAACCTGCACATGGGGAGAGGCCATACTGACATGCAGACAGATGCAGACACATGGAGGCCAACTATGTAAATTATGCAGATGTCATAATCCTGGCATTCACTTAAGGTTTTGCTTGTGATAGATGCATGATAGAGAATGGGGGTGGAAGGGAAGCGGCCACTGCTACTTTATCCTCAGTTAATTGAGAAATAGTTTATATTCAGAATAAAATGTCCTTAAGCCAGAAATAAGAGCTTGAAGTGGTGAAAAGTGGAAGACTCAGAATTTGCTTTACCTTTTCTTTGTTAAAAAAAAAAGTCCTCATTATTAAGTGCTTCCTGGCCAAATTAAGAGCAAAGACTCTTTGTCATTTTATGTCCTGCCGTATATTACCTAGCAAACACCAGACTGTCAGTAAGTGTTTCCATAAATGGGGGTGGCTGGACAAACAATGTTAACAGATGAAGGGAAGATGTGCAGAGAGGGTCTTGCTTTAATGCATAGAGAAAAAAACGTGATTAGCTTGTGAAATACTCATAAGGAAACAGGAAAACACAAGTCCAAGTACTTAAACCAATTATATAAAGAGGGGCCACTTTTCCTGTATTAATAAGCACAAGTGATACAAAGTATTACAGATCTTGAATTCAAACCGGAATCAGTAAGGGATAACAGGCATACATTCAGTGTGGTGAGTTAAGCACCGTCGCAATCTCAGTTTTCATTAAAGTAAAAATATTGGGGTTTCTTGTATCCCATAAATGATAACTGCTCTGCAGAATTATCCATGCTTCCCTGCCTTCCAGAAAGGAAAAAGCATATGAGTAAATTTATTGATTTATGTACATTCTACAGCTTCAGTAGTTAAAAGATTCTGGTGTTACTGGCACCAATAGACACAGGTATCTTTAACTGAATGCAGGTTTAGAATTAGCCTCAAAATATATAGGGGTTCTGGAATTAGACAGTGGTGATAATTGTACAATTTTGTGAATATACTAAAAACCACTTAATTTTAGAATATGATATAAATATGAATTCGGAATATGATAAAGGTGACACTTCTGAAATTTCTAGATAACATTGGTTCAAATGAATTGATAGCGTAGGAAAAAATAGAGCATCCCTTTGCTTAATATACCAAATTTATTGAAAATGTATATATTGAATAAAATATTCTTTCTACAAAAAACCCAGGCAAACTATTTTTTATCATCCTATTGTGGGAGGGCCTTTTAAAGCATTATAAAAATCTTCCAAACTCAAACTGATAATTTTATTATTTTTTTCTTTCAACTTTTACTTTGGGTTCAGGAGGTGTATGTGCAGGTTTGTTACATGGGTAAATTGCCTGTCGCTGGGCTTTGGAGTAGAAACGATCCCATCATCCAGGTAGTAAGCATAGTACCCCATAGTTTTTCAGCCCTTACTGCCTCCCTGTTCCTTCCTTCCCCTTCTAGAAGTCCCTACAAAACTGATCAGTTTAATCACATAATTTAAAACTCATAATACATAGCAAAATTCTTTTTAAATGCTACATACAAAGTCGAGGCAAACAGTATAAGGGGAAGAAAAACTTACAGCATGTGATGAAGGGCTAATTTTTGTGACATGCAGAACTCATACGGATCAATGAAACATATAACCTGACAGACAAACAAAAACGTGTATACATGAACAGCTCACAGAAATAAATATCAATAGCAAACAAATACATTAACTCTTATTCATAATTAAAGTAGCAAATATAACCATGCAATGCCAGTTTTTAACCTGTCAGAATTGGTAAATATTAAGATTTATAGGTGGTAAAAAATATATAGTATCTTAAATCAGACTACCCTTGGGTTCCAAGCTTGGTTTCACCACTTACTAGCTGGGTTACCTCAGGTAAATTACTTAGCCTCTCTGTGCTTGACTCCTCTTCTATAGAATGGAAAAAAAATACTTACAAAGTTGTGAAGAAGATAGAGTGAGAAAATATACAAAAAGCACTTAGAAAAGAGCCTTTCACATAGGATGCACTAAATAAATGTGAGACTTTGAAGGAGTGTGCAAAAAATAGCTACAATTTTGATTTGTTGGGAACTTAGAACAATCTTTTTGGAGGACAGTTAATGATATCTTTCTTTCTTTTATTTTCCTTCCTTCCTTCCTTCCTGCCTTCCTTTCTTTTCTTTCTCTCTCTCTCTTTCTTTCTTTGATTTTCTTGAGACAGGGTTGTACTCTGTCACCCAGGCTGGAGTGCAGTGGTGCCATCTTAGCTCACTATAATCTCCATTTCCTGGGCTCAAGTGATCCTCCTGCTGCCTCAGCCTGCTGAGTAGCTGGGACTACAAACAGGCACCATCGCACCTAGCTAATTTTTTGTAGAGATGCGGTTTTGCCATGTTGCCTAGTCTGAAATATCTGACTATATTTAAGTTCACATACCCCAAGCAATGACTCAGCCGTGCCACTGCTAGGATTTAACTATATGGCTATATTCATAAAAGTGCACTGAATTATCTGTGTAGGATTGCTTACTGGAGCATTGTTAGTAATCAATCACAAAATGGGAAACAAGTTTGTCAATATGGAAGCTGCTATTAGAATACAATGCAGCTCTCAAAAAGTACAGGGATTGTTACGCATAAACTGATAAAAGATCTCAGAGGTAATTTTGAGTGAGACCAAACAAGGTACAAGATTTTATATGAGGATGAAATGAACTTGTTTATATAATTAAAAATATATGAATTATTAAGGAAAAAGAACTAAATTATATTTATCTCCTTTTTTTTCTTCTTCTCCCACATGCAGAGAATTTAGTTTCTCTAAAGGTCTGTGCTTTTTTTATATTCTCCTTCTTGAAAGAGCACGAAAGCTACTAGAGTGTCAGGCTCATGAAGGACACTAATGTGGGGTCCAGGTATGTGGAATTGGAGTCCAGTGCTTGGAGTTAGAAGGGTAGAAGTGACTCATTCCAGAAATTCAGGTGCTTGTAGAGCCCTCAAAGACTGAAAACCTAGGGGAATTAGGTTTTGCAGTTTCCATGAGCAGTAAGGACTTAAGGCTCCTCCCCCAAGAAGGGGGCTTTTTATCAGATGGGACTGGGTAGAGGGTCCCCAGGCAGGCCAGGCAAGGAACAGAGAGGCTGTCAGGCTTGGACATTGCCCTTGAGCCTAAAGTAGAGATCAGTTTCTCTTGCTTTCAAGAAAACGTAGAAATCCAGACAATGATCACATCAAAGGTGACCAATATGGACTGAAGACCAGAGGATCCTTCTCTGAGTCGTCTGGACAGCAGAAGACTGTAAAGATTCCAATGCAATGTGGGGAGGGAGAAGGGCCCCCCAAAACGTGACTTGGGATTTAATGTCCCTGCTACCAAAAAGATGGCTTTGGTGTCCAAGGATTTGAAAAGACGAATTTTAGTTTTTACCTTTCCATATTCTTTAGAACATTAATATATAATAATAGTATAGAAAATGTATATACTTGCAATATAGATAATTTGTAAAGAAAGAAGCTTGGTATGAAGAAATGTTTTATAGGATTTGAAAGTAGAGTAATGTTCCTTTGGGTAGGGGATATCTCTTCCAGGACTCTTGATTCTACCTTCTGTAATGTGGAGACAGCACCTAACTTACTCCTTGGGTGGTTGTGAGATTGAATGAGATCTTTACGCAATCTCTATGAGATCTCTATATCCCTAGCATCTGGAAGATGATAAAGGGCTGCTAGTCATATTCTATGAAGCCACAAACAACTGCCAATAAGGGTGGGGGTCCTATTAGAAGGAGGAGTTAATGCTTCATGTGTCTTTCTTTTAACGTATGGTCCCCAACATCACTATAAGGACAATGGTGGCAGAAAGGGCAGGGGAATCTTAATAAAGCTAAGTTGTCTGTTAAGGGGACTTATCATGTGAACATTTGCCCTGGCTATTTCTTCTGCCTGGAAAACTTTTCCCTTAAATATTCACTCAGGTAACTCCTTCACCTGTAAGTATTCTCTAAAATGTCACTGTAGCCTACCTGGACGATCCTAATTAACACTGTAATCCCCTTGGCACTCCCAATGCCCGTGACCTTGTTCTAATTCACCCCTAGCCCCATAGTTTTTAATCATCTAACAAGTTACATATTACATTTGTTTTCTAATTGGTTCACTTCTCTACACATACATACACACACACACACACACACACACGCCCTCAGTCTGCAGGCTGCATGCAGGAAGGGATTTTCTTCTGCTTATGATGAATCAGAAGCATTTAGAAAAGTGTCTAACCCATGATACATGCTCAAAAATTAGTTGAATAAGGAAAATTGTGAATGCCTCTTATTGCTTCTATATGATACCCTTTAATGTTAGAATCTATGTACTGTTGTTACCATTACAAGAATAATTAGTGATCTTGATCTTTAGGATGGAAAAAAAGTCCAGACTAACAGTAGTGATGGAAAGAATTTGACATTTTGTCTACTCTCCTCTCTGCCTTGAGCAGTCTTTGTAACCTTGGAAGTCATTTCACCCTTCGGGATTGGCATGAAAATCTAAGACGTCTATCTCTAATATTTCACTTTCAATAACTCACTATAGAAGTGGACATGCCAGATGCTGGCTGCATCCTTTATGTGTAATCTCACTGGGTGATATTAATTGGGATGAATAGGGCAGTAATCTTCTTTTCTTGGGAAAGGAAGAGACTGGGCACCAAAAAACCTGATGAGAAGTGATATCATCAGCAGAGAGGTGGTAATAAACTGAACTAAGGCAGTGAGATTTGAAAACAAAAACACAATCTTAAAGCTGTTAGGCTTTAAAACTCCAGGGTGTTCCATTTGCCCTGTGCCGTAAAAATGACAGAGTTGGGTTAAGGGTTCTGTACCCCTTATTAGCCATTAGCATTAACAACAAAGATGAAAGACGTTAAGGGCAATTTTTGTCACTGAGATCTGAATTTATTTTCCTTCACTGAATCTTAAATTAGTAGTTAACTGATGGCAAGACCTGTACCAAGAAGGTCATGTTTCCAGCCAACATTTCCTAAACCCATTAGATATCAGTATTCTACAGCCCATAAATTTGGAAGCTGGAGTCTGCCAAGACCAAGACTAACAGAGGGGGGGAATATCATACACATTCAATCACACTATCTTAAGTTTATCTTTTAGAAGCAGATGTTAGCCTATCTCTTGCATCCAACAGGATGCAACATAAGAAGAGCTCATGGATCGGAGCTTTAGTGTAGAAAATCCTTTTAGTTTTTGATCTTTTCCTTTTCCAGAAATACTGTCAGTTCCTGGGAACCATTATCTACTTACTAAGGTTTAAGTGTTACTTAGATGTCCTAGGTTACTATTAAGCTAAAATCCAATTGAAAAGAACAAAGAAAGTTTGTTTGTTTGTTTGTTTGTTCCAAACAAAGAAATTGGTTGGAGTGGTCCTGAAAGACTTTATATATTCCATTTTGGTCCAGGGAGGTTTTTGATTCTACCTTACGCTTCTAAAAGTCTCAGCACAGATAACAGTTTCCCAAATAATCTTTTTACTTAGGCTGCCTTTTAAATAGCATGACACTTGTTTGGGGGGAACAATAGAGACCAAGGAAAGGTATTAGCATTTATTTCATACTAATTGTTTATAGGACACTGTGCTTTCTCATATACTAGGATTTAATTTTCCCAATAGCGTTTTTTGAGAGAAATTATTCCCATTTCACAGATGAAACTATTGCCTACAAGCACTGGAACCAGCAGCAACATCATAAGCTGGTCTGGGAACCCCAATTTGAGAACCATATACCTAGACCTTGCTGTCTAGTCTTTGATACTTCTGCTTGGTATGCCGTCATACCTTTGCTTTATTTATTCATTCAACAAATACTTACTGAATTTCAAGTATATTTCAAGCACTATGCAAGGTTCAGGATGCGTAAGTTATCCAGATTGCCATTCCTTGTTTTTATAGAGCATTTGGTCTATTGGGAAATAAATATTAAACGTGATTGTGTTTAATCATGTTTAATCATGTAAACATGCTTGTGTTTAACATATACAATTTTATAATTGTAATAAGTGCCATGAAGAAAATGTCCAAGGTGCAATGAGATTAAATGAGGAAAAAAGTTTAATCTGGTTCTTAAAGGTTAAGAAGAGGGATGTGAAGTGGGATAATAGGAAAACAAGGGACCTAGCAGGAAAATTACCCATGGAAAGAGCACATGTGAAGAACAGAGAAGGCCAGGGTGGCTGGAAATTATTACCGGACAGAGTTTGGGAGATAAGGCTACAGAGGTAAGAAGAAGACAAATCATGGAGAGTGTAGTGCATCATGGAAATAATTTTTGACATTATCATTAAATCATTGTAGAGCTTCAGGGGGAGTTTAAGAGGGACATGACAATCAATTTGCACTATTTAAGAAGCTGGAGAGAAATCTGTGTGTGCATATGTGTATGTGTGTGTGTGAGTGTGTGTATTTCCAGGCCTTGTTAGCTGGATAAATGATAATAGAAGATGTCATTAATGAATCCAAATTGGAACAACTGGAAGAACAGGGTGTGTATTAGTTCTTATATTACTTTAAAGAAATACCGAGGCTGGGTAGTTTATGAAGAAAAGAGGTTTAATTGGCTTACAGTTTTGCAAGCTGTGCTCAAGTGCTGGCAACTGCTTCTGGTGAGGGCTTCAGGAAGCTTACCATCATGGTAGGAGGTGAAGCGGGAGCCAGTGCCTCACATGATGAGAGCAGGAGCAAGTGGAGGAGGGGGGACAAGGGGAGCTACACACTTTTAAACAACCACATCTCCTGTGAACTCACTCATTGCCGTGGGGATTGGCTAAGCCATTCATGAAGGATCCACTCTGATGATCCAGATACCTCCCAGCAGGCCCCACCTTCAACACTAGAGGTTACATTTCATCATGAGATTTGGAGGGGACAAATATTCACACCATATCAGGGTGTTATCTACTGAGATGGGGAATTCAAGGCAAAAGCAGATTAGGAAGAGATCTGGGGGAGGAAAGCGTTCAGAGTTCAGTTCTGAGCATGTTGAACTGAAGCAGGTGGTAGGTGCACTGGCACTTGACTGTCTGATCCTGAAGTTCCAAAAAAGTGCCTGGACTGGAGATAGGAACTTGAAATCCTATCAGTAGGATTGTTAGGAGTACAATGATGAAGAATAAGGTTTTGAAGTCAAGTAGCCTGGGACTTGACTAGCGACAACAGGGTCTACAATTTACTGTGCAACCTTAGGCAAATCTTACCCTACTGAGCCAGTTCCTGTTTTTTATGTAATATGCTTATTGTTTGTATAGGGTTTTTGTGATAAGTTACTGATAAGCTAAGATGTGCAAATAACTTGATAAATTTTATTAGTTTTGTAAATAGTAATATTATTTATAGAGATATTATTTAAATGTAAAAGACTGATAAACTTGCCTAAGGAAAGTACAGAGCAAGAAGGTGGGCAAGCCCCAATTTCTAAGGAGTTAGTAGAAGAGGGTGAGTCAGAAAAGTTAGCTGAGAGATAAATGCCAGAGAAATAGAAGAAAGGAGAGAGAGGTGTCATGGAAACTAAGAGAAGAGAAAGTTCTAGAAGGAGGAAGGAGTCCATTGAAAGCACAAATGAAGATTAAACTGTCTCTTATTTAGCCACATAGAGTGAAATGCTGACCTTTCCTGAGGCAATTTCAATAGAATGGTAGGGTGCGAGATTGAATGGAGGAGGAAGAGAAGATGGTATGTATCTACAACTGTTTAGAACAGCTCAAGATGCAAGATGCAGTGAGAGTTCATTCAGATGGGAGAACCTGGAACATGTTTGATTTTTGAAGGCAGTGATCTGGGAGAAGAGAGTAAGAGAGAGAGAAGAAAATTGAAAATGCATGTGGGTGAGGAAATGAGGTCAGTGAGGAGGCAAAATGGATGGAGTTGGTCTTAGAATGCAGGAGAGGAATGTCCTGCACTCTAATTGGAGAGAGAAGACAATGAGTGCAGAGGCGGGGGCGGGGGTTGTAGTTGTGGTGATGGAAATTGGTCTTCGTTTGGTATGGGCGGAAGTCAAAGGTGAAAAGGAGTGGCAAAGGAGGTATGACAACAGTCACTACAGAAGGCAGAACACACCAGGAGATGCATTCTGATTCTGGGTAGATTCACTTCAAATCTTTGCTTATCCATCTGCTCTGTTGTGAGTCTTTTTCCTAGCAGGACTTAGTTGTGCAGGGCTGCCCTCGGGAGGCTTTTGTTAGACTCTCCCAGGTTTGGGATTTTCTTGGTTGAGTGTAATGCAAGAACAAAAGCACAGGGAAATGCTTGGAATTTGCAAGATTTGGTGAAACAATGGTTCCTCCACTTCTGAGCTGTGGCCAGGTAGGAAAGGTTGGAGAAATGTTCTGTGAAGAGACAGAATTTATTTATTATGGGACAAAGTTGCAGAAGGCACAGTGGAAATATTTGGAAGAAAATGAAGCCATGGAAGTCTAAGACAGAAACAGCCCAAGACAGCACAGGAAGAAAGGAGATGGTGATGTGGCCATGCCTTGCTCAGAATGTGACCTGTGTGAGGTTAATCCCCTTCAGAATTCCTATAGGTGGATTTGGCTATAACTGTGTGTTTGTTTGTTAATGCGTGTTGCGATCCAGGCAATTCAGAAGCCACAAGTGAAATGAGAGGCTAAATTTATAGGTAAAGAGATAGGTGCAGAAAAGAAGCATGTGCTCATTTTCCCAGACCAAAATATTTGCTGCATGGAATGAGAAAGAAAACACATAATTTTCTATGAGAACAGGACTTTGTTCCTGGCATATGCATCACTCTTTCTCCCAGAGTGCATTGCCTGGCCAGCAGGTGCCCAATGAGCTATTGCGAGTAGGAAAAATAGAACCCCCCCATTGTCACCATAGCTCCTAATTGCTGTGCATTCTGATTCTGGGTAGATTCACTTTAAATCCTTGCTTATCCTTCTACTATTGCTGCTGCCTCCGATCTACCCTCCAGATTGTGCAGCCATGGGGCTAGATGGGGTTGAATCTGGAGGATTGTTGGGAGAGGAGCGGTCTTCACTACAAACCACTCTTGAATACCCTTCCCCTCCTCTCCTCTCATCTACCTGGCCAAATCCGAACAATCAGTTAAGGCCCCTCCTAGTTCTTATCCCTTTGAAGGAGGGTTTCTGTGACAACCTCTACTTTTAGTGTTCCATTTCATAGAGGGTCTGTATTTTATTTAAACTATTTCTTATTTATGCAAATATAGATTTCCTCTCTTTTTTCCTATTAGTGTTGCTTGTAGTAAACATTCTTGTACATACATTTGTAGGACCGTACAAAGTTCTGTCAATAAGAAAAACCCCAATAGAAAGTTGCTAAGTCAAAGGATATATGGATATTTCATTTGATACCTAGTCAAATTGCTGTCCAAAAATTTCTACTCCGATTATGAGAATATGTTTTCTTGCATCCTTGATAACACTGGATATTAATTAGTAAGCTTATGAATTTGTGCCACGCTGATAGGAGAAATATGGTAGCAGCTTGTTGTTTAATATTTTATTTGTTCAATTGAATGGGAAACTTTTCTTTGGCCACTTTTGTTGTTGTTGGCTGCTGTTTTTTTAATATATTGCTCATTTTTCCATAGGGTAACTACTCCTTATTTTATTGAGTTACACCAGTATTTTATGCATTAAGGAAATTAGTCTTCTGTCATGTATGTTTTTCCAGTTTGCTACTCTTCTTGCATCAAGCAACCTGCAGGACGGTATGATCCCATTTGTATGTGTTCCTTTTTCAAAGGTGGTTGTGTGCTTACAAGTGCTTAGAAATTTTCATGAAGCATACATAAGAAACTTAACATTAGTTATCAAAATGTAGGCAGAGAGGGTGATTAACTTTTCACTCTACACCAGTCAGTACTATCATTTATACATACTCAAACTGTATTGTTTTTGTAATTATAAAGGCCATGTCTCATTCTCTCTCTCTCTCTGGATATTTTAAAAGAATGAACCAGAACCACACAATTTGGAAACAGAGATATACAGTGGCCTTCTCTGCTTCTTCACCACCTCTCTTCTTGTTGCTTTAAGCTCCCAAGTTGCTCGTTGGGAGCTCTTTTGAGATGGGAGAACCATAGTAAAATTCTTCTGTGGGCCACGCTAATGTTAATGGGTAACATTTGGGGCAAAGGTCTCCTCCGTCTCCACATCTGCAGCTTTGTACAGGCCTCACCTCTGAAATGCCTGAAAGTGTGAAGCCAGGCAAGGCCTAATGTGTATTAGCAAGACAAAGAGCCCACGAAGGGAGGAGCGGGGGATGAGCTTTAATTTACTGAAGATTTATTAGACCTCATGAAATCTGCCCGAACCACCCATTTTCTATCTCATCTGCCCACGTCTAAATAGGATGGCTTTGTTAGTATGCGATGGTCATTTAGAATTATCCAGCAACAAATCTTGCTGCTTAAAAAGGCAGACCGATGGGAGCAGAACGTTTGAGAGAGTTCATGCTCTGAACACAGAACCCCAAATCTGGAAATATGGAAATGTGGGAATGTGTTGGCCCCGCTTTCTGGGCCTTCCCCTTGACTTTTGTTTTTGGTCTGAGTCCTTCAGCTTCAGCGTGGCTTGTTTACTTGAGCATATGAAGAAAGCTTGAGAGGAGAAAAGGCAAAGGTGCTTTCACAGAGCAGCCTGGATATTTTAAACCAGGGTGATTTTCAGAGAAATACGTTGAAGTTCTGCTTTTTGGATAAATGCTGCTCAAACCTGAAGACTCAATGGAGCATATCCAATAATACTTTAAAGCTCAGCTCACGAGCAGGAGATCTCTCTGGGGCTATACAAATGTCAAAATACTGTCTCCTTAATTTGAAGGAAAGGTGAAAATTATTGGGACTTGGTTTTCCGTTTAGCCTTAGGCTTGCAGCTCATTCATAGGGTGTTAGAAAATTCACCTGGATTGTATTACCAGAAACTTCCCCTCGGGTTGCCTAACTTTGCAGGTCTCACAAGTCTCTATTTGCTCATCTATGGAATGGGTCGATATGGAAAGCTTCATGAAAAAGTAAGACACCTGAAAGAAATGTGAGGGCTTACTAATTTCTTTTATTATTATTATTATTATTATACTTTAAGTTCTAGGATACAGGTGCAGAACATGCAGGTTTGTCACATAGGTATACACGTGCCATGGTAGTTTGCTGCACCCATCAACGTCATCAACATTAGGTACTTCTCCTAATGCTATCCCTCCCCTAGTCCCCCACCCCCTGACTGGCCCTGGTGTGTGATGTTCCCCTTCCTGTGCCCATGTGTTCTCATTGTTCAACTCCCACTTACGAGTGAGAACGTGTGGTGTTTGGTTTTCTTCTTCCTGTGTTAGTTTGCTGAGAATGATGGTTTACAGCTTCATCCATGTCCCTGCAAAGGACATGAACTTGTCCTTTTTTATGGCTGCATAGTATTCCATGGTGTATATGTGCCACATTTTCTTAATCCAGTCTATCATTGATGGGCATTTGGGTTGGTTCCAAGTCTTTGCTGTTGTGAATAGTGCTGCAAGAAACATAGCTGTGCATGTGTCTTTATAGTAGAATGACTCATAATCCTTTGGGTTTATACCCAGTAATGGGATTGCTGGGCCAAATGGTATTTCTGGTTCTAGATCCTTGAGGAATCGCCACACTGTTTTTCACAATGGTTGAACTAACTTACACTCCCACCAACAGTGTAAAAGCGTTCCTGTTTTTCCACATCCTTTCCAGCATCTGTTGTTTGCTGACTTTTTAATGATCATCGTTCTAACTGGCATGAGATGGTATCTCATTGTGGTTTTGATTTGCATTTCTCTAATGACCAATGATAAGCTTTTTTTCATATGTTTGTTGGCCACATAAATGTCTTCTTTTGAGAAGTGTCTGTTCATATCCTTCACCCACTTTTTGATGGGGTTGTTTTTTTTCTTGTAAATTTGTTCAACTTCCTTGTAGATTCTGGATATTAGACCTTTATCAAATGGATAGATTGCAAACATTTTTTCCCATTCTGTAGGTTGCCTGTTCACTCTGATAATAGTTTCTTTTGCTGTGCAGAAGCTCTTTAGTTTAATTAGATCCCATTTGTTGATTTTGGCTTTTGTTGCCATTGCTTTTTGTGTTTTCGTCATGAAGCCTTGTCCATGCCTATGTCCTGAATGGTATTGCCTAGGTTTTCTTCTAGGATTTTTATAGTTTTAGGTCTTATCGAATCCAGCAGCACATCAAAAACTTATCCATCATGATCAAGTTGGCTTCATCCCTGGGATGCAAGGCTGGTTCAACATATGCAAATCAATAAACATAATCCATCACATAAACTTAACCAGTGACAAAACTCACATGATTTTCTCAATAGATGCAGAAAAGGCATTTGATAAAATTCAATACCCCTTCACGCTAAAAACTCCCGATAAACTAGGTATTGATGGAACATGTCTCAAGAATAAGAGCTATTTATAACAAACCCACAGCCAGTATCATACTGAATGGGCAAAAGCTGGAAGCATTCCCTTTCAAAACTGGCACAAAACAAGGATGCCCTCTCTCCACTCCTATTCAACACAGTATTGGAAGTTCTGGCCAGGGCAATCAGGCAAGAGAAAGAAAGGGTATTCAAATAGGAAGAGAGGAAGTCAAATTGTCCCTGTTTGTAGATGACATGATTGTATATTTAGAAAACCTCATCGTCTCAGCCCAAAATCTCCTTAGGCTGATGAGCAACTTCAGCGAAGTCTCAAGATTCAAAATCAATATGCAAAAATCACAAGCACTCCTATACGCCAGTAATAGACAAACAGAGAGCCAAATCATGAGTGAACTCCCATTCACAATTGCTTCTAAGAGAATAAATACCTAGGAATCCAACTTACAAGGGATGTGAAGGACCTTTTCAAGGAGAACTACAAACCACTGCTCAAAGAAATAAGAGAAGACACAAACAAATGGAAAAACATTCCATGCTCATGGGTAGGAAGAATCAATATGAAAATGGCCATATTGCCCAAAGTAATCTACAGATTCAATGTTATCCCCATCAAGCTACCATTGACTTTCTGCATGGAATTAGAAAAAATTACTTTAAATTTCATATGGAACCAAAAAAGAGCATGAATAGCCAAGACAATCCTAAGCAAAAAGAACAAAACTGGAGGCATCAGGCCACCTGACTTCAAACTATATTACAAGGCTACAGTAACCAAAACACGGTACTGGTACCAAAACAGATATATAGACCAACGGAACAGAACAGAGGCCTCAGAAATAATGCCACACATCTACAACTGTCTGATCTTTGACAAACCTGACAAAAACAAGCAATGGGGAAACGATTCCCTATTTAATAAATGGTGTTGGGAAAACTGGCTAGCCATATGCAGAAAACTGAAACTGGACCCCTTCCTTACACCTTATACAAAAATTAACTCAAGATGAATTAAGGGCTTAATAGTTTTCCCTGAGGAGGATGATCTCACTCCACTTAACTGAACGTTGGAATTTAAAGGAAGTTAAGGGAGGGCTTTGTCCACCTTAATAAAATTCTCTTCTGTGGCCATTGCTGCTGTAATGTGAAAAGAACACATTCCTATATTTAACGAGGAGAGGGATGAATCATTCCTTCTGCTGGTCTTAAAAGTAGTAAGTAGGACTAATGAAATATAGTCAGACAAGAGGGTGGACATAGTAGGAATATCCACAGTTGGGCCCTTAAAATGAACACTAGGTCAGTGGCTGAAAAGGAACATATGCAGACATGATAATATGCCAAGGGCACTGCATTCTTGACCTTTGATAAGGAATTTGGAGAAAGCAGGAAGACGGCAAAGACTCTGCTTTAAGCCATGCTTGGAAATTCTGGTGACTTTTTAGGGCCAAAAGTGAATAGCTTTAAAGCAACATTCAAGCTATTTGTTTTCCCCTCAATGTAATAATCTGTTTGACTGTCGGTTATAGATGTACATCAGTCTTCATCTGTCATTGCCAAAATCTCCTTGTACACAATGGGACAGTTCTCAATTAATGCAAATTAAACCACAGTTGTCTTGTCTGTAATTGTCTAAACTAGCAATATGCCTTTCTTTGTTGAAAAGAGCCATCCAAAACTCCTTGCTCTGTCTACCCCGAGGGCCCCGTGCATGTTCCATGCTTTATCTCTTTCTTGTGGCTTTTATCCACACAACATTAAAGGGACTCTCTTTCCTTTATGCAGGCAAATAAAAAGTAGAGAACAAAGATGAAAAGAATTCATTCTGCTGATGATGTACTTCAGAATCCAGCAGCCTGGTTTTCAGACATTGGCCAAGTTAAAAGTTGCACTGGGTTCCTTTACATCAGAAGTTCAGATGAAAAAATGAAATCAAGCATGTGCCCGTAAGAACTTGTAGTACATTAAAATGAAGTTATGTCATTGGCAGCTCTTGAAAAGGGATTTCCAAGGCCTGCCTTTTAGCCTTGGTTAATGGGGAAGAAGAGCTCAAGAGCCACAGGTTTGCCATTTGCCCTCTCAATCTGTTTCCATTTAAAGAATATTTTCTCTGAAGCTTAAAGCAGGTAATAGAGCCTGAACTGCATCATTACCTCTAAAAGATCAACTTCCCCGCAAGCTAAGCATTTCTCACTAGGCATGTTCCATGGGAAACTTTTCAGGGGCTTGAGCCATTTTTCCCAAGCAGATAATCTTCAGACAAGTCATAGTTAAAATCCACTTAGCTCTCCAAATGAGAAACATCAGAAGGGAGAGGAGCTAAATTCTTTCCAAAACATGCCCAATTTCAGAAGAGAACTACCTGGAAGAGAGATCATGGGTCTGTTTCAAGGTTGTTTCGGGCAACTAGCTTTGTGTCAGAGGGGCCCTTTGGAGCATAATCATTGTGTACTCTCACACTGTAAACAGAACTGGAGCTGCTCCTTTGTTACCAAGTAAGTTGACACACCTGGATTCAGATGACATATCTACCCTAGCCTCATTTTTGTCTTACACACAATTTGATTGAAACTATCTTCCTCATTATTATCCCCATAACCACAGGCCCTACATTCCCTTAAAGTGATTGTTAGACAATGCAGATCACTCTAGCCTTTGTTCTAATGCACATACTCTTCTGCTCTACTCCTGGTCACCTCTCCTGCCCATTCAACCTGTAGTTCATTCCAGAGCCAATCTGCTCCATGTCCTCCCTTCATACATTCCATGTGGTCTCAAGCTACAAATTAAACTCAACTATCCTTGGTTGTGAACCCCTACTCAGGCACTTACTAACCCTGGAAAGCCATGATGCATTGAGACTACTACTGCCTCAGGCTCCTCCTCCAGAATCCCAGGTGACAGAGACACAGCCACCTGCTCTGAAGCCCACTGCAGTGGGTAGAGCATGGATTTAGGTGCCAGAGAATTCTGGGTTTAAATCCTATGTCTGTCACTTACCAGTTTCTGTGCTTTATTTTTTCCATGTGTTACACAAAATGGATAGGAATAAAAAGAAATAAAAGAGGATCTGACGTATTTTGGTAGCCATCTCCCAAGATGGCCCTCAATAATCACCTCCTGGTGTTCACGTTTTTGTGAGGTGTCCTTCTACACTCAATCACAGCTAGTCTTGTGAGGCCAAGACTAGCCTTCTCTTATCAGAGTAGATTATGAAAGGCATTGCAGTTTCTGCCTTCTCGTCTTGGATACAGGCCATGTCATGAAAACACTCAAGCAGCCCTATGAAAACATTCAAATGGGGAGGACCCTGAAGCCTCCCACCAAAATCCTTTACCAAAGTGTCAGCTTTGTAAGTGAGTTGCCTTGGAAAAGAGTCCTCCAGCCCCAGTTAAGCCTTTGGATGACTGTAACCCTAGCTGACATCAAACTGCAATAACAAAAGAGATCCCAAGCCAGAACTACCCAGCCAAGCTGCTCCTGAACTCATGATTGCATGTTACAATAAATGTTTCTCATTGTTTTAAGCCACTAAGTTTTGGGATCATTTATTATACAGCAATAAATAACTAATACACAAGTGGTGGATGCTCAGATGTTTGTTTCATTTCTTCTCGAATTAGAAAGTTGAAATCTGCCCTTTACCTTCCCAAACATGCTATTTCTTACATTAGCCCACTACCTCAGGGTTAAAAAAATTATTCCTAGCTATATGTTGTACAGTCTCTCCTGTATAAGAATCCTTTCAAAAGGTGTGGCACATGAATCACTTTTTAAAATCTGCCTTACCTGTGTTCCCCATAACCTAAGGGCCATGATACAATATCTATTTATGCAGTGAGAATCTTCTATAAAAGTAAACCATTACACAGGAAGTGGGAGAAGAGGCCCAGAGACCATTTGTGGATAGAAGATACATGTTAACAGTTGTTGCACTTCAGTTATTCTCTGCTTTTGTTTCAAAAATAACTATGAAGGTCATTGAATTCTCCACTAAGTATGCCTGAAACTTTGAAGAACTGGTATTAATTATAAGACAGAAAGAAGTGGATTAAGAAAAGTTCTACTCAGACTTCAGCTCATGGTTGAACTTTCAATCATGAAAACAAGAGGTCACGGAAAATGGTAGAAGGTACCTTGAATCGGGACAGGTGATGAGTGAGTATTGACCAAAACATGGGGCAACTGGCCTCCTCTGTTTTCTGGTGCTGCTCCCTGGGACTATCAAAATACGGTAGTTTTCTGCCTCGCTTCCCTCTTCTCCCCCGATCTGCTACTCCCACCTTCTAGCCCTGATGCACTTCTACAACCAGACAGAGATTGAGGATCCCACAAAACATTTAGGAATAAAGCAGAAGCTGCAAAATAGGCAACTCCCAGTGCCTACAGAGAAGAAAAGAGCTTCAAGTCAAGTGGTAGGGGAAGAGATAGGAAGGACTGTGGTGGAGATGCCTGCTGATAATTGGCCTATGTTAGATCAGAGAAGAAGAGGACCATGTAATGAGAAAAGAGGAAGATGTGTCCTCCTGAAGGTGCAGGGATACACTAGATCCTGTTATAAACTGGGGGCTGGACTTGAAGCCATGCACAACCTGCCTTCCTACCTCTGACTTTGAGAAGCAGATTCAGTCACTGGGCAAGTGAAGGTAAGAAGGGTTGCAGGGCCAAGTGCAAGCCACTTATCCTGACTGGTTAGCAGAGTTCACATAACAGTTTGGACAAAGATGAAGAAAAGAGAAAATCACACCACAGATAGAAATTGGAATGGCATTTGAGGTTTTAAAGCAATGGTATGCCGAGGAAGATAATATATCTTAGATTTCAAAGCACAGGGAGCCATGGCCTCTCTGAAACAAGAACTGAGAGTCATGAGGAGAGGAAAGGCTGACATCAAAAGGCCAACTGGCTGAAACATAAATGTCAGATTTGGAAAAGCATTGGCTACACATGGCAAGGGGCTGATAATCTCTTATAGGAAGAGTTCACACCAATATAAAAAGAGGTCACAGGAATAATTATATAAAGGGTATAAATAGTAGGCCATTTGCCAGTCATCAGAGAAAAGAAAATCTGAATATGAAGGCTATTACTTTGGCTAATGAGATTGGCAAATACTTGAGAAGTCCACTGCAGGCTAAGGTTTGAGTAACCAAAGCTCTTACATGTACTGCTGTTGAGAATGTAAAATATAATTTTTCTGCAGGACAACTGGCAACATGTACTTTAAACGTATTTATAATGTTTGTAAATTTTGACCCAAAAGTTCTAGTGCTAGAAAATTATGCTAATAAGTATAAGAGAATGGATAAATTATGGTACATCTATACAGTAGAAAATTTGAAGCCTCCTCATATTGAGAATATGTTTTTGCCTACATGCTAATCTAATGGTGAAATTTAAAGAACTAAATAGGGTACAGGCCTTTTCACGTATTGATTTGTGCACGCATAAATAGGTTCTAGAATTATATATATTAAAATTCTAACAGTGGGATTCTGGGGTAACAGCAATACTGGCGATTTTAGTCTTGTTCTTTCAATCCAATATTATCTAACTTTTTCTATAATCAGCATTTATTGCTTTTGCAACTCAACAAGTATTTTATATTTAGGTTTTCACTGCCTGCAATTATCTATCTTCATTCTTCATATCTATCTATCTTAGTGAAAATTACCTTTATGCATTGATGTAATAAGTACTATGGAAAATAGTGCCATCAGTCAAAATGTGAAGACATAACTATGACAATTACTACTGTAAACTATGTGCAGACATCCAGTGTGAGGATCATTTCACTGATAGAAACATCTATGAGAGATTGCTAGGAATCTCTGTTTATGGAAACTGTAATTGGCTTTATGAAAAAAACTGTCATACAACCATTGACAAGACCTCATTCACCAGTAAAGCATAGTAGATGCATTATTGTACCTGCACTCTACATTTGAGATTCTTTCTAATTTATAGTACGGGTAAAAATCTCTTTCAATGGAAGTTTTTCTAGTCAGCAGTGGTTTTCAATTTATACTCAGAAATAAGATTTTTAGCATTTAAAATATATCTCTGGATAAAGAAGAATTATTTAGTCAGTAGTAATATGAAAGAGATATCATTTTATATTATTGAAATGGAATGTTTTGAGATGATTTTTGAAAGCCATTCCATCTTCCAGACATGCTTGTATGCACATACTTGAAAGCTCCATCCCAATTTTCGGCACGTTATAGGTGATCAATACATAGCAGTTGAAAAAATGAGGGAGCAGGCCTGGGCATGGTGGCTTACACCTGTAATCCCAGCACTTCAGGAGGCTGAGGCAGGTGGATCACTTGAGCCTAGGAGTTTGAGACAACCTGGGCAACATAGTGAGACCAAAAAAATAAATAAAAATTAGCTAGGTATTATGGCATATGCCTGTAGTCTTAGCTACTGGGGAGGCTGAGGTAGGAGGATCACTTGAGCCTGGGAAGTTGAGGCTACAGTGAGCCGTGATCACACCACTGCACTCCAGCTTGGGCAACAGAGCGAGACCCTGTCTCAAACAAACAAAAAATAGGGAGCAGAGTCAAGCAAGCCACATCATGCTGACATGCTCATTTATTCCTCCCCAAATAGAATGCAACTCATTTTTCTCTCTGTACCCCTTCCCCTGCCACTTTCTTACTCTGACATTCAAAGCTTCTTCACACAAAGTTTTTTTGTTACTGTGTGAATTCAAAATAATAGGTGGAAACAACCCTATTCTACGATTTTAGAAAACTTTCTTTTGATACCCAGAAGCCCTATCTGACCTTGAACAAATCATTTAAAATTCTAAGTTTCTACATCAGAAGAATAGGAAAAATTCCTGCTCTTTTTTTCCTCACCATATTATTGTGAGAATTTAAGATAACACAAGTAAAATGCTTTGTGTTATAAAGCCCAGGTAACTTTTATTGGTTCCAGGAATTTGTGCCATTTACGATGTTCTTTTTGCCTGATCAGATCTGTTAACAACCTTGCCAGTGCCTCCACCTATAGTGCTTTAGTGCTCTTGTAATCCCATTGCACAGAATGAGGTGAGTCAGGGCTAGCATTCACACTGAAATCTGCAAGGATTATAGACTCCACATTTTACCCTGGGCTACCTACCCAAGAACCTTTAAACTCTTCCTCTTCTCCCCTGTCCCTTATAGATGTCTTTAGCTATGTCAAAGAGGCAGACAGTGCAAAGCCCATCACTCAAGAAACCTCTCCACAACCAGAGCTGCTGCACCTCCTTGTTTTGTTCGGTTGGATGCATTGTTAAAGGTTGATTTGTTTGCAGTTCAGACAATGGGTACCACCATCAAAAGCAGCAGATTCAAGTCAGCAAATGTTTGAGCAAGCAGGGCATTATCCAATCAGCCTTACCTATTTGGGATTCAAGCTTGAAAGGCCCCTCAGAAAGACAATAAACAGTTTCCTTGACACATCGAATGAAGTCCAAACCAAACAAATTCCTCGCTAGGCAAGATCTGGAGTCTGACACTTTTTCTTTGATTGGGACATACAAAAAAAAGTGTCCTCATGATTGGTACCGAAAAAATAACGGATTCCTTTCTCATTGGGCCCACCTTTTCCTAAATGTCATTTAGTTCGTTTTTATCTATTTATGAACTTTTATTCCTTTTGCTGTTAAAAATGAACAACAAAGTAATAATGCACCATCAAGAGGAAAAACTAAGTTCGCACTCTGGCTTCTCATACGTGTGCAAGTGTATAAAACCATGTTTTCAGATGGATTTTAAAATGGTCATGGAGCTCTTCTTTGAATATCAATATTCACGTGCTGTGTTTTCATAGTTCCTTGGTATTTATATGACGGCTCTCTAATGTTTTAAAGCAATTCATTTTGTCAGGAATGTAAGTGGTTTCCAAATTTCCACTCTCCAAACCGCACTGCACGGCAGTGAACATTCCTATAACTAAATCTATGCTCATGTCCTTACAGTTAAATTTCCTGCACTGGAATTACTGGGTTAGGATAAGAACATTTTCAAGACTGTTGAAATATTTGCCACACTTTCCTCTAGATAAGTTGTTCCGATTTTCGCCCCATTGGCAATACGTACTCTTTGAAGTATTATACTGTTGAAAATATGTGTCAAATAAATGAATTCTCAATGTTTACATTTAAATATTTTTATTACTAATGAAGGGGAGCGTCTTGGCACATACTGGCATACTGGTCTTTCTGTGTTTGGGTGGATGTGAGTTTACTGCTCATCCATCCCGGCCCGTTTTTACTGGGTGATCTTTTAATTCATTTGCAGGGGTCTTTGCATACTAATAATATTAGCTCTGCATCTGATTGTGTTGCAAATATATTCATGTTATTTTGAATTGCTTTTGAATTGTCATGGTTGTTGTGGTTTTAATGTTGTCAAATGAATGTCTTTTTCCTCATGAGTTTCCTCAACTGAGAGTCAAAGCCCCTGTTTTGGAGAAAGCGCTAGATGTGCAGGGAAGTGGTTGGCCACTTGGAGACTGTCCCAGCATTGACATGGCGGCCCCATAACCTTTGCTCTCAGGTCTGTGGTGCAGCTGTATCTGTAGCAGGAAGAGGGTCTCCAGACAGGGTTATTCCTACTCCTGCTCTTGCTGCCAGAACACTAGTGCCTCCAAATTAGAAGGTGTTGGTGGCCTTCTGCCAAGATTTTCTTTACTTATTTCCCTAGGTACTACACTTCTTTCTCACAAAAAATTATTACTTAGTTTTAGTGAATTCATTAAATGTGTTATCTGCACTGTGTTTTATAGAAAATTCCTCAAAGTTTGAGGCATGTCTATGACACATCTCTCTAGTTTTAGTGCGATTCAGGTTTCATGCTATTTAACTCACCTTTGACCATGTCAAACAGGTGCCACTTCTCATGGCTCCATCTTTCCCTGGACATCATATTATAATTACGCTATCCATTATAAGTGCGTTTTCCCCATTGTTTCCTCTCTTTATATATGGCTGATATATTGATTGGATAGATATTGGCATTTCATTTTTTCACAGGCAATCTTACTGAAATCTTACTTTGGCACTTTCCTACTTGGCCCTTAGATTACCTGGGTGGACAATGAGAGCATCTGAAAATAATACTTTGTTCATTTTTCCAGTATTTGCAAGTTTTTGTTTTCATGTATAATTGCGTTTGTTGAGATTTTCACAATATTGAATAATGGCTATAATAGGAAAAATAATGAGCACCCAATTTTTAATAGAAATGCCTCTAGTGCTAAGTAAAATGCTTATTTTACATTTTCTATGTCAACCTTGAGGTGCTACTGGTACTAGTGAGCAGGGGCCAGAAATGCATTAGATACTGCAATGTTTTTAACTATTGTAAATGGAAATTTTGCCAAATGTTTTCTTATCATCAAGAGATGATCGTTAAGTCTTCAGGCATTTCTCTTCTGCTTATAAAAGATAATACTAATAGATCTTCATATATTGAGCTCTCCTAGCATTCCTACTCATGATGTATTATTCTTTTAAAACACTACTCAATGTAATTTTTCAGCTGGTTTGTGAAAATTTTTCATACCGTGCCACATACAAATTTAGTTGCACTCTTTATACACCTTCAGATCTTAACCCTACCAGTAGCCTGCGTATCTCTGTATTGAGGTCATCATGTCATTTAAACAAATCTCTCAAACTGGGTTCAAAGGAAACTCAATGATAAAACAAATATTGAATTAAAATTTTTTTAACACATTTCAGTCAACACAAAAAAATTTGACTCAATACTACTTCATGATAAAAATACTCAACAAACTGGGAATAGAAGGAAAGTTCTTCAACCTGATAAAGAGAATCTATAAAAGATTCGCAGCTAACCTCACACTTAAAAATCAGGAAAGGAGAATGTCCATTCTCACCACTTCTATTTAACATTGTATTGGATAGGCTAATCGGAGCATATTAGGCAAGAAAATGAAATAGAAGACATCCAGATTGGAAGAGAGGAAATAAAACTATCTCTATTTGCAGATGAAATGATTTTCTATATAAAAATCACCAAGGAATCCATTTAAAAATTGATTAGAACTAATATATGAGCTCAGCAAGGTTGCAGAATGCAAGATCAATATGTAAAAAGTAATTGTATTTCTATACAGTAGCAATGAATAAACTGAAATTGAAATTAAGAAAGTGATTCAGGCTGGGTGTGGTGGCTCACACCTGCAATCCTACCACTTTTGGAGCCAGAGACAGGTGGATCACATGAGGTCAAGAGTTCGAGACAAGCCTATCCAACATGGCGAAACCCCATCTCTACTAAAAAAAATAATAAATCAGCCAGGCATGGTGGTGCATGCCTGTAATTCGTGCTACTGGCGGGGCTGGGGCACAAGAGTCGCTTAAACCAAGGAGATGGAGGTCGCAGTGAGCCAAGATCATTCCGCTGCACTCCAGCCTGGGCGACAGAGTGAGACCCTGTTCCCCCACCCAAACGCCAAAAAAAAAAAAAGATTAAGAAAGTGATTCAATGTATGCATAAAATAATACAATACCTAGAAATAAATTTAACAAAAGAAGTGCAAAACATTGTTGTAATCTATAAAAAATGTCAAAACATTGAAAACTAAGTAGACACCCCATCCTCATAAATCAGATTTGTCATTGTTAAGATGACAGTACTTCTGAAATTGACCCACAGATTCAACATAATCCTTATCAAAATCCCAGTTGGCTTGCTTACAGAAATTGATGAACTGGTCCAAAAATTCATTTGGAAATTCAGGAGACCCAGAATAGTCAGACATCTTTAAGAAAGAAAAAAGTTACGGTACTCACACTTCCCAACTTTAAAACTTAACTACAAAGCTAAAGTAATCAAGATAGTGGGTACTGACATAAGGACATAGATCAATGAAATAGAATGGAGAATCAAGAAACTAACTATCACATTTCTGGTTAATTGATTTTTGACAATGGCACCAAGGCAATTTAATGGGGGAAAGAAGAGTCTCTTTATCCAATGCAGCTGGGATAACTGAATATGTAAAACTATGAAGTTGGACCCATACCTCATACCACATACAATAATAAACCCAAAATGAATCAAAGACCTATATGTAAGAGAAGAAACTACAAAACATGTAGAAGAAACAGATGTGAATCTTCATGTCATTGAATTAGGCGATTAAAAAAAAAAAAACCCAAAGCAAAAGCAACAAAAGAAAAAAATAAATAAACTGGGCCAGGCGTGGTGGCTTATGCCTGTAATCCCAACACTTTAGGAGGTTGAGGCGGGCAGATCACCTGAGGTCAGGAGTTCGAGAACAGCCTGGCCAACATAGTGAAACCCTGTCTCTACTGAAAATACAAAAAAAATTAGCCAGAAGTGGTGGTGGGCACCTGTAATCCCAGCTACTCGGGAGGCTGAGGCAGGAGAATCACTTGAACCCGGGAGGCGGAGGTTGCAGCGAACCGAGATCGCACCACTGCCCTCCAGCCTGGGCAACAGAGTGAGACTCCATCTAAAAATTAAATAAATAAATAAACTAGACATCATCAAAATTAAGAACTTTCACGCTTCAAAGGACATCATGAAGAAAGTGAAAAGACAACAGAATGACAGAAAATTGCAAATCATATACGGCTGACTTTTGAGCAACAAAAGGGTTAGGGGTACCAACCCTCAACACAGTTGAAAATCCACATTCAACTCTGAACCTCCAAAAACTTAACTTCTCATCTCCTACTGTTGGCCTGAAGACTTACTAATAACATGAACAGTTGATTAACACACATTTTGTATGTTGTATGTATTATATACTGCATTCTTATAATACAGTAAGCTAGAAAAAAGAAAATGTTATTTAAAAATCATGAGGAAGAGAAAATATAGTTACTATTAAGGGGAAATGGATCATCATAAAGGTCTTCATCCTTGTCTTCATGTAGAGTAGGCTAAGGAGGAGGGAGGGGGAAGAGGAGGAGTTGGTCGTGCAGTCTCAAGGAGGACAGAGATGGAAGGAAATCCACATGTAAGTGGACCTACATAGTTCAAACCTGGGTTGTTCAAGGGTCAACTGTATATAATAAGGAACTTGTCTCTAGAATATATAAATAATTCCTACAACACAAGGATAATAACAGATCTCCAAAAATAGAAAAAGATCTGAATAGAGATTTCTCAAAAAAGATATATGAATGGTCAATAAGCACATGAAAAGATGCTCAACCTCATTAGTAATCAGGGAAATGCAAATCTAAATCACAGTCTAATACGCACTAGCATGACTTTAATAAAAAAGATATTAACAAGTGTTGGTGAGGATGTGAAGAAATTTAAAGAAACTCTTGCATTCATTGCTGATGGTGATGTAACATCTTGCACCTGCTTTGGAAAAGAGTCTAGTAGTTCTTTAAAAGGCTAAATGTAAAGTCTCCATATGACCCAGCAATTGCACTGCTAGCTATATATACAAGAGAAATAATATCACATCTGCTATTTTATTGGCTAAAGCAAGTCAGACATAGCCAAACTCAACCTTAAGAGGGCAGGGAAAGGCATACTGCCTCACAGCAAGAAGAAAAAACGGATATTTCGTGGACCACACTGATACCTACTATTATCTGCTCTTCTTCCCACAAAATATTCTTTCACAAACAGAACACACCTTCTCTTCACAGGAAACAAAATTCACTGCATCCACCATGGTGTCTGGTGTCTGGAATCTCTAAGTGATATTCACAATCTCTCTATTAGGACTGAAGGTGATTCCTCTTGGTCTAGAGCCCTTTGAAATTAAAAGACAAATTATCTCCACACATACTCAATATAAAATAGTGAAATAGGGAGAATGAGAAAAAAAAAAGAGCAATCACCACTCGATGGCAATTCTGAAATCTCCCTGGGAAATCATTGCGGAGACCTCTCCCCTGAGGTTATAGACCATTTCTGCATTTCTCACTGAGCTGTCTACTGGTTTGGAGCCCTTAGAACCCTTGGAACAATTCTCTTCTTCTGAGAAGTTCTCCCTTTTCTTGTCCCACTGTGACCACTTCTAAACAGGACATCAGAATACCACCTCTTGATCATAGTTGGGGTCCCAAGCTTGTTTGAAATCACTGTCTTATTCAGTGATGTAATTCTCTTCAAAACTTAGCCAACATTTCCATTTGATTAAAGTTGATAGCACCTGCCAATACTCCTTCCCAACATACTCTTGGATTTGCTATATTGCCTTGCTTTTTTGCTCTCTGTTCTTCTTTCTCCATCTTCTTTTTAATCCTCTCTTTTTGACTGTGTCCCTGTTTTTTTCCCTCCTTCTCTCTCTCCCTTCCTCCCTCCCCCAGCCTTCTTTCTTGCTCGCTTGCTGGCTTCCTTTTCTTCTTTTCCTCCCTTCTTTCTGTCTTTGTAGTTATGTGCAATGAATTTGTATAGATTTCCAAGTTCTTAACAATCTGGGTCACAGGCCTAACCATTCCCCAGAACTTACAAAACTCTACGCAGGTTTGTCAACCATTACTGAAATCCAGGACCAAATATACTAAAAAAGATTGGGAACATTCCAAATAAAAAAAAAAATCTATGAAATAGAAGTTGTAATGATGTGTCCATTTAGGGAAGAGTGACTCATAGCTTATGCAATATATTTTTAAGTAATTTTCCCTTTGCTATCTTACCAACTGGAATTCATAGAACTTAGAGTAGATTTAATAAATAGTTTAAAGTTAAGTCCTGTGCTGCTTTGAATTTGGTGAAATTTAAAATTAACTTTATTCCTTGGATTTTATTCCCATTAAACGACTCTAAACATATTTAAGCTTCTCCCAGGCTTTAGTTGAAGGCAAGAAATCTTAATGTAATCCATAAAACCTTCCTTGGCTGAACTCACCTTTCTTGTCTTATCTCAATCCACACTTTCTTACATGCTATTTCTGTAATCTAGCCACAGTGTCTTTTTGTAGTTGCACAAGCATGACATGTTCCATCTGAACTCAGGATGTATATGTGACGGTCCCTCTACATGAACCTATCTTCCGCCTTCAAATCCTTTCCTTAGCTGACTTGAGTTCTTCTTCTTTGAGCTCCCTGTGTTAAGTGGCACATTTTGAAGCTGTCTTTTCTGACCTGCCTGTTATGGCCCACTCCTCCCTTCTATGCCATCACTAATACCTTCCGCTACTCTTTCAGATTACTCATGGGCGTTCTAAGTTCTTATTTATTTGTGGGCTCGTTTGCTCAGCATTATCTCTACAACCAGATTCTAAGCTTTGCAAAGGAAGAGATCATACCTTATTCTGTATCCCAGATACTTAGAAAGTTTATGGTCCACAATAGGCACTTAAAGATTTGTTGAAACAAAGCAGAAACCTAGGTAATTTCACAACATAAGAACAGAATCAATGATTTTCATTTTTCTAAGTTTTAGTGTCTGGCATTGTGGAAATAAAACAGATTTGATTATTTTCAGTTAATAATTTAGCCATTTGGGGCTTTATTTTGTTTTTATTGCTTTAGCCTATACAAAGATAAATACCTAGTGTGATAAATATTTTCTTGAATTTAGTAATAAAATATCTTCTTGATATTTTGCTTGTGAATCTTTTACTCATTGAACAGGTATTGTGATGTCTTATTGACTCAAATTATTATTTTTCAAAAATTTGTATCATTTAAAGAGTTTTATAAGGTAGTAAAAGATAAATTTTTCATTTTGACTTGAATTCTCATAAATATTTAGTCCTATTCTTGATTTTGCTTCTTTACAAATGTATATTTATTCATAAAAAATATACATATAACTGTCCTTCACTTCAGAAACAAAACTGCTTGTTGGTAGAACCCTAATGAAAAGAAAAGGGAAAGGGAAATATTTAAAGGAAAGTTCAGATGCAGCTGGAATAGCCATAAATTGGAAGCCAAAATCCTTACAGCTGATTCTTGAAAAATGGTATCTAATCTATGAGACTTAAATTATTACAAAATTAAAATTTTTTTTAATTTTGTCAACACTTTTTGGACACTTATCTACTCATTTTATGGTAGATAGTCATCATAAGATTTGATGAGAAGAATAGATTTTTTTAAAAAAAGTCTGTTCCTCTTTGCCTGCTCTACGTAAGTATTAATATGCCAGCCAAAGCCACCAGATAGCAGAAAACCATAAACTGTGACTCCAGGTTCATATGCCACAAATGAGAAAAGGCATGTGACAGTGTGTGCCTGGTGTTGACACATAATTGGCATTCTGATTTGTACATTCGCTTCTACCCTCAGTTGGGGATGGGAGTGGAAGCAAATTCACCTCCATTCATAGAGCTACAAACAAATTCTCTCCAGGATTTATGTCTGTGTACCAACCCTTTCCCCAACCATGTTCTGCCCCATGTCTACCTTCGCAGCCTTGCATGCTTTACCTACTCATCGTTCCCATTGAATGCATTTTGGTGCCATAATATAGTCTCATTAATTATCCCTAAATCAAATATGAACCTTTAGCTTTAAGAGTCACATTGCCATAAGGTAAATTTTGGGAAAAGTGCTGTTTAAGAAAACTCTATGCTCAACTGTCAGCATAAACCTTGACCGAGGTCACTAGCTGTTCTGGCCAGATGGCAGTGAGGACGTGAGACCCGACTATTTCAGTCCTCCAATAAAAAGGATAATAAAGTGAATGTGTGGTGAGAAAAATGCTTTTATGGAAACTTGTGTAATTCAAACTTTTTGGTGGTGGTTTAACATCAGATTTTACAACAGGGTAGTTAAATAGTTGGCTGAATTTTTTAAAGGTCTGGGGAATTTAATGGCAGAATGTATACTCTTTGTAGTTTTGTCAGTTCAGAGAAGTAGGCAGGCAGATATGATATTTCGGATTCAAGTTGCTCGGCTGTGGGATCTATGGCTTTCTTTCTCTGTATAATCTTCAAGTTTGTGATCTGCTGTGCCTTAAAGAGTGAGATGAGTAGCACATTGTTAGGATGTGCTGCTGGTTTTCTGAGAGAGGAATTAGTCCTGAGTCCTCCATACACTGGCTGCATCATTTGCAGTAATAAATTTGGACAGGCTTATGCTATCATCTGCAAATGAGATTGTCTGTGAACAGAATGAAGCTCAAAACCACGATCCTCATTGTTCAGTGTCAAAACCAACGGAGATTTTTTTTTTTTTTGAGACAGAGTTTCGCTCTTATTGCCCAGGCTGGAGTGCAATGGCTTGATCTCAGCTCACCGCAACCTGCGCTTCCTGGGTTCAGGTGATTCTCCCGCCTCAGCCTCCCGAGTAGCTGAGATTACAGGCATGTGCCACCACGCCCAGCTAATTTTTGTATTTTTAGCAGAGATGAGGTTTCTCCATGTTGGTCAGGCTGGTCTCAAAGTCCCAACCTCAGGTGATCCGTCTGCCTCGGTCTCCCAAAGTGCTGGGATTACAGGCATGAGCCACCGCACCCGGCCCAAAACAAGTTGAGCTTCTTAAAGACAACCTTTATTAATGATTAGCTCAGAGGGCCTCTTCCTTGGTCCCTCAGAGAGTCCTTAGTCCCTTTCTTGGACCTTCTGGACAATAAAAAGGAGAGCGTGATAGGATGTTTGACTATACCTTTCTCAGAAAAGGGCGAGCATTTAGCAATCCAGATAAAAATATCCATGAGATAAAGACCACATCTATACCCTGTGATTATCATTACTAGAACATCACTTCTGGGTTAAAGAGAAAAAAGAAATAGAATAATGGTCTGGCTAAAGAGAAAAAAAGAAATAGGATAATGGTCCTTAAAATAAATGAGGTAATTTTGTTTATGTCTAGCATTCTACAACAAACATTTTTCATTGCACTGTATTTCTGTGTTCTTTCTTGCTTCAGTAACTTGGTGCAACTACAAGATTACTGTTTGTAGTTCTGTGAACTAGGTAATTCCAGTTTAGAAAACAAAGAATGACGCATCATATTTAGAGACAATGCTACTGTCTACTTTTAGAGAAGTAGAATTTATGCTCTAAGTTAATTATTCTGAAGTGGAGAGATTGATCTCCTCTTGTTTCTTTGTAGTCTCATAATTTTTTGTTAAAAAATGAACATTTTTAATAATATGTGAAAACTCGAAATCAGATTCTACCCCTTCTACAGAGTTTGCTGTTTATGCTGTTTATTGTTCCTGCTGCTTATTGGTTTAGTGACCTCTCTGAACTAACTCTTCAAAGTCTGTATTCTTTGTTGTGTGTGGCCATTCAAATCTGTGTTTGGTTAGCTTAGTAGTCAGTCAATGATTGGACCGACATTTTTTTTTAATGCCAGTAACAAGTAAGTCTCCCAGTCTTTGTTGAGAAACTGTGTGTTGGGGCACGCCTTTAACACTCAGCCATGCAATTTTGACAGCCCTGCCTTAGTCTTCACTTTTTGCTAATGCAGAGCCTCAAGGTCAGCCAGAGGTGAGGATTTAAGGCCTTCTTGGGCCTTTCTAAGCATGTGTACAGTCCTGGGTTTACACACAGCCCTGCATGTGCACATGGCCTTCCAGAGTCCCAGAATATGTTGGAGCTTTTCAAAGCCCCCTGGGTGTCTCATACCCCAGCTTTTCCTTTTAAGTTTTCTGCCAATCCATTGTTTGTCCAAACAGTATCCATTTCTTCAGGCAGCTGTGATGTTTAACAATTAACTCTGATTGATTTTGGCAAATGCCCTAAGTCTGTTCACATTAAGTGACCTTGAGGTTAGTGCAAGAAAGATAAACCTGGTAGGTGAGGTCTTCCAGGAAACCATCCGACAGGTCAAATAACAATTCTCAAACTGCAACTCTGAAGGAGTTCCTACTGCATTCTACTCCTTCCTGGGGCTGTGATTGCGGAGGGTTGATTTTGTCCTATGTGAAACTACAGGCAATCTCAAGAGGAGAGGAGGGAATGGGACTACATATTATTAAAATAAAATAACACAAAGCTCATTGTTTTTACCAAGACGTGTGTGTGTGTGTGTGTGTGTGTGTGTGTGTGTGTGTGTGTGTGAGACTCTTTGGATTGCTGCAAGCAAGCCTTTGGTTAATTTCCAGAGTTTTGAAAAAACTGATTCTGAGCATTTTTGCCAGTTTTCTTATTGCTTTTATGAGTGAGATGGTTTTCAGAGGTCCTTACTTCTCCATTCCCATTGACTTTACTTAGTATTTTGATCATTTTTAGGTTTTCTTATTATTATTGCTGAGTTGTAAGAATTCTCTATAAATTCTGGGTCAAAGCCCTTTGCCAGATATATGAGTTGCAAATATTTCCTCTAAGAGTATGGCTTGCTTTTTAATTCTCTTGGGTGTATCATTTAAACAACAAAAGTTTTCACATTTATGGTCAATATTTTTTGTATCCTAGAAAATCCTTTCTTGTCCCAGGTTTGCAAGAGTTCCTCCCATCTGTGTTTCTGGGAATGTTACAGTTTTGGTTTTTACATTAGGTCTGTAATTCACTTCAAGTAATTTTGTAAGATGTGAGGTAGAAGGCATGGCTTATCCTTTTTAAAATAGATATCCAGTTTTAACACCATTTTTAAAACCCAAAAATCAGTAACATTGAGAATAAAATACCTGGGAATAAATTTAACCAAAACGGTAAAAGACTTGTACATTGACAAATAAAAAACTTTGCTGAAAAAAATTAAATAAGACCAAAATAAATGGAAAGATACCCCAATGTTGACAGGCAGGAAGACTTAACACAGTTAAGATGTCAGTATTACTCAAAGCAACCTATAGATTAATGCAATCTCTTTATTTATTTATTTATTTATTTTATTTTGAGATGGGGTTTCACTGTGTTGCCCAGGCTGGAGTGCAGTGGCTCGATCTCAGCTCACTGCAGCCTCCATCTCCTGGGTTCAAGTGATTCTCCTGCCTCAGCCTCCCGGATAACTGGGATTACAGGCACCCGCCACTGCGCCCAGCTAATTTTTGTATTTTTAGTAGAGATGGGGTTTCACCATCTTGGCCAGGCTGGTCTCGAGCTCCTGACCTTGTTATCCACCCGCCTCGGCCTCCCAAAGTGCCAGGATTACAGGCATGAGCCACCCCACCCAGCCCTTAATGCCATCTCTAGCAGCAGTTTTTTTGCAGAGATGGAAAAGACAATCCTCATATACATAAAGAATTACAAGGGGTGCTCTGTAGCCGAACAGTCTTGAAAAGGAACAAAATTAAAGTACTTACACTTTTCAACATCAAAGCTTATTAAAAGCTTTACATTCATCAAAACAGTGTGGACAAGGAGAAAAATGGAATAGATTAAAAATCCAGAAATAACACACATATCAATGGACGACCGATTTTTCAACAAGGGTGCCAGGACCAACAAATGGGAAAAGAATAGTACCTTCAAAAGTCGGTGCTAATACATTTGGATTTCTATGTGCAAAAATAAAATAAAATAAAATTAGATTCCTACCTCAACATCATATATAAAAATTAACTCAAAATGGATGAATGGCCTAAATTTAAAAAGCTAAAATCATAAAATTCTTGGAAGACAGCGTAGAAGTAAATCTTTATGATCTTGGATTTGGTGATGGATTCTTGGATATGACATCAAAAGCACAGACGACAAAAGAAATATGGGTAAATTTATCCTCATCAAAGTTAAAAACTTCTGTGTATCAAAAGTCATTATCAAGAAAGTGATAAGACAAACTACAGAATGGAAGAGTATATTTTCAAGTCATTCATATAAGGAAATTATGTCTAAAATATATAAATGACACAACTCAATAATAAAGAGGTAAATAACCCAAATAAAAAATAAGCAACACATAGAAATAAAAATTTCTTCAAAGAAGATTCTCGAATGACCAAAAAAAGACAAGAAAAAGTGTTCAACATCATAGGTCATCAGAGAAATGCATATCAAAACCACAGTGAGATAGCCCTTCACTCTTATAAGAATGGCTATAATTGAAAAGTCAGATGATAACACGTGTGGGTGAGAATGTGGAGAAATTGAAACCTTCATACAATGCTGGTGGGAATATAAAATGGTCCAGCCACTGTGGAAAACAGTTCTGCAGTTCCTCAAAAGGCGAAACACATAATGTCATATGACCTAGCAAATCAACTCCTAGGTATATACCCAGTGTTTTTGAAAGGAGGGACTTGAATGGATGCATGTATGCCCATGTTAATTGCAGCATTATTCACAATAGCCAAAAGGTAGAAACAACCCAGGTGATAAACACATGAATGGATAAACAAAATGTTATCTCTACATATAACGGAAGATTACTGTATTTTATAAAAAGAAATAAAGTTCTGAAACATGCTACAACATGCATAAACTTTGACAACATTATGCCAAGTGAAATAAAACACAAAAGGAAAATTATTGTACGGTTCTACTTACATGAACTATCTAGCATAGTAGATTAGAGGCTGTGAAGGAGCTAGGGATGAAGGGGAGTGAGGCGTTATTGCTTGATTGTGACAGACTTATGTGTGGATGATTAAAAAGTTTTTATGTAGATAGTGATGAAGACTACACAAGATTGTGAATATAATTAATGCCACTAAATTGTACACTTAAGGATGGTTAAAATGGCAAATCTTGTTATATATTACTATAATTTTTAAAGGTTAATAATGCGATATAGCACAATCGTTGAATTGTATACTTTAAGTGGGTGGATTTTATGGTATGTGAATTATATTTCAATAAAGCTGTTAACAAATTATAAAATACGGATTTTTGTCATGTCAAAGATGAAAACAAATTACATTGAAACGTGTCAAGTTATTCTATAAGTGAAAATCTGTTTCTGGATTCTAGTTCCAATTTTCTGTATTTCTATTACTCCAACATTTTTTGTTGAATATTATTGCTAAAGATTTTTATTTTACCAATATTTGTAATAAATCAACTTTTGCCTTTGTTGTTTTCTTCATTTTTTTATTTTTATTTTTATTTTTTTTGAGATAGAGTTTCACTCTTGTCACCCAGGCTGGAGTGCAGTGGCGTGATCTCAGCTTATTTCAACGTCTGCCTCCCGGGTTCAAGCGATCCTCCTGCCTCAGCCTCCCAAATAGCTGGGATTACAGGCACCCATCACCACGCCCAGCTAATTTTTGCATTTTTAGTAGAAACAGGGTTTCACCATGTTGGCCAGGCTGGCCTTGAACTCCTGACCTCAGGTGATCCGCCTGCCTTGGCCTCCCAAAGTGCTGGGATTACAGGCATGAGCCACCGCACCTGGCTGTTTTCTTTATTTTTCGTCTGAGATTATTTGGGTTTTGCTTGCTCAGTTGTTTAAGTTACTTATAGATTCTGGATATTAGGATTATGTCAGGTACATAGTTTGTGAATACTTTCTCCCATTCTATGGTTGTCTGTTTACTCTATTGGCAGATTTTTTTTTCCTGTGCTCCAACTCATCAATTTTTGTTTTCATTGCAATTGCTTTTGAGGATTTAGTCATAAATTCTTTCCCAAGGCTGATATCCAGAATGATGTTTCCTAAGCTTTCTTCTAGGATTATGATAGTTTGAGGTCTTACATTTAAATCTTTAATCCATCTTGCATTAATTTTTATATATGGTGAAAGGTAGGATCTAGTTTAATTCTTCCGTATATGGCTAGCCAGCTGTCACAGCACCATTTATTGAGTAGAAAGTCCTTTCCTTGTTTTCCATTTTTTTTATTTTGTCAAAGATCAGATGGCTATAGATGTGTGTGTGGCTTTATGTCCGGGTTCTCTATTCTGTTCCATTTGTCTGTCTGTCTGTCTTTATACCAATACAATGCTATTTTGGTTACTGTAGCCCAATAGTTTAGTTTGAAGTTGGGTAATGGTTTGAAGTCAGGTAATGTGATGTCTCCAGCTTTGTTCTCTTTGCTTAGCATTTCTTTGGCTATTCAGGCCCTTTTTGGCTCCATATGAATTTTAGGATAGAATTTTCTAGTTCTTTGAAAAATCACATTGGTAGTTTGGTAGGAATAGCATTAAATCTGTAGATTGCTTTGGGCAGTGTGGCCATTTTAACAATATTAGTTCTTCCAATTCAGAAGCATGAAATGTTTTCCCATTTTTTGTGTCATCTATGATTTTTTCATCAGTGTTTCATAGTTCTCCTTGCAGAGATCTTTTACCTCCTGGGTTGGATGTATTTCTAGGTATTTTATTTTTTGTGGCTATTGTAAATGGGATTGCATTCTTGATTTGGCTCTCAGCTTGAATGTTGTTGGTGTATAGAAATGCTACTGATTTTTGTACATTAATTTTGTAACCTGAAACTTTACTGAAGTCAGTTATCAGATTCAGGAGCCCTTTGGTGGAGTCTTTAGGTTCCTTTTAGGTATAGAATCATATTGTCTGTGAAGAGAGATAGTTTGACTTCTTCCTTTCCTATTTGTATGTCTTTTATTTCTTTCTCTTGCCTGATGGCTCTGGATAGCACTTCCAGTACTATGTTGAGTAGGAATGGTGAGAGTGGCATTCTTGTCTTGTTCCAATTCTCAAGGGTAATGCTTCCAGCTTTTGCCTATTCAATATGATTTTGGCTGTGGGTTTGTCATAGATGGCTCTTATTATTTAGGTACTTTCAATGCCTGGTTTCTTGAGTTTTTGTTGTGAAGAGATGCTGGATTTTATCAAAAACTTTTCTTTATCTTTTGAGATAATCACTTTTTTGTTTTTAATTCTATTTATGTAATGAATCACATATATTGATATGCATATGTTGAATCAATCTTGTATCCCAGGAATGAAGTTTACTTGATCATGGTGAATTAACTTTTTGATGTTTTGTTGAATTTGGTTTGCTAGTATTTTGTGTAGGATTCGTATGTCTACTTCATGAGGGAATATTGGCCTGTAGTTTTCTTTTTTCATTGTATCTTTGCCAGGTTTTGGTATTAGGGTGATGCTGACCTTGTAAAATGAGTTAGGGCAGGAGTCCCTCCTCCTCTTCCTTGAGTTTTTGGAATAATTTCAGTAGAATTGGTACCAGCTCATCTTTGTGTGTCTGGTAGAATTCAGCTGTGAGTCCATCTGGTCCGGGTCTTTTTTTTGGCTTGGGAGATTTTTTTTTTATTATTATTACTGATTGAATTTCAGAACTTGATATTGGCCAGTTCAGAGTTACAATTTCTTCCTGATTCAATCTTGGGAGATTTTGTGGTTCTAGGAATTTGTCAAATTCCTCTAGATTTCATAGTTTGTGTGGCATAGAGGTGTTTATAATAGTCTCTGAGGATCATTTGTATTTCTGTAGGATCAGTTGTAATGTCACCTTTGTTGTTTCTGATGGTGCTTATTTGAATCTTCTGTCTCTCTCTCCCTCTGTCTTTGGTTAATTAACTAGCAGTGTGTTGATCTTGTTTTCACTTTCAAATAACCAATTTTTTGTTTCCTTGATTCTTTGTGTTGGATTTTTAGATCTCAATTTTATTCAGATCTGCTCTGATTTTAGTTATTTATTTTCTTCTGCTAGCTTTGGGGTTAGTATTGTCTTATTTTTCTAGTTCTTCTAAATGTGATGTTAGATCATTAATCTGAGATTTTTCTAACTTTTTGAGGTAGACATTTAGTACTACAAACTTTGCTCTTAACACTGTTTTTCCTGTATCTCAGATATTTTGATATGTTGTGTCTCTGTTTTCATTTATTTCAAAGAATTTTTGGTGTCTGCCTTAATTTTGTTGTTTACCCAAAAGTCATTCAGGAGCAAGTTGTTTAATTTCCATGTCATTGTGTGGTTTTGTGACATCTTCTTGGCATTTATTTCTATTTTTATTCTACTGTGGTCTGAAAATATGGTTGGTATGATTTCAATTATTTGTGTTTATTGAGACTTGCTTTATGGATAAGCATGTGGTCAATCTTGGACTATGTTCCATGTGCAGATGAGAAGAATGTATACTCTGCAATTGATGGATGGAGTATTTGGTAGATGTTTATTAGGTCCACTTAGTCAAGCATTGAACTTAAGTCTGGAATTTTTTTGTTAGTTTTCTGCTTCAGTGATCCATCTGATGCTGTCAATGGGGTGTTGAAGTCCCCCTCTATTCTTGTGTGGCTGTCTAAGTCTTTTTCTAGGTCTAAAAGTACTTGTTTTATGAACCTGGGTGCTCCAGTGTTGGGTATGTTATTTAGAAGTGTTAAGTGTTCTTGTTGAATTGAACCCTTTATCATTATGTAATGTCCTTCTTTGTCATTTTTTTTACTGTTGTTGGTGTAAAATGTGTTTTATTTGATATATGAGTAGTGACCTCTGCTTTTTTTCGTTGTTGTTTTCCATTTGTGTGATAGATCTTTCTCCAACCCTTTCTATGAGCTAATGGGAGTCATTGTGTGTGAGATGAGTCTCTTGGAAGACAGAAAATGGATGAATCTTGTTTTTTAATTCAACTTGCCATTCTGTGCCTTATAAGCAGGGGCATTCAGGCCATTTATATTCAAGGTTAATATTGATCTGTGAGGTTTTGATCTTATTTCACAATAGGATCTATTCTGGGGTTGCTTTATAGGGTCTATGGGCTATATACTTAAGTGTGTTTCTGTAGCAGGTGTATTAGTATGTTCTCATGCTGCAATGAAGAAACATCTGAGACTGGGTAATTTACAAAGGAAAGAGGTTTAATTGACTCACAATTCCACAGGGCTGGGGAGGCCTCAGGAAACTTAGAATCAGAATGGAAGGGGAAGCAACACATCCTTCTTCACATGGTGGTAAGAGAAAGAAATGCCAAGCAAAGGGGGAAAGGCCCCTTATAAAACCGTCAGATCTTGTGAGATCTCACTCACTGTCCTAAGAACACCAGCAGGGGGTAACTGCACCCGTGATTCAATTATTTCCCACTGCATCCCTCCCACTACATGTGGGGATTATGGGAACTACAATTCAAGATGAGATCTGGGTGGGAACACAGCCAAACCATATCATTTCACCCCAGACCCTCCACAATTTCATGTCCTCACATTTCAAAACACAATCATGCCTTTCCAACAGTTCCCCAAAGTCTTAACTCATTCCAGCATTAACCTAAAACTCCAAGTCCAAGGTCACATCTGACATGAGGCAAGTCCCTTCCGCCTATGAGCCTTAAAGTTCCAAAATGAATCTCCTTTGTCTTCGTGTCTCACATCCAGGTCACGCTGATGCAAGAGGTGGGGCCCCATGGCTTTGGGCAACTCCACTCCTGTGGCTTTGCAGTGTATAACCCCACTCCCAGCTGCTTTCATGAGCTAGCTTTGAGTGCCTGCTGCTTTTCCAGGTACACAGTGCAAGCTGTTGGTGGATCTACCATTCTGGGGTCTGGGGGATGATGGCCTTCTTCTCAAAGCTCCAGTAGGCAATGCCCTAGTGGGGACTCTGTGTGGAGGCTCCAATCCCACATTTCCCTTCCACACTGCCCTAGCAGATGTTCTCCATGAGGGCTCTGCCCCTGCAGCAAACTTCTGCCTGGAGATCCCAGCATTTCCATACATCCTCTAAAATTGAGGCAGAGGTTCCCAAACCTCAATTCTTGATTTCTGTGCACCCCTGGGTTCAACATCACTTGGAAGTGGCCAAGGGTTGGAGGCAGGGCACAACATCCCAAGGCAGCACAAAGCAGGGGGGGTCCTGGACCCAGCCCAAGAAACCATTTTTTCTCCTAGGCCTCTGGGCCTCTGATGGAAGGGGCTGCCATGAAGGTCTCTGATGTGCCCTGGAGACATTTTCCCCATTGCCTTGGTGATTAACATTCAGCTTCTCATTACCTAAGCAAATTTCTGCAGCCAGATTGAATTACTCCCTAGAAAATGGGTTTTTCTTTTCAATTGCATTGTCAGGCTGCACATTTTCCAAACTTCTATGCTTTGCTTCCTCGTGAATGCTTTGCTGCTTAGAAATTTCTTCCACCAGATACTCTAAATCATCTCTCTCAAGTTCAAGCTCCACAGATCTCTAGGGCAGAGACAAAATGGCACCAGTCTCTTTGCTAAAGCATAATAAGAATCACCTTTATTCCAGTTCCAAACAAGTTCCTCTTCTCTATCTGAGACAAATCTAGGTCTGGACTTCATTGTCCACATTACTATCAGCATTTGGTAAAAGCCATTCAAAAAGTCTCTAGGAAGTTCCAAACTTTTCCCACATCTTCTTGTCTTCTGAGCCCTCCAAGTCTCTAGGAAGTTCCAAACTTTCCCACATTTTCCTGTCTTCTTCTGAGCTCTCCAAACTGTTCCAACCTCTGCCTGTTACCAAAGTTGTTTCCACATTTTTTGGGTATCCTTATAGCAGCACCCCACTCTACCAGTACCAATTTACTGTATTAGTCCATTCTCATGCTGCTATGAAGAAATATCTGAAACTGGGTAACTTATAAAGGAAAGAGGTTTAATTGACTCACAGTTCCACAGGGCTGGGGAGGTCTCAGGAAACTTACAATCATGGTAGAAAGGGAAGCAACACATCCTTCTTCACATGGTGGCAAGAGAGAGAAGAAGTGCCAATCAAAGTGGGGAAAGCCCCTTATAAAACCATAGGATCTTGTGAGAACTCACGAGAACAGCAGCATGAGGGTAATTGCCCCAAGATTCAATTACCTCCAACCAGGTCCCTCCCACAACATGTGGCGATTATAGGAACTACAATTCAAGATGAGATTTGGGTGGGGACACGGCCAAACCATATCAGCAGGTATTGTTTTTTCTTTTCCATGTTTAGAACTCCCTTAAGGATTTCTTGTAAAGCTGGTCTGGTAATGAATCCCCTTAGCTCTTGCTTGTCTGGAAAAGATATTCTTTCTCCTTCACTGATGAAGCTTAGTTTGGCAGGATATGAAATCCTTGGTTAGAATTTCTTGTCTTTAAAAATGATGAAAATAGGTCCCCAGTCTCTCCCAGCTTGTAAGTTTTCTGCTGAGAAGTCTGCTGTTAGCCTGATGGAATTCCCTTAGTAAATGATCTGATCTTTTTCTCTAGCTACCAGTATTATTTTTTTCTTTAGCATTGACTTTGGACACTCTGGTGAATATAGGCCTTGGTGGTGTTCATTTCGTGTAGTATTTCACAGATATTCTCTAGATTTCTTATATCTGGCTATCTACGTCTCTATCAAGATTAGGAAAGATTTCTTGAAATATTTACTTAAGCGTGATTTCCAGATTGTATAATTTTTCTCCTTCTCTCTTAGGAATGCCAATAATTCATAGGTTTGGTCACTTTCCATAGTTCTATATTTCTCAATGACTTTGTTAATTTTTTTAATTTGTTTTTCTTTATTTTTGTCTAACTGGGTTAATTCAAAAGACCAGTCTTGAAGCTCTGAAATTCTTTCTTCTAATTGACCCAGTCTATTAATACAGCTTTCAATTGTATTTTAAAATTCCTTAAGTAAGTTTTTCAATTCCAGAAGCTCTGATTAATTTTGATTGAAGATGTTTATCTCTTTCTTCATTTCTTGGGTTGCTTCAGAAGTTCCTTTGTGCTAATTTTTAACCTTGACTTGCACTTTGTTGAGCTTCCTGGCAATCCATGCTTTGAGTTCTTTATTTGTTATTTCTGAGTTTCCTTTTTGGTTAGGAACTATTGCTGGAGAGCTAGTGTGATCCTTTGGTCGTATCACCACTTTCAGATTTTTCATGGTGCCGGAATTCGTATGTTGGTTCCTTCTCATCAGGAGAAGCTGGCAATTCTAATTTTTGTAATTATTTTCGTGTGGGTAGATTTTTTTCTTTTTCATTCTTTCCCTATAATATTATTGCTTTTTTCTTTCCTTTTTCCTCTCCTCCTTTCCTAAAGAATGTGATTGTAGAGAATGCTGGGTAGGTATTTTGGCTTTGTTTCTGTAGCCCTATGCACTCAGGTCAGCAGGTTTTATATTGGGCTGTGCAGTTCAACATAAAAGCCAGTAGATGGCACTTATAGGTAAGAGCTGGTTGCAGTCAACACTGCTGGGTATATACTTGATCTTTGTTTACTGGGAGAAGCTTTCTGTTGCCCCAGGCATAGAGCTGATTCAAGGAGTGCACAGTGGTATGAGCTCACTGCTCAGCCCCTGGCTGGTGGGGACCAATATGGACAGGGCTGGACCTGTAGGTTGGCCTACCGGTCTGCTGATGGCAAGCACAAACGGAGGATCTAGTGGGTGACCACCAAGCACCAAAAGTTATGCCTGGGTGGGGAGTTGGGAAAACTCCTTGGTCCCAAGTTCTCTGCACAGGGATGGGGTGTAGACTAAACTTTAAATCCAGGAGAGTGGGTCCTCCAAATGCTTGGAGATCTGCCTGAGTATGGAGTGGAGAGGGCCCTTCTGCACCAAAATCTATGCACAGGACGGGTGGGGCAATTCAGGCTGATGATTCAGATGAGCAGCTTCTCTGAATGATTGGAAATCTGCCTTGGCATCAAGCAGAGAGGGCCTTACTGCATCACGATCTAAGAGAAGCAGACAGGGGCACCCAGTATGGCATACACAGACCAGTTCCAGGTTGCCAACCTAACTGCAAGTCTCATCGCCCAGGAGAAACCTATAGCTGTAGCAGCTTTCTTCCTGCCCCTGTGATGAGGGAGAGCACAATCCAGTGCTTACTGCTGAGATGCTTTCCATTGTTCTGGCTGAGGAGGACCTTACCTAGGACCCTACCTAGCTTCAGAGCATTCACTCCAGTCTCTGGGCTGAGACCAAATTGTCTGCATGGCCATGTTACCAGGTCATCAAAGGGAATGGGTGACTTTGTATGCACCCAGATTAACAAGGGCATTCTGCTGTCTGTTTCAGGCCTGGGAAAATGTCTGCAGCTTTTCCCAGTGTCTTTCCCTCACGGCATTTCCAAGCCTCTCCCCAGGTTCACTCCAGGGCATTGGAGAAGCAGAGTGCTCTCCTTCAGTCTGGGTTGCTCGGATGCCCAGTGAAAAGGTCGGGGAGTGGAATGAGGGAGGCTCTCTGCCTCTCTCACATACTGGGGATGCATTCCCTTTTATTAGCCAGATGCCATCATGAGACTGTTTGCCCACATTCTCCTCCCTGGATTCTGGAGTGACCTTCCTGATTCCTGTGGACTCCCATTTTCCTTCTGGAATTGAAGCTCACAGAACTGATCTTTATGCACTTTCTTGCCGTTTCCAAGTGGCTGAGGCATGCCGAAAGCCTCTAATTCACCATTTTGGAAAAAAGATCACTTTTTTCCTAATGCAGGAATTTGAAGCTATATGTTTTTCAATTAGCATTGCTAAGTGCCATTCCACAAATTTTGATATGTTGTATTCTCATTATCATTTTGGTTAAAAATGTGTTTAATTTCATTTTTCTAATATTATAATTTCCTTTTTAGTCTATGAATTATTTAGAAGAGTTTTTTATCTAATGCTCAATATTGTGGATTTTGAAATACTTTATTATTGATTTCTAATTTAATTCTATCAGGATCAGATAATCTGAAATATTTCAATTTCTTGACATTTATGGAGACATTTTATAGTCCAGTATGTGGCATATCTTGATGAATATTCCACGTTTGCTGAAAATAGTGTTTTTCACTGTAGTTTTGCTATGTAGGATACTGTAAATACCAATTTAGGCTCCTGAATTCTCATTTTGCTACTTGTTCTTAATAAATTACTGAGAAAGTGGTGTAAAACTATGATTATAGATATGATTATTTTCCTTTTAGTCATGTCACTTTGCTTCATGAATTTTTGTTCTCTGTCATTAGTTGCATATATATATACACACACACGCACACACACACACATATATACACACATATTTAGGATTATTCTAAATATGTATGTTCATATTTAGTATTATTCCTATATATAGGTTTATATTTAGGATTATTCTAAATATGTACATATTTGTAATTATGCTAAATATATATACTTTGCATAATTATAAATATATATTTAGCATAATTCTAAATGTATATTTCATTTTTCTAATTATATATGATATATTTAGAATTATTGGGCTTAATTATTTCAAAGCATATCTTTTACATGCCTTTTCTTTTCAGTTTATCTGTATCTTTATAACTAAAATCTGCAGTTTCTAGTTTGTAGACAGATTCTAGTTTGGTGTTTCCTTTTTATCCACTTAGTCAATATCTGCCTTTTAACTATGGGCATTTAGTACATTTATACTTAATGTAGTAACTGATGTGGTTAGGTTTAAGTCTGTTATCTTGCTATGTATTTTTTTGTATCTTCTGTTGTAATTTCTTGTTTTTGTTGGTTTTCTCTTTTCCCGTTTTCTGTTGAATTAATTGAATAAGTGTTAGTGTTAAATTACAATTCCTTTATTGCCTCCTTGGCACGCCTCTTTGTTGTCTTTTAGCTAGGCATTGTTATCTTACAGTCTACTTAGAATGAATATTGTATGTTTTCACACTTTATTCCTGATTCTTCACACCTCCTGCTTTATTCTTTTTTATTCTCAGTTCAGACCAGATACTCCCTACTTTTTGCTTTTCATTGTTACTTTACAAATGTAATATATTTACAACAGTACAATTCCATTTACTCATTCCCTCATCCTTTATGCAATTGTTATCTTTTATTTTTATGTATATTGTAACCCTTATCTCAGTGTATTTACTTCTAATTTAATCAGTTGGTTATTTAAGAAAATTTATGAAAAAATGATATTCTATATTTTTCTAACTATGAATATTTACCAGTGCGTTCCATTCTAGATAGATCCAGGTTGCAATTTAATATCATTTTCCTTCAGCCTGAAAGACATAGTTTAGCATCTCTTAGAAAGCAAGTTTGCTTACAATACGTTCTGTTTTCACTTACCTAAAAAATCTTCATTTTGCTTGCATATTTTCTGGATATAAAATTCTAGGTTGATAATTATTTTCT
Source organism: Homo sapiens (assembly GCF_000001405.40). Taxonomy (NCBI): domain Eukaryota; kingdom Metazoa; phylum Chordata; class Mammalia; order Primates; family Hominidae; genus Homo; species Homo sapiens. The sequence goes on from NC_000017.11 coordinate 14,889,322, forward strand.
TTCAGTATGGTAAATATGTTACGCCATTATCTCCCAGTTTCATTACTTATAGTAAGAAGTCAACGATTATTCTTATTGCAGGATTATTGTACATAAAGTGTTCTATAAACTCCTTTATTCCCCTACTACTTTCAACATTTTTTCTTAATTTGGTTTCCAACAGTCTGACTAGGATGAGTCTAGATACCATTCTTTTTATACTTATTGCAGTTGGATTTTGCTGAATTTTTTCAATCTGTTGATGAGTGTTTTTCATCAAATTTTGACATTGTTAGCTATTATTCCTCAAATATTTTTATTCAATATTTTTCAGTTTTGTTTTCCATCCAAATATAACTCTCTTCTTCAGGATCTCCAATTACATTTATATCAAACCATTAGATACTGTTTCCCTTGTTGAGGCTCGTCCATTTAATTTTTTCTCTCTTTTTCAGATTGGATAATTTCTATTGGTCTGTCTTCAGGGTTAGTATTTATTTTGCCATCTCTAATGTGCTCCTAAGTCTATCCAGTAGTTTAAATTTTTTTTGTCCTTTTCAGTTCTAGAATTTCCATTTTTAATACTTTTTTTCCTGCTTGGATTCCCTATATTTTCATTATCTGAGATCATATTTTTATTTAATTCTTTAACAAATTTGTCTTTATTAAAATATATTTTCTTGTTTTTGTTTTTATGTGAATCATTATTTTTAAATAAAATAATTGCCATAATGGATAATACAAGTACTCTAAAAATATGTAATAGAGATTCTGGGTTCTGTTAATGATCTCTAGAGAGTATTCATTCTTGTCCTGCTAAGCAGGTAAATTACTGGCTGATTACTTTATGCTTGTAGGCTTTCGAGGAACCTCTAACTTGGCAGGACCTGACGTCAGATTCTGTCTGTTTGGGCTTGATTGTATGCTTAGCTAGGGTGGCTCTAGACCAAGTTTCATTCTAAAGCTTGGTTTTCACTCTGAAGATATAGTTTTTCTGGTGTTTCAGTGGGATGCCAAGATGTTGATGAATTATGAAAATCTCTCTACTCTGTAGGACCATAGCTCTCACATCCCTGGGCAGTACTCTTCCCCTAGCATAGCTTGATCTCTAGTATCTGTTGTATCTCAGCCCCAAATCAACTGATCTCTGTTGAATGAAGTCGCTCTCTTATGTGTAGCTACAGACTCACAGGAGACTCCTCTAAACAGACTTTAGGGGCTGCCCCTCTATAGAGCTCCCTCAGCTCTGCTGCCCTCACAGATCCTAGACACTTCAGCTGCTCTGAATTTTTAATTATTTCTTATCAGCTACCTACCAGGTTAAAAAACTACTGGGTTCTGCTCAGAATCCAGCTCCCTCTTTACTCGGAAAATTGTCTCAAGGAAAAGAACAAAGCAATTATAGGGTTTCTAACGAGTTTCCCTTTTCCGAATGATTGCAGTCTTATACTGCCTGTTTTTCACTGCCTGAAAGCCATTTCCTCATTATATATAGTAACAATTTTATAGTTATAAATGGTAGGAGGACTAGTCCAAGACTAAATTATGTCTAGAAACAGAAAGCTTCCCACAAAATTTTACTATTAGGTGAAAGATAATGAGAAGCCAAATAATATCCCCGCAGATAATTAAAGCATCCCATAAGCATGCCTTTGAACATATCAAAACCATAACATTTCATTTAAAAACAAGATAAAAGACTTTAAGTGTGTCATACAATATCATAAAAGAACAACATAAATTAGAATTTGCAATATTCAGCAATGAGGTGCCAAAACTCAGAAAAAAAATGTAAAAAATTAGAATCAAAATACAAACTCATAGAAACACAGAAAAAATGAACAAAACAAAGAGTGCCCTAAGAGAAATAGAAGGTGAAAATAAGGAATTTTTTTAATTGAAAAAATACAATATCAGAAATAGTAAATATTTGAGCAAATATAGACTGGACTTCACCTCTTAGGTTTAAAATATGCTTTACAGCTAATAGCAAAAATCACAGCATTGTCTTGTGAAATTTTCAGTGAATGATATACAAGGCAACTAAAACATAAAATAGGTAAAGTAAAGGGATCTATGGGGTGGTGAAATTTCTACATAAAACATTAATTCAAATAGACTGAGAACTCTGTTATTATTATGCATATTTTAATCCCTACAGCAATTGGTAAAACAGCTATATATATATTATATATGTATATATAGAGAGATATTCTAAACTATACAATTGATAACTTAGAAGGGAAGGTTTTTAAATGTTCACGTATCACAGAAGAAACGAAAGAGAAAAGGGGGAAAAACAAGTAAAAAGAAAGCAAACGGTGAAAGGGTACACCTGTATCCAAATATGTCAATCATTATATTACGTGTATATGATCTAGAGACAATAATTAAAGACAGAGATTGTCAGAATTAATTTGAAAATGACACAGCTACGTTATGAGTGTACAAGAAGCTCACTTTAATATAACATTGTAGGAACATTAAAAATTAAAAAATTAAAAGCATGGATAAATATAGGCTTTGCAAATATAAATCAGAAGAAGGCTGGAGTGGCTGTGTTAATATTAGACAAAGTATATCTTAGAGCAAAAATCATTAGCAGGGTTAAAGAGGGACATTGCATGTTAATAAAAGAGATTAATTCACCAAGAAAACATAACAAAGTTAAATGTTTATGCATGTAACAACAGAACTTTAAAAATACATGAAGCAAAAACTGAAAGAACTAAAAAAAGAAATAAATCCACAATTACTGTTGGAAGCATCAACACTCCTCTCTCACTAATATGTAGAACTAGTAGAGAGAAAATCAGCAAGAAAATAGAAGAAATAAACAACACTGTCATAAAATGAGATCTAACTTACACTTATAGAACTTTCTAATTCATAACCACAGAATACACATTATTTTCAGGGCACACAGAACATTCAGCCAGATAGATCATATCTGGGTTATTAAACAAACCTCAACAAATTTTAAATAATTAAAATTATACATAGTATGGTCTCTAAATTTAATGGAATGAAATCAGAAATTAACAGCAGAAAGACAAAGGAAAAATCTCTAAATACTTGAAAATTGAACAGCACATTTGGACATAATCTATGGATCAAAGAAGTCATTTCAGGAGAACAATAGAAAATGTTTTTAGCTGAGAAAATATGAAATCTAACACATCAAAATTTGTAGGATGCAGGTAAAACTGCTTCCTTGGAAGTAATGCGTATATTAGAATAAAAAAATGGCCTCAAATCAAGAATTTAAGCTTTCACTTTAAGAAACTAGAAAAAAGAGTAAAATACACACCAAGAAGGTAGAAGGAAGGAAAGAGTAAAAATAATAATGGAAAAGATAAAAATGAATTTAAGAGAAAGGGACAATGGTAAAGATAGTGTTCAATAAACAGATAATGAGAGTTCCCAAAGAAAAAAATCAAAATGCAAAACAAAAACCATAAATCAAAAAAACTTTTTTATAAAGTTAAAAAAATTCCACGGTATGTATTGCGAGAACACACCACGTGTTTAAGAGTTGATCCATTGGAAGCCATTATTCTTAGCAAACTATCACAGGAACATTAAACCAAATACCTCATGTTCTCCCTTACAAGTGGGAGCTAAATGATGAGAACACATGGATACGTAGGGGGAAAAACAGACACCGGGGCCTATCGGAGGGCAGAGGGTGGTAGGATGGAGTGGATCAGGAAAAATAACTAATAAGCACTAGGGTTAATACCTGAGTGACAAAATAACCTGTACAACACACTTCCATGACACAGGTTTACCTGTATAACAGACCTGGACATGTACCCTATAACTTAAAAGTTAAAAAAAAAAATATTGACCCAGAATGACCACAATAAAGACATATTCTAATAAAATTACCACATCTTAAAAAACAGTCACTTTTCTTCAAAGTGCTAAACATAGAATTACCATATGCTTTGTAGGAGTACAAAACAACAGTAAGGCAAAGAATAGATGATCTGACTGTTAACAGCAATAATTTATGCCAGAATAAAATGGAATAATACATGTGAGGAACTCAAAAAAATGTGAGCTAAAGATTTTATATCTGGCAAATATGACTTTTAAGTATAAAGGGCATAGATCATCGGCTGTCAAATTGCAAGAACTCAAGGAATTTTGTTCCCATGATTTCTTCTTGAGGAGTAATCAAGAAACCAGCTTTATTTTTTTCCTTATATTTATGTATTTATTTATTTATTTGAGACTGAGTCTCACTCTGTCGTCCAGACTGGAGTGCAGTGGCGAGATCTCGGCTAACTACAACCTCTGCCTCCCGGGTTCAAGCAATCCTCCTGCCTCTGCCTCCAGAGTAGCTGGCATTACAGGCACACACCACCACGCCCAGCTAAGTTTTGTATTTTTAGTAGAGAGGGGTTTCACCATGTTGGCCAGGCTGGTCTCAATCTTTTGACCTCAAGTGATCCACCCGCCTCAGCCTCACAAAGTGCTGGGATTACAGGCATGAGCCACTGTACCTGGCCAGAAAACCAGCTTTAGACAACCAAAATGATTCAGGTCACATGGGAATAGGGACTGGGGCATAAACATATAGTTACTAGTAGAACTAAGAGTTAAAGGGGTTACATTATAGAATGTATAGTATATAATAGATTTATAAATTAAGAATAAAATTAATTTTTTAAATTTATCAAATATTTATAAATTGTTTCAAATTTTATTCAATTCTTTTCAAAAACTGGGAAAGAATACTGAGATTATGGACAAAACCAACTTTTTAAGCTATTCTCAAAAACTATAATGGATGGCTATAATATATTGTTAAACTGAGGCTTTTGTCTATGTAATGTGTAATAAGGTAAATTAATCATTATGGATATTCCAATTCTATGATCCCCTGTGTCCTTAAGAACCATGATTCTCAGTGTTGAAGAAAGAAGGTAGCCACACAATACAAACAAAAATCTTGTTCAAAAAGCCTGTACTTATAAATTTGGATTGTAAATATTTGTATGAATTTGTGGGATGTTTTATTTTACAGGTGCTATATACATATTTTCTAGTTTTATTTACTGAAGAGATCTAGAAACAATGAGCAATCAAGTAATAGAGAACATCCCTAGAGTCCACACAGAGATCTTGAAATATTATTTTCTATTAAAAGAAATCAAGGTTTTTTGTTTGGTTGGTTTTTGTCTTTCGAGAAACAGCTGATCCACATCTGTGGCAGGAATTGTACAGGATTACCCTGGAATATCTTTTACACCAAATGTGTGGGTACTATCCCAAACTACAAGACTCATGTAGAAAAGAAAGCAGAAGCTAATTTGAAGACATTTTCACAGGTCAAAAGTGAACAATTTGAGCTTTGATAACAATTGCAATGGCTTGAAACCCATCAAAAATTTAAATCCTTGAACTCATAACAACATATTTTTAAAAACCTAAACCTAATAAGTCACCTGTGGAGATGAGCAGGGAACATATTAATTATTTAAAACTGGTAAATCAAGAAAAAGAACCTAACATTTATTTTGTCTTTTCTGTATGAACTTTCACTTAAGGCATCCAGTAGTAGATGAGGGGTAGTACCTATTTGTAAATGTTTTCCACTAATAAATGACAAATAAATAATAGAATATTACTATTTTGCAATCCCATTGAATTAATGAATCTAAGTTGTAAGCATCAAGAGTTGCTCAACATCATAAAAAAGAGACTGAGATATCATGTCCCTCCTGATGAAAGAGCCCAGCTCCACTTACAGTCTTACCATTGGGATCAGGCTGATCCAGTCTCAGTCTAATGGACAACATGCAGGAACTCCAGAGGGTAGAGGGCATGGTGAACTGCCCCACAGGTGCAAAATCAGAAAAATCCAGACTGCAGGAAATTGCACAGGTCCAACAGCCTGGGTTCTTCAACAATAAATCATAAGGGAAGAAGGGAATGAAAAGAAAATCTATGTAGTAAAAGAGATTTAGAAGACATATCCTTTTTTTTAATGGGCAATACTAAACTCTTGTGTCTTGAGTTGAACACGTGGGTGATAAAACTGTAAAGTAACACAAGGAAGGAAATAATGATATAGAAATGAGGATAGGAGTTACTTTGTGGGGAAAAAGAAGGGGCTTAAGATTAAGATGGGGCATACCGAGGGGCTTCTGGTATGGGCGGCAAAGTTAAATTTCTATACGTGGATGGTGGTTAAAAGGGTATTCACCTTACAAGCTTTATATTCAGCTGGGTTTTTTTGGTATTTTTGTTTTATTTTACTGTAAAAATGGGTTGGAAATATCATTATTTTTCTTGTGGACCTTGCCAATTGTGGCTCACTTTGAAGATCTCCCTGAATACAATAATTAATAAGTATTTACTTATATATTCTTCAGCACAGTTTAAATGAGTAATTTCATATTTAAACTATTTAATATATGTTTTACTTTTTAAATTTTTATTCTTACAGATTTAGGGGTACACATGTAGTTAGTTTTGTTATGGATCTATTGCATACTGGTGAAGTCTGGAATTTTCATGAATCCATCACCCAAACATTGAACATTGTACCCAATAGATAGTATTACATCTCTCACTCCCCTCCCACCCTCCTCCAATGTCTATTATTCCACTCTATATGTCACTTACAAGCTGAAGCCACCCATTGTTTAGCTCCAACTTGTAGGTGAGAACATGCTATATTTGCCTTTCTGTCTCTGAGTTATTTCTCTTAGGATAATGATCTCCAGTTCCATCCATGTTGCTGCAAAAGACACAATTTCCTTCTTTTTTATGGCCAAGTAGTATTACCACATTTTAAAAAATCTAATCATGCATTGTAGGACACTCACATTGACTCCATATCTTTGCTATTGTAAAGAGTGATGTGATATACATATGAGCACAGAAGTCTTTCTGATAAAATGATTTATTTTCCTTTGCGTAAATACCAGCAGTGGGATTACTAGAGGGTAGTTCTATTTTTAGTTGTTTGAGAAAGTTCCATACAATTTTCCATAGAGGTCTCCATACAGGTTGTGCTAATTTACATTATCACCAACAGTGTATAAGCATCCTCACCAACATCTGTTATTTTTTGACTCTTTAATATTAACAAGGCTGACTGGTATAAGATGGCATCTCACTGAGGTTTTAGTTTGCGTTTATATGATGACTAGTGATGTTGAACTTCTTTTTTTCTATATGTTTCTTGGCCATCTGTATGCCTTCTTTTGAAAAAATATTGTTTTGTCTGTTCGTGTCCTTCACCCACTTTTTAATGAGATTTTTTTTTTCTTGTCGAGTTGTTTCAGTTCCTTATAGATTCTGGATATTAGCTTATTGTCAGATGCACTGTTTGCAAATATTTTCTCTTTCTGTAGGTTGTCTGGTTACTCTGTCAATTACTTTTCTGTGCAAAGCTTTTTAGTTTAATTAAGTCCCATTTTTCTATTTTTGCTTTTGTTGCATTTCCTTTCGAGGACTTAGTTATAAATTCTTTGCCTAGGTGAATGTCCAGTAGAGATTTTTCTAGATTTTCTTCTAGGATTTTTATCTTCTCAGGTCTTACTTTTTCAATCCATCTTGAGTTAATTTTTCTATATGGTTAGAGATAGGGGTCCAGATTCATTCTTTTGCACATGGCTATTCATTTGTCTCAGCACCATTTACTAAAGAGGCTATCTTTTTCCCAGGTGTATATTTTTGTTGATGTTGTCAAAGGTCAGTCGGTTGTAGGTATATGACTTTATTTCTGGGTTATCCATTCTGTTTTATTGATCTATATGTCTATTTTTATATTAGTATCATGCTGTTTTGGTTATTATAGCCTTGTAATATAATTTGAAGTTAGGTAATGTGACACTTTCAGTTTATTCTTTTTGCTTAGGATTGCTTTGGCTATTTGGGCTTTTTTGTTGGTTCCATATAAATTTTAGGATTGTTTTTTATAATTATGTGAAGACTGACATTGGTAATTTGATAGGAATTGTGTTGAATCTGCAGATTGCTTTGGATAGTATAAATTATTTATCTAGAATGTATGCTTAGTATATGGTGTGATGTAGGGATTTTATTTTACCATTATTTCACTCTCCATAAATATTTTCAAGTTGTTTTTTACTACTGAAAAAATAATGTATGCACGTGGAGGAAAACCATAAATGAAGCACAAGAGAAAAGAAACCCTTCCTTCCATTTATAGCTTTATCTCTCTTACCAAAGACAACCAGTCTTCCTATTTTTTGTTATTGTTGCTGTTGTTGTTTTGCACTGCAGTAAATAATTGTTTTCCATGCAGCATCTTTAATAATTTAGCTTTGCATAAAGCATCCCACTTTAACTCAGTTCATATAATTTTTGTGGATTTGATTTTAACCCAAAGTTGATGAGGTTCCTTAGTCACAGAAATTGCATCAGGAAAGGGAATATGATACAAGTCAGGCCAACAAGAGCCAACAAGACTCAATTTTAGGAGTTTTATCTCAACTACTGAGCAAGAAAAAAAAAAAACTTTAAATTTGGTATAGTCAAGATGTCATCTGGAGCTGTTAGAAATCACACCACGTAGAGCCCAAGAATAAAACCAACAAACAGAATGCAGAGCCAAGATATGGAGGAAATCAGAGACTGATAGTATGGTTTTGAACCCTGCCCAGTTATATGTGAAGTCTAATTTTATACTTTTCAGCTTATAAGAGATAAGGAATTCCCTGGTTGCAAACTTGGATTGAATTTTTTTCCCTTGCAATCAGAATCTAGCTGATAGTATATTCTCCTGAGAATTAATTCTATCTGCATAAACACATACACTTATGTGTATACACACAAGACTGTCATGGTCAGAACTTGGAATCCAAATAGATCTAACTAAGTTGTGTTTTATAAACCCTCTGATTTTCTTCTCACTCTCTGAAACTCAGAAATAAAATAGATTTGAGTAATATAGAATCTCATTATATGTGTTCTCTGAACTCTTACTATTTGAAGTGTGTGTGTGTGTGAGAGAGAGAGAGAGAGACAGAGAGGCAGAGAGAGAGAGGAGAGAGAGAGAGAAAAGAGGGGGGCATTTTATATACTGTCTTGGAGATCTTTCACATCAGTTCGTAGACATTACTTTAAGTGGCTGTAAATTTTTTTCTATGTAGCATGTGCTTAACCAGCATGTATCCCACTGAAAGACATGTTTGTGTACAATTCCTTGCTATTCCAAACATATATATTTTATCACGAATGTATATGAATATATCAAACAGTAAGGTCTTAAGAGTAGAATCGTTGATCCGAAGGATATGAACAACTTAGCTTTTTATAAGAGAAAAATAAGAGTTTGGTTTGGACTTGTTAAGAGTACTGAAATAGGAGCAGGTCTTGGGGAAAACATCTTTATTATATTAAAGATGTATCCCAATGTTTATTTATAAATGTCTTATTTTACCAAAAAAAAGCCTTTAAAATTTTTATGAAGTCCTCAACTTTTTAACCTATTTGAATGATTAATTATATTAAAAGTTTTCCAGATATTGAACCATCTTTGCATTACTAGAAAAAGCCTATCTTGGGCTTGATGTGCTATACTTTTGAAATACTCTGAGATATTTAATTATACTTTTGAGGATTTTTACAATTTTTAAAATATGTATCTACTTTTCTGTTGCATCTTTTTCAGGTTTCTGCAGACATCTTAAGTAGGATGATAATAGCTTTTGATATCAAGTGAAACAATTTATATAGCATGAGAATTATTTATGATGTAAACATTTGCCCATAAATTTTTTTTGAGCCGGGGATCTCATTTGCAGATAGTTCTTTAGAATAAATTAAATAAACTGTCATTGCCACTAATTTAGTATAGTTTTTCACTTTTTGAGTCAGTTTTGGTCACTAATCTGCAAAATATCTATTTCAAACAGAATTTTTATTAGTATATATAAATTTTTCAAAATTTTATATTGTACTTTTGTTAAATATTTCTTATATTCATATCATTTATACTTTATTAGATACAACAAATTTTTGTCACTTTTTCATGATACATCAAAAAATAAGTTCTGAATTGATCAATTCTATTGCTCTGTCTTCTAATTCATTACTTTTCTTTTCACTTTTCTTCTTTACTTCATTGACCTAGTTTTGGTAATGAATATGTTTACTTTTTTCTTTTTATTTTAATAAAATTACAAGGCAATGAAATTGCCTCTGACTAAATCTTTGGTTGTTTTATGAAATATTTTTTCAAATAGTGTTCTTTGCTATTTTTTTCTGAGTGGCTCATTATTTCTAATTTAATTTCCTTTTATCCAGGATAAATTCGAGACATATTTGTTTCTTTTCATGTAGTTTGAAATTACAAGCAAATTTATGCACATTTAAAAATGTGACAAGTAGTATAAGTTTTTGTTGTTGTTGTTTTGAGATGGAGCCTCGCTCTGTCATCCAAGTGGGAGTGCAGTGGCATGATCTCAGCTCACTGCAAGCTCCGCCTTCTGGGTTCATGCCATTCTCCTGCCTCAGCCTCCCAAGTAACTGAGGCTACAGGCACCCGCCACCACGCTCAGCCAATTTTTTGTATTTTTAATAGAGATGGGGTTTCACTGTGTTAGCCAAGATGGTCTTGATCTCCTGACTTCATGATCTGCCCACCTCGGCCTCCCAAAGTGCTAGGATTACAGGCGTGAGCCACCGCACCTGGCCATAAGTTTTGAGTTACGTTATACTCTGTCAGCTAATAGTCTAGACAAATTTTATTATTTAAAAATTAATGGATTAATATACATTCATATTTTATAACTTTTATTAAAAACCAATCAAGAATAAACTGTGAATATGGTGCAACATTCCCTGCTGTGAGATGCTTGGTTAAGGAATTTTGTTTCTCCTGTGTGGCATCCATTTGAGAAAATATTCTGCCCATGAGATTCAAGTGGGCTACAACCCATACATGCTCCTTTACTTTCCTTTCTCCCTTTAGGGTGACACAGGCTTAAACTGAGACAATCCAGCATGGAACACTTGCAGGAAGTACTAGGAAAGTGCATTTTCTTTCCATGAGGGTTGCCAAACTGGAAGCATGTTAGCTAAAGCTACCTGTAGTCATTTTGTGGCCACATTGGGTGAGATTGTCTGAGAAAGCAAACCAACTGAAGCAGAGCAGAGAAGATACTCTACCAACCTAGTTGGAGCCCTGGTTCCAGCCTTGCCTGAAGCTAAATGCACCTCTATGCTTCCTTTTTACTGACCCAATAAATTTCCCTATTTGTTTAAACAAGCTTGATATGATTTTTTTTCACCCAGAGACTCTTGATTCATTTTTTTATTAATTATGTGGCCTCCCACAAAGATGAATACTGATGAAGTATACTGCCAGCCAAGAAGCTCAGGGCTCTGATTTGTAGTCTGAAGACACATGTGGCATACATCAAAGAGTAAAGATCTCCACTGGAAGCTTTGCTCTGTTAGCTTGTTGAGCTTTTGTTGCTTAAAGGGAGAAGAAGCTTGCTGAGTTTTCTAGAATAGCACAGTGTATTGTTTGAGTACATATCTTTGACATGGCACATATTGCAACATGATCCCAATTCACAGCAAAATCAATGGTGCCAAGGTTATCATTGTCTCAATATCATTGGACCTCAGAAATTTCACAGGGGCCCCAGAGCTTTCAGAGTAAAAACATCAATCATCCATGCAGTGATGCAGGATTAATTCACATGTTCAAAAGCATCTGGTCATAACAAAGTTGTGTCTTCAGAGGAAGACTTGTTGTTTGAAGCTCATCCTCCAGCAAGATCAATAAATGTCCCAAAGCGCTGAGGACTCATTCTTCTCTTTTATGTTTTCCTTTGCATAATGACAAAAACAAATCTAGGGACATTTGGAGCAGTTGTCTCTACTTAGAAATAGTCCCTTGGGGCTCCATGGGTAAATGCCTTAAATAATAAGCTTTAAATGTAATGGATAGTTCTTGTTCAGAAGAAGAAATAATGTTCTTTTTAAGAATCAGCTGCAAAAAGGGGGAATCAAAGAAAGAAAACTTCATTGAACTTGAAAGAAAACATTGGGAGAAAAAAATCACCAACTATGGAACCACTATAACTTCTAACAATGCGGCATGAATATGTCTAAGTTTTCACAAAATAACACATTTAAGAATTTTAACTAGTCAAAATACAAAATCAGTCAACTTATTGTTTGAAATGCCTTGTTATTTAACTTAACTGACCATATAATTCAACCAGACACGTACTTACTATGTGTACATGTGCCTGCACACCTGCATGTGTTTGCAGATCAATAATCTGAAGATAGTTTGCAAAACCTTGAAAAGTTTACAGAATCCCTTTGAAGCACTGAGTAAATCTTTCTTTAGTTTTGGAGTCATTTGGAGGCATGGTTCACTTTACTCACATCAGACTTTTGCTTTAGCAACAACAAAAAATGGACAATTTTCTACCAAAAGAAAAAAATAAATAATTTTTTTGAAAAATGTGGCTTTATTTGCTCATGGTAGTTCGCACCAGGAGCAGAAATATGAACTCCTTGAAAGTAAGTCTATCTGTAAAGTATTAAGTAACCACTTCTTAACCTTCAACTCTATGCTGTAAACTTTACTTTTTGTAATAAGGTTAAAAGAGTGACACTAATGGAAGTCTCTGAAAATAACCTACAGCCTCTGCAAAGACTGGGTGTGTTTGCATAATCTAAACTGAGCAAACCTTGGAAGAAATATATGAGCACACATTCTAACACCTTCAATTAAGTTCTGTTAAACTTCCAGAGACTATGTATCTTCTATAAATGGCGAGGAAAGTAGTTGATTCAGACAGGCTACAGTGTTGGAAATGGACTAGTGGCTGTATTTAATCTTTTGAGGGTTTTATTGTTTCAAGCTAGTTAGATTTTGAGCTCGAGCCTCTAAACTCTTCAAGAAGTATATAGAAAGAAGTATCTGAACTCTTACATAAGATATATTCTATATGCAAAATACCAGACAGCTATCAACAACTTTCTCCAAAATCAGAGAAAACTGGAAATAAAGGAGAGAGTGTTTTTGTTTGTTTGGTTTGGGTTTATTTTTTGCAAGGCGCTGTGTTGGTGGTGGTGTTTGGATCTCTGAGTTTTCTGAAACCCCAAACCTCTGCCTGACCCATGACTGGCAGTGTGTCTCAGAGACTTGCTCATTACGCACCATGAATAGCAACGTCCCCTGGTTATTGCAATCAGTGTCCATCAGTTGGAGAACCATGCAGATGTAATGGCTGATGAATCACATTTTATGATGCAAATGGCCCTGGGAGGAATTGTGTTCCCTGTATCCCAGATCCTTTCTCCTTTTAAAAATCTCATTTTCAGTGTCTTGCATGTAACATTTTAAAAGTTATTTTTATTGTTTTTGTTTCCATAGAGAAAAGCCTTATTGTAGAAGTTACAAAGCTTGCATGACCAAATCACAAAAGAAATTTAGTTCTAAAAAGTAACAAAAGAAAATGAGGGAATCTTTTAATTTTTTTTTTTTTAAGTTTACCATTGGCTTTGGGGAGAAAAATCACAAAAGATTAGGCTACATGGTCTGCAAGCCTTCAAAGAGAAAAAACAGTTCTTTTAATACAGGTCTAGTAACTAATTAATATTTTGAAATTTTACAATGTGTATAATCTCCAGCTATTACAAGAAATAGTTTATTGTGAGCCTCTCAGATGTGAAGGGAAATTGATGACCTGACAATATAGTGGAGAATGTTAGAGCAAAATGACTTTTCTTTCCACTTAAAATAACATGAAGACTATTTCTTTTCTATTTTGTCAAATTATCTTGATGCTATAGATTCTTGAAAAGAATCAGGATCCTGATTCTGATCAGGATCATCTCTGCACCTCCTCTCAGAATTTGCATATCTCAAGGCACAATTTAGGGTAAGCATCCTTGGGCACCAAGCATTTTACATTGTCCCAAAAGTCTCAGCAAGTCCTCGGCAAAGTCCTCTTGTCTCTGTCTGTCTAGCTGCCTCTTCCTACACCCCAACTCCCCTCCCCTTGATTCTCTGTTCCATTTCATCTCTCCTCCTCTTTTTCTCATGTTCCCAGTAGATTGGAACGTTTGGAGGTTTCTTTTCCTACACCCTCATTCTCCTGTCTTTGTTGTCTTACAAACATATATGTGAACCCCTCATTGTTATTAAACTTTTTTCCTCCCTAACCTCACTTTCTCATGAGATAAACCATCCTGTCATCAGTTTTAAGTACCTTCTGTCTGTCATAAAATAGGCCACTCTAAAATTTTTTTTAAATGCCCATTTGTCTTCTGACTACATGACCAACAAAGGTTCAACATCTATCCCTACATTCTTCCAGAATTTCTTACACTATATTTATTTCCATCCATTCTTTCTCTTTACATATAAATAACAGAGATTGGTCTGTTTGTAGTATCTGAGGTTTTCTATGTAAGATACAGATGTCCTGTCCATTTCAGGACTCTCCTGTCTCTTGCCTGATGTTTGACTGAAACACCTAGCACCTCCCAGGACTAGGTGCACATCCTCTTAGGATATAGTCTTCTTAATAGGGGACTGAGCTCTGATAATGTCCACCACTGTTGTAACTAGAAATCCTTTTCTCTGATTTCACTGTCAATGCTATGAGCTCATTCAATTCCAAGTGTCCCATAATTTGGATTGTTTATAGTCTAGTCAGGAATGAGCCTTGCCACACCCACTCCACTTATCAGCAACTGGAGGAGCAAATGCATATCTCAGAACTGTGAAGTCATTTGATGCCAGACTTTCTTTGGTGTCGCCAAGTTGAGGTTTTATGTGCATTTTTTATCTAAACTATGGAGTCTGACTGCAGCTGCCCTCATTAGCTTTATTCTGGAAGGCAGGGCCTGTCTTCTGCATTGAATCTTAGTCAGTGTGCATCTAAGTCATCTATTTGTTTTTAGTTTTTTCTTTCAAAGGATTCAACTGTTTACATTTGCTTTGAGCTGCTTCCATTATTTCATAAAGTAGACCTTACCTTTTTAGTCCTACAAATTCTAATTATTAGATCATCATAATCATGGGATTGGATGTCTAAAATTTTTTCTCCATAAATACCTCCTCAATTCAGTGTGCATATCCTAAACGGAGATAGCTGATGTTACACAGCTTTTTGTAGGCTTTTAGTCCCTAGCACAGCTCTTCGGACACAGGCAGTGATACTGCTTTAATTTTAAATGGGGGCATTCTTTTTTATTCATTACGGGTTTCTACTAGCTTCAGGCCAAAGCCCAAGGGCCTATTTTGTCTAAGCAAAAATAGCCACTGTCATTTCCTGAATGCTGAGTCAAAACTACTCTGTACGCAAGAGATGGAGGGCATCACTTGTAAGGGGAGGGGAACTTGAATGCTTTTCTTCCACTCTATTTTTTTCCACTATCCTGCTATGCTTTGCTTTCCCACAAGATACACTTTCATGAAGCCCCTCCTGAAATGCACTTGTGAACTAGAAACAGAAGAAAATCCTTGGTACTTGCCTTCTACCATTTACAAAATCAGCCATCATCAAGATCTGCATAGTCTGGGTATTACTGTGGGTAACAGAGAAAAGCTATGTTATTTCAAACAAAAATTTATATTGGGTCATCCTATAGGTGGACAAAATGACACTAAATGATGATAAATACTGTGGATTCTATCCAGGGCAAAGTGAATGTAAGGAGGCTGAGGAGAAGGACAAGACAAAGAGAAGCACCAGGAAGGTGGGAAAAGAAGATCCCAAACAAGACAGGCTTATAAAATTTGAGCCAGGAAGGAAGAGGACAGAGGAGACACAAGTTCAAGACTAGAACCCATCTGATGTGTGTGATAGAGATCAGTGGGGCCAAGAATCTTGCAAGCCTCAAGTGATCCAAGGTGAGAAGACTTAAAAGAAGTCTCAGATGGCCTCAGAGAATCCATTTTTAAATTAAATTCAGTGTATCTCAGTCCAATCATAAAGTTTCTCATCCCTCCCTCCTGAGGACTATAAGCTGACAAAAAGACTAGACTGTATAGGGTTGAAGGAATGAAGCAAATTCTGATTGAGGAACAATCATAGGTATTGAGCTGAGCAAAGAAAGACAATTTCTCCAAGTCAAGTCTCTAATTTTTCCACCTGGATGTGAATTATAACCTGAGTTGAGGCGCCATAAGAATAATACAATACTCTATGCATTCTAACTGGTGAATGAAGTGCAAAATGGATGAATGAACAGGTTTTCAAGAGTATGAAAATCCAGGCCATCATTTCACTGTCTAAAAAATTATTCTTTTTATGTCTTCAGTTTCACAATAAAAACTGTGGAGACTTTGTGGCCAACATGGATTAGGTGATGAGGTTAGCTGTTTTTCACCTGAAGATCAGTCATGAGGCACAGACACACCTTGATATGTGTTAAGGATGAGAATGAAAAGGTTATACAAGTAAACAAGCTGAAGAAAGAAGGCTCAGGTGGGTCTCCACTGGGCATCAGGTGAGCCTTTAACACAAAGACAAGTTCAGGGGAAGATGGCCTTAGACGAAAGATCCCTGAAGTCACTGTCACAAGAACTAGGTTACATTCTGGTTACACATCCATGGATTCTGTCCATGGTTTTATTTTGTGAACACAATGCTTTTTATCTGTGGCACATTTTTTGAGAAGACAAACTTTGATTGCTATTAAACACAGAGCTAAAACCAAGTAAGAGGCGATTCTCCAAAAGCACTTCCTCAGCAAACAGCATATCTATTGTGTGTGGGTTCTTTAATTGGCTGAGAACTGAATTTCACCTTTGGCATTAAAGAGAAGTGTTTATTTTTACTGTCTTCACTGTTTTAATGTTTAAACAAAATCTAAATACTGAGGTGAACTCTATCATAAAACAAGTGAAACGGCAACATAGGTTGATCCAGAAAGAAGCAAATTCCAGCATGGCGGGCACTACATGTTTCAGCTCATCAGTTATCTGAATCTTATGGCTCTAAAGATGGATGGATGAGAATACATAGGCAGAAGCTTCCTGGTGAGGCTGGTATGATTCTGTTGTCCTATCTTCAACACTATCCTTCTACCTTCAGGGTTGCTGTTGTAGGTTTTATTTCTTTGGCTTCTGTTGCCAGTAATGGAAAAGGACCACATGGAAGACTGTATTTATGTACATCATGTCCAAACAGAATATCCTATAATAGTGAATCTTGGAAGAAAGCTTGAGAGATGTGGCCCAGCGCGGTGGCTCACACCTGTAATCCCAGCACTTTGGGAGACTGAGGTGGGCTGATCACGAGGTCAGGAGTTCGAGACCAGTGTGACCAACATGGTGAAACCCCATCTCTACTAAAAAGACAAAAATTAGCCGGGCCTGGTGGTGTTGCACCCGTAATCCCAGCTACCCAGGAGGCTGAGGCAGGAGAATTGCTTGAACCCAGGAGGCAGAGGTTGCAGTGAGCCAAGATCGTACCACTGCACTCCAGCCCTCCAGCCTGGACAACAGAGCAAGACTCTGTCTCAAAAGAAAAAAAAAATACCAGTTTGAGAGATGTATGTGAGGACTGATTACCGAAAGCGAAAGGGTTTAGTACATCTCATGAGAACAGAGCAGTCACAAGTGATATAAACCAAACTCCCTTGGAAATTTGTAATCTATCAACTTCTTTATTTAAAGAGAATAGGAGGTTTACTGTGAAACAGTCATAAGACAGATTTCCAGAAAACATAACAATTCAGAACATATATTTAATCCCTCCTCAATCCAGATCCTTGTTGAAACAATGAAAGAGTACAATATACTGCCATGAAAAGTACTGAGAAAAGTCTACAGATAGTGACATGGAAGAAAAGAAAAAATATTAAATAGATCAAACTAGTTATATAATTTGTATCTCATTTCTGTAAAATAAATTTAACATTTATAAGTGTATTAGTTTGTTCTCACATTGCTATAATAAAATACCTGAGACTGGGTAATTAAAAAAAAAAACAGATTTAATTGGCACACAGTTCTATAGGCTGTACAGAGAAAACAGTGGCTTCTGCTTCTGGGGAGGTTTCAGGAAACTTCCAATCATGATGGAAGCCGAAGGGGAAGCAGACACATCTTACGTGGCCAGAGCAGGAGCACAAGTGTGAAGGGAAGTGTCTGTTCATATTCTTCACTCACTTTTTAATGGGGTTGTTTGTTTTTTTCTTAGAAATTTAAGTTCCTTGTAGATTCTGGATATTAGGCCTTTGTCAGATGGATAGATTGCAAAAATGTTCTCCCATTCTGCAGGTTGCCTGTTCACTTTGATGATAGTTTCTTTTGCTGAGCAGAAGCTCTTTAGTTTAATTTTGCAGGGACATGGATGAAGCTGGAAACCATTATCTTCAGTAGACTAACTGTTAACAGGAACAGAAAACCAAAAACAAACAAAAGCATGAAGAGGGAAGTGTCACCCACATGAGAACTCACTATTGTGATGACAACACCAAGGGGAATGGTGTTAAACCATGAGAACCGGCCCCCATGATCCAATCACTTCCCACCAGGCCCCACCTCCAATACTGGATATTACAATTCAACAAGAGATTTGGGCAGGAATACAGATCCAAACCATATCAGTAAATATAATAAATATATATTAATAAATATGTAAATATATGTATGCAAGTTAACAAATGAACCAGTTGGTATGTAAGTATGTATATAAAGGACCATAGCAGTTACATTGGAAATTAAGACTTTCATTAAATTTTGCATGTGTATATTTTCAGTTTCACAAGTATAAAGATTTTATAAAATTTAAGCAATGTAAGGTCACACAATAAACATTTAAGTCTTTATTTATCTCTGACCCTTTCAACTCGACATCCATTTTCTAGGTTACACATTTTGGAAATGTTTGGATTGTTTGCAACAACCATTTTACTCTTTTTTTCTGATTTTTTCTAATCAGAAAAATAAATATTAAAAATAATATATAAGCCAAGAAATATAAGTTTTCTATCAGAATTAGAAACTATGGAAGAGTTCTATCCATATGTAGAAATTCAAAAGTATTTCTGCTCTCTATATTATGAATAAGACCAAGCCAAGGAAAGATTTGGCCAACTGGCGATTCACCACATATGAAGAAAAAACTCTCCTGGGAAGTAAGGGGGGAAAAAAAAAACACTGGACAAGTTCTCCTTAACATTTCCCAAGAGCAGTGGCTGGTAGTGAGGGCTCTGGGGGAGGCAGACAGTGAGTGATGACCAGTGACCTAGGAAATGGACCTGACATTGGGATTCATACATCCTGCTGGGTGGATTTTCTCCTGCCATTTAGTTCTGCCAGCTCTCCTGGACAAAACGGCCAGTTAGAGACAAAGTAGCCACCCAGGTGAAAGTGGGGTAGAAACGATTTTTAATGTGTGTGTTGATCGTGAGCGTTTCTTCTGTGAATTTTCTGGAGATAATTGAATCTCCCTATTGCAGTTAGCTTGGACATTGGCATCTTTCATATTTGGGCTACATATTCACCCCTGGAAAGCTGCTGAAGCTCTGACCTAGTTGAAGAAAACAGAAATCAAACTAGAGGCTTCACTTCCCTCTTCATTCAGACCTGAAAAACTCATATGGGGCCTATATGATCCATGAGAGAACCCATCTCAGCTTCCAACATTGGACAAGCATAGACTTCTCTCCCCAAATCTGAACATTTGGGACATAGGAAGCAACTGAAATGGGGACAGATCTAAAACATCTGATCAAATTCCCCCTTGATAGAACCTCTCATTTATCAAAAGGTTGTAACACTTCTGAAAGTAAAACAAGTCATCTGGATGTAGGGATGACCTCATGAGGTGCTCATTCAATATTCCATGTGCTCCCCAGGTTGGAGCTCAGGACTAGCTCTGGCCAGCCAGCTGAAGTCATGTGCTGCAGGACTGAAGAAGCAGCAGAAAGTCTCTGGATTCTCATTTTATCCTCTACAGCCACCATAGAAGTCACACGTTAAGATAGTAGAAATACAAAATAGAAGCAATCTTAGATCTCTCGATCTTTGCTATGAAGGGAATCACCCTGAAAGATCTGAATACACCAGACTTCACTTGTGCAAGAAGTAAAACTTAAGCCACTAAATGTTGAAGTTTGTATAACTGCAGCATGGCTTAGCTATAACAGTAAAACTGATCTGAGATTATTTATATATTTTATAGCATATATTTATCAAAATAGAGAAAATACCAGAAGAAGTAATAGAGAATGAATTAAAGAAAATTCTTTTAAGTTCAGAGGATTCACTAATTCCCAGGTAGAAGCAACAGACCCTAATTCAGCCACATTCTCATTCAAATATTTTTCTAATTCCAAAGATAAAACAAATAATGATTGTGTGTGTGTATTGAGGAGATACAACAGCAATAAAATTCAAATAAAATCAGATTGCCTAAAAGAGGAAAAAATTGGCTTGATGTGAAAGCTCTCTTTTATAATGCTGAATGGAATAATGTCCCATATTTTGAGAAGAAGAAAATATGACAGAACTTTATAATCAGTCAAACTATAATTTGTAGGAGAACAACAGAAATACAGTCTTGGACATATAACACGTTAAAGAAAAAGCTTTAAACAAAATAAATTTGTTAACAGACTTTCTTTGAGCAAAGAAAGATTGATGAATGGGCATCACTCAGAACTGGAAGAGGTTCCAAGAGCTCTGCTGCAATAGCATAAGCAGTGAGCTTTTACAGGTTGATGTGGAAGTAAGAGAAAGAAAGCCTATTTGATTGGTTAAAGTGAAAAGACCCTAGTTAAGAGGCTAGTTGCTGTTTTCTGATTGGTAAAGTCCCGTGTTTCATTTTACTATTTACATTGAGCTTCAGTTTGCTTACTTAAAGCACTGGAGCTACCCAGCCTAATGACCTCCTAAATTAAAAATAATAATAATAATGAATAGAACATACAACACATAGTTCTTACCATTCCTGAAAATTTCATTCCATATGTAAGAATGCTAAAGTTCAAATACGATACCCATTCATTTAATGTATAATAACCATTGTATGTATGGAAATTAATCCTCTCCATTACTATAACCCCAGAGCCTTCCTCAATACTTGGCTCATATTAAATTCTTAATAGATATTTGCTTAATCAAATGTTAAAATTATTGAGAAATATACTGAACTAAGAAATTAACAGATAAAACAGGATACAAAAGAAGTGATGGTGAGCAATAAAATAGGTGAAATAATTAAATCTTTGAAAGGAGGTGTAACATAATTATAAAACTGAATGTATCTGGGATTTGTGTAGTATGGATTTTATTTGAAAATTTTCTTGATCAGAATATTCCAGAATTATTTATTGAAACTAGGAAGTGATAGGATAATGAGTGAGAGGTAATCAGTAAGGTATTTTACATCTCATCTTTTATAAGGTGAAGTAAGTAGTTACCGTCTCTGTCTTTATATTGGTATGTAGGAGGAAATTGATTTTGTTATGAATAACAATAAAATAAAATCATAAGGTAAAATTTTAAGACCACTAAAGAAACATGATCAAGTAAATTTGGTCCTTATAACAAAACCAGGGGAAGCTACTTCAAGAAAACATGAATAAATAAATGAATAAGTAAGTAAATAAAACCAAATTCAAAACAAGATGAATGAGGACCTAAAAATTTGTTGTAGCAAATGAGAATGAATTAAATACTTTTTAAAATACAGCTTTATTGATGTATAATCTACATAACATAAAAATACAATTCAAAGATTTTTTAAAAATTTACAGAGTTATGTAATTTTAGGACATTTGCATCATTCACACAAGACTTGTCATGCCCATTCCAGTTACTCACTACCCATTCCCATCCCAGCCCCAGGCAACAAAGAGTCTACTTTCTCTCTATATGTATTTG
Source organism: Homo sapiens (assembly GCF_000001405.40). Taxonomy (NCBI): domain Eukaryota; kingdom Metazoa; phylum Chordata; class Mammalia; order Primates; family Hominidae; genus Homo; species Homo sapiens. Next base: position 14,911,166 of record NC_000017.11, read on the forward strand.
CCTTTTCTGAACATTTTAGTTAAATTCTTTAATAAGATAATCTGATTTTTCTAAAAAAGAAACATGGCTCTAGTTGAAAATAAAGGTGCCATGATACCAGGAAAATGTAAACTGAAAAGAAATCAGATGTAGACAAACAGCGCAAAACATGGAATTCAAGGCCATTGAATGGTTTAGGAGTGAAATATGATGCAGTTCCCACTTGAAGCAAATACTCTTGAAGATTTAGACATTTTTTTCTTCATGGATAAAAAGATACAGGGAAATAATATGGATTTCATGTTTCGTTTCTCTGTCATGTCATGTTCAATTCATATGTGATACTTGGAACTGTGAACAGCTATATTAAGAATACGAGGGGGATTTTAGTAAAGAAGGCAAAATGAAGAAAACAGAGAATCTGAATCTGTGGTTAATTGTTACATTATTGAATTAATCTTGGAGCCAAGGTACTTATTTAAAGGTATATTTTCAATATTATTTCATCCATTTGAGTCAAGATTTTCTGATAGGTACAATCAAAATAATCCCAACTAAAGTATGAACTTAAGCAAAATACTCTTTCCTATTATTTGCTTGGATTCTGTATATTTCTTTTTTCTGTGTTTGCATGGCTGACCAACTTTTCTTATGGTCATGTTCTGTCTATAAATATGTTATGCAATATTTCCCTGCTGGAGCACCACTGAACATGCGGTGCCAGCTCTCCGTCCCATTACCAGCACTATAGACGCCACCCCAGGAGCATCTTCTGACCATTGACCTTCACAATAGTAACCACCACCTGATGTCTTGCACCGTAGAATAGTTTTGTCTGCTTTTGAAATGTGTATAAGTTAGATAATAAGTGTGTATGCTTTTCTGTTCATCTTATTTCTGTCAACATTAGCTTTGTGAGATTCATCCACACTATTGTATGCAGTTGAAGTTAATTTGTTTTTGGGCAGGAGCTCATGAAGAGATCAAACATTATTTGAAGAGCACTGACTTGTCATTTTCGCAAGAGCGTCCTTTGTTCTGGCAGCATGTCTGAGAGCAAGCAGTCCTTTTTGCATTTGTGTAATTTATACCTCCTTAACAAAATATATATTTTTTGATTATAGTGGGCTTTGAAGGTATGCAAGAGAAAGAGATTAACTACAGCTTCTCTTAGAAGGAAGTCCTAAATTGAGTTTCACATTTTTGCTCCTCTTCCACAACCCCTCTCTTCTACTATACCTCTCTTTTTATATGCCCTCCCCCACCATACACACACATTGTGGAAAGGAAGTTCAATAGGTTTGCCATTTCCTCTGGGAGCCCACAAAATAAGAAAGATGAAAGCAGATTAGGGGGTACATCAGGGAAGATGGCAAAGTAGGGTGCTCAAAGAATGGTCCCTCCACTGAAATGGCCATAGTTGGCAAAAAAAAAAATGACAGAATCAACTTCTTTTAGAATTCTGGATTCTAATAAAAGAATCGCAACAACCAGGAGAGTCCTTGGCAAAATACAAAAAAATAAAAAAGTAAGTGAATTTTAACGAAGAGTACTGTGGCATTGTTGCTTGCCTGCCTACCATTCTTAGTTCCCTAGTACTGTGGCAGCAGTCATGATGATTACAACTCACATTCCTGGTATGTCTTGCTGGTGTGAAGAAGATAATATTGACCTACTCTTTAAATTTCAGTGGTTATGCACTTTTACCTGTTTGGCAGTCCTGTTTTGACACACTTCCTCAGGCTGGATCTGGCTTTTGGGAGGCATCAGCAATGGTCTCTGCAGAAAGATTTAAAACATACACTACCAATGCCCACCTGGATCAATGGATGACAAAGCAAGCAGCAGGCAAATGCAAGAGCACAGGAAAGAGAAGGCTAGTGAGGGAGGTTCTTGAGCGAACACAGGTTTAGAAAAGCCTTTGAATGTACTGAGGAAGATAGAGCACATCATGTAAGGCCAGGACTGGATTCATACTCAGATAAAATCTGAGAAGATCTTGACTTGCACTTCTGACAAATTATGAGCTTCCTGCAAGCAGGAGGTGAAGGGTAAGGTAGAGTTGTAGGAAGCCTGACTTAACAGTGAAGGAGTGCCTCAGCTAAGAGTCAAAATATAAAGATTGAGAGAGGAATAACTTTTTTTTTCTTTTTGGCTCTAGATAATCAAATTTCTATAAAGTCATTTGTTGATTGCTGGGATAATTTAACAGCGACCTCAGTGAACACATGTGACAAGAATTACAGTCTTCAGAAAAAATGGTTTGAAAAACATGACCAAACAGATGGCCATAGCCCTTAACAATCAACATCAGAAAACCATAGGGAAAATGGGTAATTTGAATCACAGGGTCACTAAATTATAATATTAAACATTTCCATTTTTCAACAAAAACAAATTACAAGGCACACAAAGAAGCAAGAAAATACGGTCCATTCAGATGAAAAACCAAATTGATAGGTGCTTTCCCTGAGGAAGCCCAGACATTGAACTTATTAGACAAAGACTCATTGATCAAATTGTCTTAAATATATTCAAAGTACTACAGGAAAGCATGGACAAACAAATAAAACCAGGAAAATGATGTATTAAAAAATACAGAGTATCCATAGATAAAGAAGAAAGATAAATAAAGGTAAATAAGGATTATGAAGAGATAGAGTATAAGAATGAATCTGTAACTGAAAGTCACAGTAACTAAAATGAAAAATTCACTAGAAGGGTTTTATAGCAGATTTGAGAAAACAGGAGAAAGAATGCAAAAACTAGGAAAAAAAGACAACTGGATTTATTCGTGTTCAAAAGCAGAAAGAAAAACTAATTTAAAAAATGAACAGAATGTAAGGGGCCAATGGAACACTTATCAAGCATACTAAGATATGCACTATGAAAGTCCCAGAGAGAGAAGAAAGATACAAAGGTGAAGAAAAAAAATGGCAGAAATAATGGCAGGAAACCTTCTCAAATTTGGTGAAATACATAAAGCAACACATTCAAAAAGCTCAATGAACTCTAAGTAAAATCAACTCAAATCTATACCAGAACACATTATAATTAAACTGTCAAAGCCAAACACAAAAAGACAATCTTAAAATCAAAAGAGAAGTGAATTGTCACATATAAAGGATCCTCAATACAATCAATAGACAATTTTACAGTAGAAGCCATGGAGGCAAGATGGCAGTGGATAAAATATTGAAAGTACTGAAAGAAAAAAATTAACCAAGGATTCTATACTGGCAAAACTGTCCTTTTAAAAATGATGGAGAAATTAAGACATTCCTAGATAAACAGAAGCTGAAGAAGTTAGTCACTAGCAGACCTGCCTTATTAAAAAATGCTGAAGGAAGTTCTTCAGGTTGAACTGAAAAGACTCTAGTAACTTGAACTCATCTAAAGAAATAAGGAACTCTGGTAAAGATAACTACGTAGGTAAATGTAAAAATTAATACTATTATTAGCTTGTAACGCCTCTCTTTGTTTCCTATGTGTTTTAAAAGAAAAATGCATTCAACAGAATATTAAGAGGATTCTATGCCGTGACCAAGAAGAGTGTACATCAGGAAAACAAGAGTAGTTCAAAAAGGAAATTAGTCAATACACCACATTAATAGAACAAAAATTAATTAGTCTCAACTGATGTAGCAAGAGCATTTAATTAAAACCAATGCCCTCTATAATTAAAAAAGCAATCAGAAAACTACAGATAGAAGGGACCTTGTTTAATATGATAAAGAGTATTTATCAAAACTTGCTGGCTAACATCATATCCAATGATGAAAGACTGAAATTTCCACCTAAGATCAAGAACAAGAAAAAGATTCCCACTTTCACCACTGTCATTCAACATGCACTAGAAGTTCTAGCCAGAACAATTAAGCAATAAAAATAATAATGAGTTATTCAAATTAGAAAGTGAGAAGTGAAACTATCTCTATTCTCAAATGACATGATTTATATAAAGAAAATACAAATTCACACACACACACGAACTACAAGAACTAACAAGCAAATTCAGCAAAAAGCTTCAGGCTACAGGATCAACACACAAAATCAATTGTGTTTCTATACACCAGCAATGAATAATGGAAAAGTAGAATTCTTTAAAATCTAATTACAACGTCACCCAAAAGAATAAAATTCCCTTGAATAAATTAACCAAAGGTGTAAAAGACTTGTATGATAAATACTACAAACTTTTGCCAATAGAAAGTAAAGAAGATCTAACTAATGGAAAAATGTCATGTGTTCATGGATTAGAAAAGTAAATACTCTCAAAATGAGACTTATTACCCAAAGTAATCTAGATTTACCAGAATCATCATCTTTTTTTTTTTTTTTTGAAATGTAGTCTTGCTCTGTCACCCAGGCTGGAGTGCAATGGCACAATCTTGGCTCACTGCAACCTCTGCCTCCTGGGTTCAAGTGATTCTCCTGCCTCGGCCTCCCAAGTAGCTGGAATTACAGGCACACACCACCACATCCAGCTAATTTTTGCATTTTTAGTAGAGATGGGGTTTCACAGTGTTGGCCAGGCTGGTCTCGAACTCCTGACCTCAGGTGATCCACCAGCCTTGGCCTCCCAAGGTGCTGGGATTACAGGTGTGAGCCACTACCCCCAGCCTTTTTTTGAGACATGGTCTTGCTCTGTTGCCCAAGCTGGGGGGTAGTGGTGCAATCTGGGCTCAGGTGGTCCACCTGCCTTGGCCTCATAAAGTGCTGGGATTACAGACATGAGCCACTGCACACGGCCGATTTACCAGAATCTTTATCAAAATTCCAGTGGTCTTTTTTTCAGAAATGGAAAACCTAATCCTCAAATTTATAGGCAATTGAAAAGCATCTCAAATAGTCAAAACAATCTTGACAAAGAAAAACAAATTTGGAGGACTCATACTTCTCAATTTCAAAACTTACTACAAAGCTATAGCAATCAAACAATGAAATAGTATACAGCCTTTGCAAAGAAGGAAATTCTGTCACTCACGAAAACTGGATGAAACTGGAAGACATCATGCTAAGTGAAATAAGCCAGGCATAGAAAGACAAACTGTGTAATCCCCTTATATGTAGAATCCAAAAAAGTCAGTCTCATAGAAACATAATAAAAAGGTGGTTACCAGAGGCTGGGGATAGAGTGGCAGAGCGGGGGTGACTAAGGAAAAAAGAGATGCTGAACAAAGGGTACAAAGTTTTAGTTAGACTGAGGAGTAAGTTTTAGTGATCTATTGCTCTGCACGGTGACCACAGTTAATAATGACGTATTATCTATTTCAAATTGCTGAAAGAATAGATTTTTAATGTCCTCACCACAAAAAAAATTATAAGTTGAGGAGGTGATAGATATGTTAATTAGCTTGATTGAATCTCTTCACAATGTATGCATAGATCAAAACATCACATTGTACCCCATAAATGTGCACAACTATTATTTGTAAATTGAAAATAAATTACAAAAAACAGTGTGCTGCTTGTGTAAGAATAGACATATAAACCAATGGAATATAATTCAGATTCCAGAAATAGACTCATATGACTATGGCCAATTGATGTTTTACAAGAATGCTAAGACCATTGACTGAGAAAAGAACAGTCCCTTCAGCAAATGGTGCTGGGACAATTGGACATCCACATGCAAAAGAATAAAGTTAGACTCCACTCTTGGATTGTTTCATAACATACAAAAATTCACTCAAAATGGAACAATGACCTAAATACAAAGACTAAAACCATCAAACCCTTAGGGCAACATAAGGATAAATCTTCATAGCATTGGGTTTAGCCATGGATTCTTATATATGACACCAAAAGTACAAGCAATGAAAGAAAAAAATAGATAAATTTGACTTTATCAAATTAAAAAATATTTGCTTGATAAGGGTCTAGTATCCAGAATTCATAAGGAATTTTTATAGCTCAACAATGTAAAAACAAACAGCTTAATTTAAAAATGGGCCAATGACTTAAATAAGCATTCTCCAAAGAAGGTGTACAAATGGCCAGAAATCACATGAAAAGATGCTCAATACTACTAGTAGGTAAAAAGATGAATATCAGAACTATACTGAGATGCCACTAGGATGTACAATACATTTAGGTGCCATACCCATGAGGATGGCTATAACAAAACAAAAAAAAATAGGAAAATAACAAATGTTGGCAAAGATGCAGAAAAATAGGAACCCTCATACATTGCAGTGGGAAGGTAAAATGGTTCGGCAACTGTGGGAAATAATTTGGCAGTTCCTCAAAAAGTTAAACATAGAATTACTATATGACCCAGCAATTCCATTCCTTGATAAATTACCAAAAGAACTAAAGACAGGGGCCGGGTGTGGTGGCTCACACCTGTAATCCCAGCACTTTGGGAGGCCGAGGCGGGCAGATCTCTTGAAGCCAGGAGTTTGAGATCAGCCTGGGCAATATGGCAAAAGCCCATCTCTACTAAAAATACAAAAAAATAATAATTTAGCTGGGCATGGTGGTGCACACCTGTGATCCCAGCTACTCAGGAGGCTGACTCATGAGAGTCTTTTGAACCTGGGAGGTAGAGGTTGCAGTGAGCCGAGATCACACAACTGCTCTCCAGCCTGGGTGACAAACCAAGACTCCATCTCAAAATAAATAAATAAACCCAAATAAATACTTATACAGGAATGTTCATAGTGTCACTGTTCACAGTAGTGGAAAACAATAGCCAAAAGTTGAAGACAATCTAAATGCCCATCAAGAAAAGAATGAATATATACACTATGGTATATACAATGGAATATTATTTGGCCATATAAATAAATGAAATGCAGATACATTCTACAACATGGATGAAACTCAAAAACACTGTCTTGTGTGACAGAAGCCAGATACAGAAGGTCACAGGTTTTATAACTTTATTTATAGGAAATATCCAGAATAGATAAACACATTCTAGAAATCAGATTGGTGATTGCCAAGATCTTAAGAGTGAGGAAGCAGTGGAGATAAACTCCTTCATGGGTATGAGACTTTATCTGGGGGTGATGAAAATATTTTAGGATTAGATAGAGGTGATGGTTGCACAATATTGTAAAAGTACTAATTGTCACTGACTCGTTCTCTTTAAAATGGTTAAATTTATGTTACATGAATTTCCCCTAGATTAAACAACAACAACAAAATAATCTCCGTTCATCAGGATGTCAAATATCACAAGGGTTCTCACCATTGTTCCCCATCTTCAGAGGCGATTTCTAGGGTCAAAGGGCTGTGGGAGCCGATGCATGATGGGAAATTAAAGTGAGTCTCCCCCGGCTCAAGTGTGAATGCTAATGAAATAAAGTGTGTATTGGCCTATTTTTTTCCCCTCATGGAGACATGTGGAAAAACACAAATGTACCCTCAGAGTTCTTTATCTGCTTTACTTGTACTCAAGGGAGCGTTCTCATTACATTGGGTTTGAAGAGATAAAACTAATAACAAAGAAAAATGAGAAGAGGCTGGCTAGGAAAGACTCTTCTTTGAAGTAAGCCAGTCCATCCTAAGTTCATAGGCAGTTTCCATTCCTGGTGGGTGAGTGGCAAAGAAGAATTTGATAATTAAACGATGAGGAAAAACGTAAAATATTTTTTCACAGCCAATGATGTCATTCTTCCTTGAAATACTGCCTCCACAGATCAAAGATAAACAAACAGCCCAGGGGTGGGAAGGAGGCATGGGCAGAAACCGGGAATAAAATGCACCCTTAAAGCCAAAAGTATCTTTTCTCTCCTCCTTCTAAAAGCCAGAGCCTTCCATTTGGAATATAAATGTTTTTTAAAACTCTTGATAATTACAAATGTAAAGGAGAGAAAAGAGCTTTCTTCGCAGTGGGGTTTCTTATCTACACTGACCTCTAGTTCCTACAGATGGGGATGTGGGCCCCAATTCTCAGGATTTTAGAAAAGAATGTGTTAAAACGGGGGTGGGTGTGGGTGAGAGGAAGCTGAAATGTGTGCGGATGGTTTAACATGCAAATGTCCTCACTTTCTTTTAGGTGGAGGATCAAGGTTTGGCTATTTTCAACTTCTTTTCCACTCCCCCTCTCTTCCCATCCCAGTTTAGTTGCAAGAGAACTGTGAATGTGACAAGGGCTTTGTGTAGGGAATTCAGGCGAATGAAAGGACCAAGGAGACCCAGTTGAGGGAACAAACTTTTGAGGGTCAGTGGGGTCAGCTTAGAATAAATGTGTAGCATTGTTGGTATTAAGGACATACTCTCAGCAGGGTGTCCTGAGCCGGGCACACAACGTGCAGGCCTGTTTATTCAACACTGAAATACCTACGGATGGGTCTTGGGGAGAAAAGGGAAACTTCAGCAGCAAAAGCCTGCACCTTTCAGTATCAGAGCATTCCCCAGAAGCACAAAGTCCTGCTTTTTTTCCCTTCTAATCACAGAGAAGAAAGTGCCTGTGCATAACCCAAAATTAATTGATTAATTAACCAATGCATTAAAAGAAGAGCTTCCCTTAGCAATTTTTTTCTTTCTTTCTTTCTCTCTCTTACTTTTTTTCCCTCTTCCACACATGGACAATCCAGGTCATTGAAAGCCTAAGATAGAAACAGTTTCTTAACAGTGTTTGAAAACAGCCTTTGTTTCCATGGAAGTGGCACAGGCCCTCTGTGGTTTCTTTCCAGAAAACATTTACCTACCTCAGAGGGGTTTTTTGTGAGGATTAAATGAGAGAAAGTGCTTAACACACTCTGAGTACATCGTTAGAGCTAAATAAATATTAGTAGTTGTTCGTATGTATTGCTCTTACGCGGCTCAGTCATGAAGAGGTCAGGGAGGAAGATGGGAGGATGCAAGTTGAGCTGTCCCAGCTGAGGTGGAATCAGAATCAGATTAGAGAGGATGCGGAGGGGGAGAGGCTGGGCTCACTGGTGAGGATGCAATTCTTAGGCAATTCAAAGGTGGAGAGGGGAGTTGTCCAAAACCAGAGTTAAAGAGTGACTCAGAAGATTAAGGAAGAAATTCACCTGAGGACTCTCTCTCAGGAATTTTTTAAAAGGCATATGAATTTGCCTAGATCTGGCTTGGGGCAACAAGATTAAAATACATGAAATATTAAAGAAGTGAATGCTAAATTATTTTTTGCAGACCTCCTGAATTTTAGGATACCAGAGGAGAAGATGGACAAGATTAACACATGAAAATGATTTCAAAGCTATTAAGAGTGAAAGAAAGACACGATGTTGACAGGAGTTTAATGAAAGGAGAAATTAACATTGGCAGACATGGACAGAAGTAGCACCTGAGAGGAGGTGGTTTGTGATGGAGGCAGTCTCACGGGCAGGAAGAGATGGGCTAACACCATGGGAGACATTAAGTATTGACTTTGAATTACAGAAAGCAAGATTTCAGGAAGTTGAATTTGGGGGTAGAGCACAGGATGCTTTAGCATTTCAAGAGTGTGCTAGCAGGGAGATCAGCTAAAAATCTATGGCCATGGTCTGTATGTAAGGCAGTGTGGTGGTAGTGGTCAGGTGTGTGCATTTGCATGAGTGTTTATGGACTGAAGAGATTACAGTAGTGTTGGAGAAAGAGGTTAGAGAAAGAATGTTCGAGAAAATATTCAACAGAGGTGACGGGAAAAAGAAACAAGATAACTCCAAGTTTTCTGTCATAGGAAACTATAGAATAGGGACATCATTGGAATAATGTGAAATTTGGAGAAAGTCCCTGTATTAAAGATGAAGTTCATTTTAATTTAACTCATGGAATTAGAGGTGATAAATATTGGATAGGTAGTATTGGGAAGAGGAGGAATCCATTATACTGCAGGAGGGAAAAAATACCCAGGTTTGGGAAGTGGGAATGAAATGTATTATTGGTAAATTGAAGGAAGATGGTACAGGTTATTAATAAGACCTCTTGGAAAAACCAGAGGAGGAAGCTGCAAAATGTTTCTATTCTTAAAACTTTGGTGTGAATGCAGTGACTCAAGAATGGAGACAAAATGCAAATATTTGTCACCAAGAGCCCACCTTGCATGCATTGTCTTGGGTACCTTCAACACAGCCCCTTCTAATGATGGGAAGAGTCCCACGCAAATGACATAAAGAGTCATGAAAGAAATTACAGTCCAGCTAATCCAGCTAATTCCACCTTGGGGAGACATTATGTGGGGATTAGAGATTGTACCACATACTAAAAATGAGACTATGAGGAGAATTTGAACTTTGTGTACAGAAGGAAAAATTGGTCCTGTTTATTTAGATATATGATAGGTTTTACTGGCCTATTATATTCCTATTGACCTTGGCTATGGCCACTCCAAATAAATAAACTCATGTACATTTTTATATCTATATTGCCTCATCAGATGCCATCATTACAGTGAAAAAAGCCCTAGAAAGGAAGATGAGCAAGTCGACCCAAAGGCATTAGGTTATTAGAAGTGCTACTAGAGGGCGTGAGTCAATAGTTAGGTTTAATGCCTCCTGAGGGCAGATAACTGAGTCTGAGGCATTTTAGTGCTCAGAACAGTGCCTGGCAAAAAGAATGTGCTCATTAAATAAGTGAGCGGAAGTTTAAAATCTGGGCACTGGCTCCAAAATGAGCAATACAAGAGAGAAGCATGCTGCCAGGCCATCATTTCTACTATAACTGGTGCAGTCACACAAGCAATAGTCTACAGTATCCATGTGGCTAAATAAGAACCTAGTGTCAAATGGTTTCCAGTCCATAGAAAGATGATGGACAGTGGACTACGTTCATCACCTTGGCTGTTGGGGCTAAGGTAGGGTAAAGAAGTATGGAGGTATAAGATAGAAGGATAGCTAGGATCTGATGTTGAGTGTGTCCGTTGTAGACACTCTTTCCAGTGTGCTGGGTCAAAAAAATGAATTACTTGTGCCAATGAATAAATAAACCCTGTGTTACCTACATTGCTTATCATTAACTCTCCCCCTGTGATTCCCTTGCCTTGGCATCCATTAGTTCAGCTATTTAGCAAATATTAATGGCACTCCTATGTAGCAGGAATGTGGTGTTAGTGATGCAATACCAATAAAATGCAGAATTGTGCCTGTTGAGAGATACAACAAGTAGATACTGTGGCAAGTGCTCTAATCTAAAGAATCACAGGATGTCATGGGCACCCATAGAACAGGCAGTTATGCCAGGCGTCAGCGTTCCTGTCCCTCCTCTCACCATTTTAATCTCTGTATCTGTTGCTGTACAGAAGGCAGTGACAGCTGTTTTATTGTCAGTGTGGTAAGAAAACTCGAGAGACACAGATCTCACAAGTGTCCCCATCAGAGGAAAGGTGAAAGCAAAGAACTGTAGAGCTAAAAAGTCCTCTCTTCGAATGTCCTCCCTAAAACCTTGCCAGCAAACGAAGCTTTTGCTGCAAACCCAGGAAGAAAAGCAGCATCACAATTTTCAGGGCAACCTTCTGCTAACAATACAGCTGCTGGGGCTCAGCCAAGTCCCAGAGTGGCTGCCCAGCCAAGTCCATGATTAATGATGTCATAGCAAGCAAGATGAGGCCTCAATTGAATGAGCCTTGGCTTTTAACAAAAGCCTTGACTAAGCAGTAAACTGACCAGAGGGATAACCAACTGTGGAATGCCCCAAATGTCACTGACATGGAGTGTAAACAGGAATCAAAAAAGAATACCAATCCAGGGTTGTAGGCAGATGCAGAATTTGATGGGAGAGAAATGGCACCATTATTTGGGGATGTCTAAATTTGTGTCTTTCATTGTATATGGAGAGTACATAGCTAGGGTAGTCTCATTTTTCAGATGCAGAAAACTAAGGCCCAGGTGTTAAGAGAAATATTCTTGAACACAGTAAGTTGGTGATAAAACCAAGATTGGATCCCGGGCTCTCTCTACTATCCCACACAGTTTTCATAAAGCTCAGCAAGATCTTATATCCAAGCAACACTATTTGCTTCCTAAGTCTGGAAACTCCTCAGAGGCATGAGTAACTAGCTTTTCCATTCATCATTGGTTGCTAAATTTCATCAAGTAAAATTTGTTTTGTTTTGTTTTTTTTCAAGGAGGAGTCATGGGTACAATACTTTCTAAGTTGTTTTGTGTTTGAGAATGACTGCATGCTACCTACACTCCTGAACAACTTAGCTGGGTATAATAGTGTTGGGTCGTGCTTCCTTCTCTTAGACTTGTAGACACTACTCCATTTTCTTACAGTGTTGAAATGGTCTTTGTGGAGAAACCTGAGACCTACATGATAATTTTCTGCTTTAAAGAAGGCATAAGTTTTTTTCTAGTTTTTCTTTAGCCTTGACTTTCATTAGCATAACCTGAATATATCTACTGTTGGTAGCATTTGTCACTACTTTCCTGAAAGTGATTTATTCAATCTGGAGATTCAGTTCTTCATTTTAATTAAATTTCCATTTTTTAATTTTGACCTGTATTTTCTATTCTATTACTGGGGCTCTTAAAGAATAGCAATGACCTCTTCCAGCTCTGGGGCCCTATGAAGAATAGAATCAATGGGGGCCTGGTCATTAGTCTTTGTAAAGCGTGGCCAGTAGGGCTGGGTAAGTATTCCACCTGCCTTCCTTTCTGTCAGAGGCCACCCCATAGTGGAACCTTTTATTATAAATACACATCTTGTGAGTGATATCAGAAACAAGTTGAAGAGAAGGGCCAGAACCAATGTGACAACAGAAGTCATTTCTTAGTAACTTTTGCTAAGGATGAAACAATTTTCTGGCAAGTTAAAGGAAATTTAGACAATGTGAGTTATGTTTTTTTTTTTATTTTCCTTCAATGAGAATTTTAAACTAAGTTATTTCAGAGAATGAAGCAATGTTGACCTTGTCTACTACCCTATAACCAGTGCTCAACACTGGTCTTGACAGTTTAAGCACCTAATATTTGCTAAATAAATAACCAAAAGTAGTAAACTTGAACTGATGAGTGTTAGAGCTTGAAAATAAAGAAATGCAATATCTTCTATCACCATGAAGTCTCTATTGCCAACAGTGTAACCAACATGCACACTTCAGTCTGAATGACTCATGTGTTTTTAGTTTGTTTAACTGTGAGATCACTAGTGACCCCTTAAAATTTTTTGGCTTCCGTAAATCCCTAAAGAGTCAGTGCTTGTAGAAAGAGACATTCTGGTGGCTCACAGCATTGTAGTATGGGGAAACGCTGTGAAGTAGTGGAGGGCACTAGGACCACATTTGAATCATGACTTCACCATCTAAGTGGCCTGAGATAGTAGCCCTAAATTTCGTTGAGCCTTGGTGTTCTTATCTGCAAAATGGAAAACTAATTCCTTATAAGACTGTTGTGAGAATTAGATAAAACCAGTTATAGGAAGCATCTAGAATGGCACCTAGCACAGAACAAGCATTCAGTCAATGGTGTCTATTAGTCCTAATTATTAGGAATAATAATAATATTAGACACCATTGATACCCAAGTCTAATAATAATATTCACCTTACTGAGTATTCAGTTGTACCTCTGCTCCTTGACGTGGGTTGAAGAGAGAGAGGGCAGAAATCGTGATGGCTGTACAGTTACATGCAGTGGAATTCCTTTCTTTTTGACCCTCCCAAACTCCTCTTAACACCTAATTTCGCCCCACCAATTGTAGCACAAGTCTGAGATACGGAGCAGAGAGAAGGGCCTTGCTCGTTCTTCCAAAAGAAACAACATTAGGTTTTATTTTAAGAGACACGAAGGAAATTTATTAAACTTGTCCTCCCAGAGGATCTAATAATTTTAATGAGTGGGCAGACCTCATCACATACCTTGGATATCCCAAGATGTTTCACAGTCCCATGAGACTAACTGATTAAGTTGCTTTTGCTCATTCCCTTAAAGTCAATTTCCAGATAATATCCTAACTCATCACCCACAACTCGTCTATGCCCTCCATGTGACTCTGCTCCATAGAGTTTTATGGCGGAAATAACCTTAGTGAGGGACTTCTGGAGTCCCAAGGGAGAGTCAGCAAAGGCAGGTGATTTGTGCTTATTACGCAGCCAGACCAGATTTGTCTACATGTTGAGGAGGAGGTGGGTACACCCCAAAGCCATTCAAACCTTAGAGTTAGCAACAACTGCAGCCTGCAGCCCACTCAAAGAAAAGAAACCTCCAAAGGCCGTGAAGACATTGAACTCCCTCTGAAGAGAAAGTGGCTTGTGGATGCTGTATGACAACAGGCTTAAGGAAAGGTTCCCTACGCACAGCTCAGAGGAACATTTCTCTGTAGCCTGACTTGAGTACCTGTTCAGAGGGTTGGAGAGAAAATAGTGAAAAAGGAAGATGAGGTCCCTGCTTTCATGAAATACACATTCTAGTCATGGGAGTGGGTTGAAAGACAAAAGTAAACACAAAATTGAAAAAATTACCAGTGAGTTACAAGGGCGACATAAATAACACAAGTTGATGGAGTAAAGCATCAGTGGGTGACCACCTAGTTCCACTGGTCAGGGATGGCTTCATGGTGGAAGAGCTGATATTTGGAGGGGAAACACCCAGCCATGAGAAGATCTGAGGCAAGAAAACTGCAGGCAAAGGGAACAGCTTATGTAAAGGTTTTACGGCAGGGATGAGTTTACAGTGTCAATGAAGGGCACTAGTTCAGGGGGTCAAAGTACAGGCAGAATTTGGTGCAGATCAGTCAGTAGCTAGGGGCTAGATCATGCAGGATTTTGTGTATCATGGTAACAGGTATGACTTTCCCTTTAAAACCTTGTCTCCTAGAGGTGGCCTAGGGTAGAAAAAAGTGGAAAATATTAGCTCAGAAGGACAAAGGCATGCATGAGAAGTTAAGAAGGCAAAATGGGCTACATAAGCGAGAGCCAATCTAAACCCCAGTACTAAAGCCAATCCACGTGTATGCATTTGAGTTAAACCCTCTGAAAAATCTTCATAAATTAATCTCATTGCTCCAGTGGCTCTGACATTATGACCTGGGTTCCCGCAGGTACTGGTTACAGGGGATTTCCTACTCAGAAGTGTTAAATGCGTTTCCCATCCAAAGGATTAAATAAGTGGTTTTGGGTGCGTGGTCAGCAGTGGGTTTTGGTACCCACTGTTCTTCTTTAACTAACTGGGGATTCCTGGCGAAGACCTTTGCATCCTCTGGCATCAGTCTACTCATCTGTATACTGACCAGTGTTTACTAATGATCACCGTTGTCTCTGCTAACAGTCTGAGGTTGTATAATTCATTGACATCTGGCATAAGTTCATAGGGATGAGTTAAAAAAACACATTTGGCATAATCATATACAAGACCTTATAAATAGCTGAGAAAGCCGCATGCCAGTCGCCAAATTGCGATGGATGAACCAGGTAAACACAGTGCCAGAATTAATAACATCTTGTCTATAATTTATTCCAATTTTCTATGTGAAGGGAAAGCTGTGTTTTCCTCTCTTACACAGCCCCCCAAATCCCCACCACCCCGCAGGCAGGCATTTTCATTTACACAATGCGAGACAATTGCAAAATGAAGAGACAATGGGTTTGCCCATTCTGTTAATTGGCAGCTTGAAAAAGTACAAGATAAATTTGGTGCCTGAACGCATGGAGGGAAGTTTCTGAGAAGATTGCTGATGGTTAGGCGCCCTCTACTGGTAGACTCGACAGAAAACCACCAAATGCTGAAAGATTTTTTTTACAATTCTGGGATCCTCGTTCTTCCTGAAATGACCTAGAATGCAGGTGTTTGTCTTCAGGGATTTACAAATGGAAAACAAGCTCAAACCAGGCCATACCTCATTGAAGAAAACTCTTTTCATGTCTTTACAAATCCTGGAAGGTGTCTGTGCTCACTTCTATTACAATTTTTTAAAGAGTACCCTGGGCTCAGAGATGGCAAACACTGGTTTTAGAAGCTTTTCAGATGGAATGTTCGCATCCACTAAAAATGAAATCTTTTTAGAATTTAAGGATATTCATGTTTAAAATTACAGACTTTGAGGTTATATGGAACAAAAAAAGGTTAGCACCACCATGATAAAAATGGGAAACATCTTAGAGACCCGAGCAACATGCTAATGTATAGCCACCTATTTTTTGGCCTTGATCTGAGCCTGGCATGTGGTGGATGAGGGCATAGGATTTACAGTTACACCTGGTTTCGAACCCTAGTTCTTCTACTTACTGGAGAAGCTACTTAAAGCCACTAACTTTCCTTTATATAACTCTCCGTTAAGTATTTCAACACAGCATATGGATTAAGTTCATGAAATTCAATCTCCCTCCATCAGCATCATTGTACCTATTCAACATGAACACAGAAAAAATGTAAAAATATTAGAGTGAATTGCAGAGTTTATTTATTCTCTCTGTGTTTATGGGGTGGCCTCTCATAAGAACACTGGATTGGGAACTTGGGAAAATGAATTCGACATAGATCCTGCCCTCAAAGAGCAAAAACAGTCTAGTAGAAAAGATAAGATGCATAGACAAATAGCTGTGATAAGTCAGAAAGGTTCAGGACCGTGAGAGATAGAGTCAATGGGAATTCTCAAAGGAGAAATTATTTCTGGTTCTGAGAAATCAGGAAAGGCGTTCTTTCCAGTATTATGCCATTCCAATGACTTCTGAGCTTTCCCTAGCATCAATTCTTGACCACGAGGAAAAATAAAAATTAGTAGTTTAATAATTGCATTACATATTTGGGGAAGTATTAGTAGTAATGATAAAAAAACAAAAAAAGTTAAGACAATTACAAATTTGCAAGGGGAAAAACATTACATAAGACAAATATGGCCAGGCGCGGTGTAATCCCAGCACTTTGGGAGGCCAAGGCCGGCGGATCACGAGGTCAGGAGATGGAGACCATCCTGGCTAACACAGTGAAACCCCGTCTCTACTAAAAATACAAAAAATTAGCCGGGCATGGTGTCAGGCGCCTGTAGTCCCAGCTACTCGGGAGGCTGAGGCAGGAGAATGGCGTGAATCTGGGAGGCGGAGCTGGCAGTGAGCCGAGATCGAGCCGCTGCACTCTGGCCTGGGCGACAGAGCGAGATTCCGTCTCAAAAAAAAAAAAGACAAATATATTTATTTACAGTATACCACGTGGCTTAGTAATGAATAATACTTACACTATCACAATATTAATAACATAAGGACAAACTTCTGAATTTGCCAATAAGCATGATTTAGCTATACTGAGAGTAGAGAAAGGACAATAAGCGTATGTGAGTATGTAAAAGAATTGGATGTTCACTTTCAATTAAAAATTTAATAATGTCTACAATTATGATATTAAGAAATATAGCAGTGCCAATATAGTATTTGGTAATATGGAGGTTTAGACTAGAAACATTGGCTAAAAGATGAAAGCAGTTGTCTTAGGGGGCAGGGTACAGGGAAGGAATAAGACTTGGGACTGCTGATTTTCATTATCACTACTGCAATGCTGTAAGTTTTTAAAGCATGTATGTATGTATCATTAAATAAATTTTTAATGAACAAGAACAGAGGATGATGTAGTGGACACGTTTTTTTTTTTTTATTTGTTCAGTTATTTGGTCGTTGGTTGTTTGATTGTTTTTTCTGTCCATTTTCTCCCCGTGATTATTCTAAAAATGCAAACTCCTTTCTCAGCAAATTTTATTCCTCCACTTTAAACACATGGTTTCTATGGAGGGTTACATTTTTTAAGATAAGCTTATTCCTTGGCTACAATAGATTGATCCAGAATTGGGACAGAGAGAGGAAGAGAGAGAGACAAAAACAGGAGAGAGAGACAGAGAGAGAATGAAATGTCACATAAATATAGGTAATGATGAAGAAGAACTGTAGCAGTGTTGAAGTCCCTGGTTCCGTTTATTCCTGAGGACCAACATCACCCTTGCCTTTCCAGTAACTTGGTTTTTAAGTTTTACTTCCTATGGGATACCTCCTACATCCTTCATACTTTTCTTCACAGTTAGTTTGATATTGTTTGTTCATTTTTTTCCGTAAAGAACAGTAACCACACTCCTACTCTAAAAGGGCATCTGAGCAGCAGCCTCTGGTGCAGTTTCTCAAAGATTCTCGGGAGATACCGGAGATGGCAGAGTGGACGGTTTTAAAAGGTGGACTTTCCTGTGACTAGCAGGCAACTGCATGCCTGAGTCTGGGAGGAAAACTTGAGTGATGAGGCAGGTGAAGATGGATTGAGAAAAACCTTCATCTGGTGAGAAGGAGACCCTGAAGGGAGAGGGAGATACACCATCAGCAATCCAGGACTGGGCTGGGTGCAGTGGCTCATGCCTGTAATCCGAGCACTCTGGGAGGCCAAGGCGGGCAGATCGCCTGAGGTCAGGAGTTTGAGACCAGCCTGGCCAACATGGTGAAACCCTGTCTCCATTAAAAATACAAAAATTAGCCGGGCATGGTAGTGCATACCTGTAGTCCCAGGTACTTGGGAAGCTGAAGCAGGAAAATTGCTTGAACCCGGGAGGTGGGGGTAACAGTGAGCTGAGATCATGCCACTGCATTCCAGCCTGGGTAACCGAGTGAGACTTTGTCTCAAAAGAAAAAGAAAAAGCAATCCAGGACTGGTGCAAACCAGAACTCTGAGGACCCCAATGGAGAGTACCCAAGAAACTTCTTTTGAGACACCAAGAGTGCAGTTGTTCCCTTCTCTCTCTCTTCACTCCACCTCCTGTCTTTCTAAAATCTATTTGGAGGTTAAATCTCCATGAACAGTGGGCGTACAGTGGTGACAAGTGGCCATGGTGCAATACATCCTAAGAGGAAGAGCCTGGCTAAGGAAAGGAAGGACAAGGACACCGGAGTGGGCAGAGCACAGATGGGACCCCAAAGCCAATTCTATTTCTCCACAAGGCTGGAAGATCAGGAGGATCAGGGGAACGGTGGAGGACAAAGATGTCAGACTTGTAGAATGGAGCTTCTATGGATGAAAACCTCCTCGAATTATCATTTGAAAAGTTAAAAAAAAAAAAAAGGAGAAGACAGTTGATGCTGCAAAACAAATTAAATCCATGCTTAAGGATACAGAGGGAAAGGTCTGAAAGGAAATACTAAGAAAGGAAATAACAGAGATGAAAGACCAGGAGTAAAGATCAAGGGGAGAAATAAAGCATAAGCAATTATCAAAGAAAAAATACAAATCAACCCTTCACTGGCCAAGGTTAAAAAAAAAAATGATCTCTGTGTATGGATTGCAATTCCCATGCTGTCTTAGGCAAAATAGTATGAACATGTTCATTTAATTTTGTAATACTGTTTAAATTAAAAGGATCAATATACCTAAAAAATACTTCAGCAAAAAGAAAGGGCTATGTAGAGGCTGGGCGCAGTGGCTCACGCCTGTAATCCCAGCACTTTGGGAGGCCGATGCGGGTGGATCACGAGGTCAGGCGATCGAGACCATCCTGGTTAACATGGTGAAACCCCGTCTCTACTAAAAATACAAAACATTAGCCGGGCGTGGTGGCGGGCGCCTATATTCCCAGCTACTGGGGAGGCTGAGGGAGGAGAATGGCGTGAACCCAGGAGGCGGAGCTTGCAGTGAGCCAAGATCGCGACACTGCACTCCAGCCTGGGTGACAGAGCGAGACTCCGTCTCAAAAAAAAAAAAGAAAGGGTTATGTAGAAAAGGAAAAGCAAATTAGAGGCTATCTTCTAACTTCTCATCTGCAGTATCAATCCCACAAGGTAGTGGAGCAACAGTCACAGTTTGGAGCAAAAACTGTTGAGATACAAGTCGTCTTTTATCAATGGAAGTGATAAAAAAAAAGATGTAGGTATTAAACAAGAACTCCAAAAAATCCATAGGAAACAATTATTTAAAGATTATCTCCAACTCACTGAGAGATACTAAAATATTACAAACTGAAAAATGGAGACTTTGCATTAAATTTGACAGGATTCAGCTCTAAAACTAGATAAACATGCTTCATATTTATCTTGTTCTCTCCAGGATAAATGTAAATCTAGTTGTAAAATGAATCTAAAATCAAAACATCTGCTCCTTTTAAAATAATGTAAAATTCATGATTCTATGAAAAAAATCTGAGTTTAAAACGTCAGCTAATATTAACAAAGCCTGAGAAATGTGGAGAGAGGAGAGCGTGGAGGATTGTGTACTCAAAAGATCCTTTCCTTCTTGACTCTGAGAATTAGTCAAGGTGCAGCCAGAGGCTTTTGAAACATTAAAAGATAAACATCAAAGAAAGTAAAAGCAAAGAAAACATGGTTTATAGAGCAAATAGGAGTCACAAATGAAACAGCATAAAACAATATTTAAAAAGTATAAAACTATATGTTAGAACATGAAATAGGCCTTTTGTGGTAGTCAGAGCTGATGTTAAACGGCTCTTAAAAGGCAAAGACACTTGAGTTGTTTTTTTTTTTTTTTTCAAAATTTAGCCAATTACTGTCCACAAGAGAACATCTAAAACAAAGGTGTTCAGAACGTGAAGAGAAAAATATTAGACAAAGATACATCAATCAAAATCAAACAAAAGGAAGGAGAAGTACAAGCAAGAATATCAAACACCAACTTCAAGACAAAAATATTGAAGGGAGCAAAAGTTCACTTCTTTTGATGAGTGGTACATACATGTATGAGGTGAATAAAACAGCAAGGCAGATTTAACAAAACCTGAAAAATGGTCATGCAGTAATAGTTGAGGATATTAAGATATATCACTATTCGTGATAGGTCAAACAAGCAATGATGAAGTGTGTATATAGAAACTACAAAATCTACTCAATAAGTAGCATGGATACCTCTTAGAAATGAGCAATAAACCTCAACATTCACCATCTATAGAATACATTTTTTTAAATTGAGCATTTTAGGTTACAAAAAAAATCTCAAATTAAAAAACCAAAAACGATAAATGAACGGTACAGCCTTTCCTATCGTCCTTTTTTCTTACCAGAATAAAATAAAACTAAAAATGATCAAATTATTAAGCCACAGAAATAAAAACCTTGAAGTAACCTTCTAAATAATTTACACACAAAAATAATTCACACTGCAATTACAAAATATAAATAATATAAATTATCTCCTTGAGATTTTTAAAAACGCATTCATTCTGATGTGCGTCTTCTGAGCAAACATTACTGGTGGGAAATATATCAACGTGTTAAGAGTAATTAGCTTTGGGTAGTGTTTGTTTTCTTTGGTGTAACAATTTGTCTATACACATGCATTGATCTTTAAATGGAACAGGTACTTGATAGAGGCTGTATCTTTATGTTTTCAAAGTTAGAAAACTGTCCTTGGGGCCATTGCAAGTTCTCACCTCATTTTTAAGATGGAAGATAGAAGTTATCTTTAGGGAAGACAAACCCTCTTGTGGCATAGCTGTGAAACAAACATGTAACCAATGCTGTCTAGAATCGGTGAACTAATTTAAATGTAGATAATTTCAGATTGAGCAATATTAACTTTCAGTTCAACTATATGAACTAGGTAAAACATTTTTAGGGACAAGATTAACACAGAATTAGAGACTTGCTTTCTTTAAATTAGATTTAAATTGCTCTGTGCCTTAAATATATAGCTTGTTCTTGAGAGAGATATTTATGTTTATAGCCAGACTTTTATTGGAGAGCCACATTACGACTGGGAGGACAGGCTCCTCTTGCTAGAGCAAGATTTCTCAGCCTCTGGGCTGGGACACAGGCAGAAGGATATGCCCCTGCTTGTGCACTTTCTCTGGGAGTGGAGCAGCATGGGGGAAATGGTAATTATAAGAACTGAGGAACTGGGTGGCTGAACACCACTGAGGCTTTGAAGAGAGAAAATGAGAGGTTTAGGGTGATCATCAAAAATTCAAAGTAAAATGTGAACACCAGAGGACCTATTTGGCATCCTTTAAAGAACTGCTTCTCTCTTATATTTGGAGGGCTGGTCATTCTGAGAACCAGGCTCACGATCTATCTGTAAGAGCACCAGAACTTGAGAAAAGGTTGACGAATCAGCCCCAGCAAGTCTCCTAAACTAAAGTCTAGGTCTTTATAGGGTGGGATACTGAGACTCTGGAGAGGACATCTGGGTGGGCGCCCTGGAGAGCCTTGAATTGTCTGGGCCTGTAGAAGTGGACTGCTCCTCCTTGTTAAAGGATAGGGCCCCCAACCACTTTGTTTGAGAGCCATGCAGAAGCTTTAAGTGAGACAGTAAGGACCACTGTGCTAGAGGATAGACTTGCAGGGATTGAACTGAATTTGATGCTGGAGTACCTGGATTAACAGTGTTGCTGAGAGGCTGACCATGCCACACCTTATCAGGACACTGTTGAAGTTTGGGAGTGAGTTTTCTATGCTGTGGAATGTAGACCATATCCAGTGAGTGAGGAGGAACATCTTCCCTGAATTAAACTGAAATTTAGTTAGTAGTAGTAGTGAAATTCAGTTACTACTGTGATTGTGACTGAGCAGGGTCTCTTCCCAAATGCTAGGGAATAGTTAGAAGTAGGGGTCAGCAGTAGAGGAAAGTGACTCTCCTTAAAGTTGCAACACGTTAGGGTCAACAGCAGCATAAGCAGCTACACAGTAGTAGCAAAAGAAGGAAGATAGGGACAGTTGCAGGTGTGAACCATTAGCCACGGTACTTGCAGGGGCTGAGGGGTGGGTTTGCTGGGTAGTAAGGGGAATGTGGCATAAGTACCAATAGCAACTACTACAGTCCACTCCTTTAGCTCTCAGCCCTATGGGTGCTTCTGGCGCTAAGTTCTCCCCCATCTGGATACAGCTTCTCCATGATCCTGCTTGGTCGTAAATTCTGGGGAAACTGATAAGAACAGCATAAATCATACCCCTGCTGCTGTACTTGATCTCAACTCAAGGCTTTACTTGATTTTATCGTTTTCCTTCTCTATACCTGTTTGTAGTTATAATTGGGCATGAGAGTGCCCAGAGGTACCCCAGTGGATCACTTCCCTGCCTGCCTTGTTTAATCAGAATTCTACCTCTTCATGATGATTAGGCTATAGCCCCTCACAAGACACATGGTAACTACTTTCTTTAATTGCTGGTCTATTGGCATGAGAAACCCAAAGTGACCATGTGGTAAATGCAATTTAAAGTTCAGCATGATGTTTACTGGGTCCTTTGATGGAAGCACAGGCCTTCTGAGAACCAGAACTTGAGACTCACACTCAGGGGCAGGAAGCACAAGTTCCTTAAGAGGGCCTGTTGGAATGAAAGTCATAGGAGGCTCTCCTAAGTCTACTGCTTGGTTCCTGGACCCATGTGTTCGCTAGAATAATACTGCTTCCAATAGCTATATTGGAGACGCACTCCAAACATTTTTAAATCTCCATTCTTAGAGGGTGTCATCTCAAAGCTGAGGCCTCAGCTGCACTTTCCAAAGGACATTCTACTGTTCTACCAGGCTGGTAGCTTCTACATGGTATAATATGTGGTAAGACCAGCAAATACCATGCCCATGTGCCCACTGCTGTGCCACTCTTTGCCAGTCTCTTGGACTGAGGACGTACTATGCAAGATTACATGTTGGAAGATCAAGCCCTCCGTGAGCCTTTGGAATAATGGTACTGGCAGAGCGACTTCAGGCAGAAAAGGTAAACTGGTATCCAGAATACATACCAATTGTGATTAAGATGAATTGCTATTTCCAGAGAAGAAGGGATCCGGTGTAACTGAATGGCCAACAGTAGTAGCTGGTTGGTCTTACTGATGTCATGGTAACCATGTAGTTGCTCAATTTGATTTCTTTTACTGGCAGGTTGGATGTTAAACAGTTGAAGTCCAACCTGGCAAGTCTCGGTCTTGGTGAGAGGAAGCCAGTGTTGCTAGACAGATGTATAGCCTCTATTTCTACTGTAATGGCAACCCCACTCACTACTAAACAATGGAGTGGTCAGGGAACGAGGTTGGCTGCCATTAACTGGTTGCATCAACCTTTCCAGTTGGGTGTTGGTGCCTCTTCTTCAGTGGATATTCTATGATGGGCATAAAATGCAGTACAAGGATGATCACACTTGATGTCCATTCCCACATGTCCATCTGCATAACTCTTCCTCAGATCTCCTTGTCTTCTCTTCCAATCTTGCTTTTCCCACTTCCTTAACCAACCAGCTAAGCCATTTGCATTGGTCCTGAGTCCATATATATTCTAATCTCAGGTCAATTCTCCCTCCATACAAAGCAGATGGCAATGAGCATGACCTGAAGCTCTGCCCACTGATAAGTTTTCTTCTCATTTGTTTTTCACGGCCACCTCTAAGTGGGGCTAGAGTGAAGCAGTTCATCTCCAGTTCATACAAACCTACCGATCTGAGTCCATTTATGTATTAAGTACAGGAGATTTTCTCCTCCGCCTTCTGAACATAGAGAATGATTCTTGAGATGAAAGGTGTGAGCTGTGCGAGAGGCATTGATATAATAGAGGAAACTGACATGAGGTCTGATGTCTAGGCCACCTGTACTCTCTGAACCTTGTCCAGCTCAATTCAGAATATACCACTCCTATCTTGCAGTGGCCGCCCCAATTTTATGACTTGATGAGTCTGACAGTCTCCAGTTCATTATGTGCAATTCTGACTCCACGGCCATTTGATGTCTTATGGTAATTCATGGTGTCTCTGTCAGGGCTCAGTAGCAGATGAGTCTGAGCATGTGTGTGCACACATGCGTGTGGTTTTAATAGCATGTATGTCTAAGTTGCAGATAGTATTCTTTTGCTCAAGAACCTAGGAAATCATAGGAAACCTTATGAATTCTCTATAGGGACTTGCTAGAAACTCCGTAAAGCATCCCAAGTGGCAGGGTTGCTCACAGTGCAGGCTGGACCTGCCTCAGAGCCCTTTTTTGCTTTAGGTCCCCTTAAAACATCAGCATTACCAAATAAATGGGTCAGAGTAGTATTCTCAAGAGTGTAGTATGCTGTGTCTAAAACCCAAAGAGGCCACCTAAGCCCTGTGCTGCTTTCTCAGTGGTAAGAGGTACATGGTGCAATAGCCTGTCATTTACATTAGAAAGGATGACCCATTTTGTGCCAGAATACAGGGTCCATAAATATTTAACTGATGCATCAGGACTCTAAATATTTTTAGAATTTCTCTCTCTCCTTCTAGAGTGCATGTGTTTTACCACTTCTTGCATATCGGGGCCAACTTACATGATGTCAGCAATATGGGTGAATGTGGTCATCTATAGAATGTCCAGATGGCCCAGATCCTTTCAGACAATATAGGGACAGAGAGAAAGATAATTAACATATCTCTGGGGCAAGACCATGAATGTATACTGCTATTCATCCCATATGAATGCAAATTGCTTCTGTCTTCCTATTTGATGAGTATTGAAAAGAATGCATTTGCCAGATCAATAGCTTCATGCCACTTGCCAGAGTCTCTAATAAAGACACCATTCCAGAACAGCAGGTGCAATTGGCTGTACTAATTGGTTAAGTTTGCAGTGGCACACTGTTATTCTCCATGATGAACCTAGTTTTTGCAGGACGATTGCCCCTGCATCCTTTAAATCTTTATCTACCATTTCCCCAAAAATATAATGATTACTTTACATTTGCTATCTTGGCTGGACATGAAGGGAGTTTCAGTTGCTTGCACTGAACCTTTCTTATTAAATAGCTCTAAGTGTATAGGTCAATGAACCAGTGTAAGGATTTTGCCAACAACTTAATGTGTCCCTTTCCATTACGTATTCAGGAACTGAGGAAACGACCACTGGGTGGTATCTGGATCCAGTGGACATTGTGAGATAGACCTGGGTCAGGACTTCATTTATTACATGACTCCCCTGTACTTTTACTCTATTGGAGGCCAGATGGAGTTTTGGGTCCCTGTGCGTCAGTGTCAACTTGAACTTTGTATCTACAGCCCTCAAATGGTATGGGTATTCCATTTTTCTCATTGTGCTGTTACCTGAGTAAATGACCAATGTTCCCTTTAGAGAAGAACTGGGGGAATCAATACCGTATGTATTTACCATGTGTCCCACCCAGTTCACTACAGGTGAGAGTCTTCTTAACTGAGCTGCTACAGCAGCCAGGGACTATCACTCTGCACCTACCACCAGTGATGATAACCTCCTTTAGCAGAAGGTTCGAAGTGATCCAACTTCAGAATTTCATCCTTAAAGTCAGCTTCCTAGGACTACTCCTGGTACCAATGGTCTCAGCTCAGGTTTCCCAGAAGTAGACTCTGAGATGGAGATTCACATACTCTTAATATACTGAATGCTCTTTAGAAGAAAAAAAAATGTTAGTAAGTGAGGGAAGCAGGCTAGAGCAGCAGAAGGAATCGAGAAGAATGTGGTCTCAAGTCAAGTCTAGTGCTGATTTAGTCCATGAGAATTCCAGAGTGTTTTGCATATCACAGTTGTCCAGCCTTGAGGCAAGTGATTGGATTTGGTAGGTTATTTTCTGAAGACCACTGATGTGAAGAGGAAATCTTTTCTTTTGCATACGACAGAAGGCAAATCTTACCAAGGAGAAAGTCCTTGGTACAGCCCATGCCTTCTGTACATAGGCTGAAGGGGTTAACAGATGAAGACCAGAATCACAGGCATCATGTCAGCCCTTTCTAGTGCAGACACCAACAAAGCCCAGCACAGAGTTTGTGGTGTCAAGCTGTGAATAATTCAATTCCACTACTTGCTAGCTGTGTGACCTTAGACAAATAATTTAACTTCTCTGAGCCTTAGTGTCATCCTCTGAAAAGCTATGTAGTAGAAACATACCTATGTCATGTGATTGCTATGAAATTTTATAATATAACATGTGAAGTGTTTGCCAATAAGCTCTCAGTAAGCTAGTTGTTTTATCTTCATTCTTATCATAAATTTTCAAGTCAATTTGGAAGTGAAAGATGTTTTCTCTAAGAAGGCAAGAAAAAAGAGGCCATAGAAATTAACTCCTTTCTTCCATAATCCTTTGTAAACAAGGAACAATTCCTAAAGAAGATAGACAAAGGAGATGGATTTGTGGAATCAGAATCATCTAGCTCAGCTGGTGACCTCTTTTTGACTGGCTCATTCCTGGGAAAACCAAGATTCTAAGACTCTCAAATCCTTCTGGAAGCTTGGTTACAGAATCCTGTAGAAATGAGTTTCTGAGCCCTGGCTATAAATTTTGATTGACTTTACTTTTGCCTAATGTTCGAGAGAAAGCTAGCTTCATATTCTCTGGGACAGCCTATCCAGAAGTTCAGTGAAAGGGGAAAATTGCTGTTGATTCTCACTCCAGTAAGTCAAGAGCTAGAAAGAAAGTGGATATTGATATGGTGGAGCCAGAAAATCATTAGGCAGGAATCCAGGAGACCTAAGGTCTATATATTCCAACTCAGCCGCATCAAGGCCATATGATCTATAAAATACATTGGCAGAAGGGGAGAGGAATTTGAAGTTAGAAGTACTTGGGATTGAATCCCAGCCCCACAAATTTTCAGCTGCAACTTTACAAAAGTATTTAACTTTTCTGGTATTCAGTAACCGCATCTTGAAAATAAAGAACATGGAATGATTTTCAATTTTGACTATACATTAGAATCACCAAGGACATTTTTCAGAAATGCTGGTGCTACCCTAGACCAGTTGAATCAGAATCTCTGGGGTGGGGCCTGGACATCTGTATATTTTAATTTTCCCTCACGTGATTCTGCCCAGATGATTCACATGCACGGTGAAGGTTGAGAACCACTGGTTAGATCATCTCTCAGTGCTGACATTGATGTACTCCAACATGGCAAGTAATCCAAACACCTCCATTGCAGGCTTTTAAATGTGCACTTGTACTGTGAGCTCCATCCCAAAAATAAGGTCAGGAAAAGTTCACACTCTTTAGTTTTTTTTTTTTTTAATGCTTTCAATGGTATCTTTGCGGCCTGAGTCCACAGTTGAGTGAAATAAAGAAGTCTTTGCAGCTGGTCGAAGAACAGGACTACTTTGTCTTGGGGTGAAGGCTGATGGGACCAGTGGAATTTTCTTATAATCTTAGCCATGTGGTACTTCATAGAAAGATGCTTTGTTGAGGGTTGGGTGCGGTGGCTCATTCCTGTAGTCCCAGCGTTTTGGAAGGCTGAGGCAGGGGGGTTGCTTGAGGCCAGGAGTTCACTTAACATAGCAAGACCCCATCTCTACAAAAAGTAATAATAATAATGAAACAAAAAAATTAGAATGGCTTGGTGGCACATGCCTGTAGTTTTAGCTACTCTGGAGGCCGAAGTGGGAGAATTGCTTGAGCCCAAGAGTTCAAAGTTATGGTGAGCTATAACAGCACCACTGCACTCCAGCCTGGGTGACAGATGGAAACCTAGTCTTAAAAAATGAAGAAGGGAAAGAGAGAGAGAAAGAGAAAGAAAGAAAGAGAGAAAGAAAAGAAGGAAAGAGAGAGAGAAAGAAAGAAAAGAAAGAAAAAGGCAGGCAGGGGGCGAGAGGGAGGGAGAGGGGAGCGACGGAGGGAAGGAGGGAGGAAGGAAGGAAAAGAAAAGTGCTCTGTTGGCATCAGAGTGGGAAATTCACTTGAAATCAGATTTCAGAATGATAACCAGTGACTGCTTGTTTTTTATGGTACTGGAATTTTTTCTTTTTTTTTTTTTCTCCCTGATACTGATTTTCCTCAAAACCACTCACTGTCATTTGTCTGACTGGCCTTAAAAAAAGCCAGAGCCATATGCTGTTTTTGCATCTTCCTGACCTCCCATCAGTCCAGTAGTTTGGACCAGTTCCTGGGTAAAAAGGGAATCTCCAACTCTGCCCAAGAAAACTGGGGTTCAGCCAGCCCCCTTCTGCTTATTGCCTGTGAAGTCAGCGTTCTACCTGGCTTAGCTAAAGAGATCAGGGTCTTAAGCCAACACCACTAACTGACACAGCCAATTAAGGCAAAGCATGGCTTAAAACAGCAGAATTAGAAATCTTAATCGATTCATCCTCTGGAACATCTGCTTTGGGAGAAAACAATATGAGTACTAAGGCTATTTTCACTAACAAAATAATCTCAAATTCTTTTCTTTTTGTCAAAATATAAAGACTTGACAGCTTAAGAACTCCAATGCTCCTGAGGGGTCATAGTTTGTAGGAAAGCCCCAAGATGGCTTATAGTGCCAATATTTTTACTTGGATCCATCAACTTGCCTAAATGTCTTGGTTTTACATCCAGGTTGCTCCATCTGTACTGACCTGGCTTTTCTCCAGGCAAAAAGTTTCTTACAAGGGGCCAGTAGGCAGGCAAAGTGCTTTAGGAAGAGAAAGCTTAAGCAGAACAGAAAGCTAAAAATAGCCCAATTTAGTTAATATTTAACACTTTGTATTTTCATGAAGCAGGTTGAAAATTTAAGCTCCACCGTTGGCTAGGAAAGCCAAAAATATTTCTTTAATATTTTAGTACCTGAAACCACTTAGCAGTAGGGGAAAGGCTGCCTGTTATGAAATGTGTTTAGTCATGGAGGACAAGGCCAAATTTCCACTGTTGGGAGAACTAGCCACCCCATTGGCTGTTCACAGACACAAGCCAAAACCACCAGGCTCAGAATGTAGTTGTGAAGCCTACGGTAGTAAGAATGCCTCTTTTTCCTTTTTCAGTTTCCTAATCTGATTTTCAGTAAAGGAACATCCCAGTTCCTACAGGTTGTTCCTCAATGATGCCTGGATCTCACTTCAGGGGCCCTGATGGCTGTGAATGGGTTTTCAGGAGTCCAAGGAATGGTGCTCAGCTGGCGTCTCTGGGTCCTTGTCTTGTGGCTACAGGGATCTCTATCACAGCCCACCTCTCCCACTTCTGGCACCTGCTCCGCTTCCTCCCTACCTTCCACCTCACACCTAATCCATGCCTATGTGTACTTGGATACATGGGTGCAGCTGAATTACTTAGCTCTTAAACCCTCCCAAGAGGTGAACTCTAAGCCAAAAATCCTGGGACTTTCAAACTCATTCTGCCTCATCCTGTCTTCCTTCAACACATGTTAATGAATTTTTACCAGCTGTGGTACAATAAATAAATAAGTGAGTAATGAATCAATCTCTTCCTAAAGCACTTTGCCTGCCTACCAGTCATTGCAAGAGACTTTTTGCCTGGAGAAAAGCCAGGTCGGTACAGATGGAGCAACCTGGAGGTAAAACCAATACATTTAGGCAACTTGATGGATCCAAAGACCAAAGACGGTCTTTGTCTCTGGTTCCTGGCACAGAGCGTCCAAAACCCCTGGAATTTTGTGAGTAACAGAAGTATAATTTGTGATTTGTAAAGGGGCCCCTTTTGACCATAGCCATGTTTATGCTAATGAGGTAACTCTTGGCAGGGTGGAGGGTCTAATAGCTTCAGGATGGGGGTTGGTCACCAGAAAAAAACAACCACGTGGCTAGAGGGTTAAAATATCAGCCCCACCAGCTGGGCATAGTGGCTCACACCTGTAATCCCAGCACTTTGGGAGGCCAAGGTGGGTGGATCACCTGAGGTCAGGAGTTCAAGACCAGCCTGGCCAACATGATGAAACCCCATCTCTACTAAAAATACACAAATTAGCCAGGCGTGGTGGTGGGCGCCTGTAATCCCAGCTACTCAGGAGGCTGAGACAGGAGAATCACTTGAACCCTGGAGGCGGAGGTTGCAGTAAGCTGAGATCACACCACTGTACTTCAGCTTGGGGGAGACAGAGCAAGACTCCATCTCAAAAAAAAAAAAAAAATATATATATATATATATACATATATGTCTGTGTATGTCAGCCCCACCTTGGGAGAGAGGACAGGGGCAGGAGATTGAAGTCAGCCACCAAGGGCCAATGATTTCATCAATCGTGTCTATGTAATTAAACCTTAATAAGAAACTCAGAATGAGGAGGTTTGGGAGAGCTTTTTGGTTGGTAACACATCAAAGTGCTGGGAGGATTGTGAGCCCGGGAAGGGCATGGAAGCTCTGCACCACCTCCCTCCCCATACCTTGCCCTGTGCACCTCTTCCATTTCCTGAGCTCATCCTTAATAATAAACCAGTAACAGGAAATAACTCCCATTCCTGAGTTCTGTGATTGTTGTAGCAAATTATGGAGCCTGGTGAGAGCAGTTGCAGAAAACTCCAATTTGTAGTCAGCTAGTGCAGCAGTACAGGTAGCCTAGGGATGTCACTTGTGGCTGGCATCTGAAGTGGGGGCCGTCTTGTGGGACTGAGCACTTAACCTGTGGGTCTGTACTAATTCTGGGTAGCGTCAGAATAGAACTGAATGCCAGGACACCCCGCTGATCAGAGAATCAGAGAATTGATTATGGAAGCACACATTTAATGGTTAGGAAAAAAACACACATCAGCTGAAAAGGAATTCCTATCTCCGCCTATGGAGTATAAAGGCTAAGACGGTTTCCCCACTCACTGCCTCTGAAGGCTGTGTCACTGCTGCATCAGGGGAGGGAAAAATAGGGTTATCAGCTTAACAACACGAGCTGTTTTGGCCATCTAGGGGGAAGCACACTTAAGATTCGTTACTGGACCAAGACACTGCCTTGGAGCACCTACTTTGTGGGAAATCAGTGTGAGTACCCAGTCACTGCCACTCTGCCACATTCTTGGCTGTGGTACAAAGAAAAATTATGTCTTGGAACATCATCTGGCATGTTGGGGCTGAGGTTCACTGAGGCTTGGTTATGCCTGGAGGGCCCTGGTGCTGCTTTGATGCTGTGATTCATTCATTGATCTTAGTCAGTTCCACAGTTTACATGCTGGTGTCAAAGTCTCACCCAGCATAACCACAGAGGCTTTCTGCCTTCATCCATAAAACAGGCTGGGAGATCAGGTGAGACTTTCTGG
Source organism: Homo sapiens (assembly GCF_000001405.40). Taxonomy (NCBI): domain Eukaryota; kingdom Metazoa; phylum Chordata; class Mammalia; order Primates; family Hominidae; genus Homo; species Homo sapiens. The sequence goes on from NC_000017.11 coordinate 14,942,861, forward strand.
AGTTTTGATACAGGGAGACAAAGATATGGGAGATTCAGGGACTTCATTGGTGTGATTCATCCATCAGATGGGTCCGTTTATCCCTCAAAGAGGATATTGGAGCCTGGTGGGCAGGGAGTTGTAGGAAACTCTTAATTTGTAATCAGCTGTGGCAGAAGGAGGGTGTCATTGGCCTGGAATGCCACAGATTCTGTGGCCTACAAAAGCTGATCATTCTCCACAGTTCTGATTCCCAGGGACTTACATGTTCATAGTATCCTTGCTTCTAGCTTCTGCTCCCACACGTTCTGTGTAGCTCTATACCTCCAGACCCAGAACTCAGCCTCTGCTTCTTTACTGGTGGTGGGAGGGAAGTAAAAGTGAAGAGAAAAATATTTTTTAAAAATTTTTTTCTGAAGTTTATTATGGGAAGGTATTACATTGACATTGACATTATTCCTCTTCCGTCTGTTTGATCCTCCTGTTCTCTCTTCTCCCTCCACTGCCATCTCTCTTCCATGCTCCTTCCTTTCCAATTCAACCTCAGAGGCTATCTGTTGACATTACTATATGTAATCTCAAAGAAATATTCAGTGAAAGGCCGGGTGCGGTGGCTCACGCCTGTAATTCCAGCACTTTGGGAGATTGAGACGGGTGGATCATCTGAGGTCAGGAGTTCGAGACTAGCCTCACCAACATGCTGAAACCCTGTCTCTACTAAAAATACAAAAAATTAGCTGAGTGTGGTGGTGGGCAGCTGTAATCCCAGGTACTTGGGAGGCTGAGGCAGGAGAATTGCTTGAACCTGGGAGGCGGAGGTTGCAGTGAGCCAAGATCGCGCCATTGCACTCCAGCCTGGACAACAAGAGTGAAACTCCGTCTCAACAACGACAACAAAAGAAATATTCAGTGAAAAAAATTAAGAGGTAAAGAAAAGTGTGTGTGTGTGTGTGTGTATGTATATCTACCTATATATACATATATATAAAATCCTGTAGTTTATCTCTTTTAAAAAATAAAAGAACATTTGCTTATTTAAAAAAATGAAAAGGCAAACCATAACTTTAAAAAAAAATGGTTACTTAAAAGAGAAGGAGAAAATAGCGTGGAGGGGATAAGACTTAGTTGAAAATACCTTGTTTTGTAGATGTGACTTTAGAACCATATAAATATTTTATAAGATTATAAAATGAAGTCAAAAAGTAATCTTTAAATATCGAAAGTAAAATTAGGTAAATGAGCCTTCCTATGTATTAACATACAGTGGGTGGTGAAACCACTCAGTAAGAAATTAATCTAAGTAAGAAATTACTTTAAAAGATAGTAATTTGAATGTAAAATTTTTGTGTGAGATAGCCTAAGGACTAAAAGAACTGGGGAAGAAACTTTTTCAGAATCATACTGTTGGTGGTGAAGTTTGTATCATTATGCTGAGGCTGATACAGTGAGAGATATGTGTGTTACTTAATGTGTTGCTGTCATTGGGAACTGATACAGTGAGAGATATGTGTGTTACTTAATGTGTTGCTGTCACTGGGAACTGAGAGAATTAGTATAGTTGAAAGGATAGACAGATGTAAGATTGATCAGGTTAAGTAAAATTTCTATAGTTTTTAATTAAAATGGGAAGTACGATTCTGAACTCATGATATCTTATAACTTAATATGTGTTTCCTAGTGCCATCCACGGAAAAGGCCTATAAACAATGACCAACCCATTAATAGTGAGCACCCAGATTAAGAGCTCTAAATACCATTTCCCACATAGAAACCTCAGAGAAATGGCTAATTTCAGGACTGAGGCAGGAAAAATACAAGGTGAGTCTGGAAATAGTTGTTATTTCAAAAATCAAGAAAACTATCCAACACTGCTAGGTTTCTGTCACAAGGACTCCATCTGTGGCTTAGGCACCCAATGGCCAACGAGGGAACAATTGGAATATCAATAAGAATAATAATAACTGAGACAATCTGAAGTTCATCAGATATGTTTAAATTCATGAGTTTATAACAATTCTCAAACAAATCAAACCAAACAAAATCTAGACTATTGGACTTCTTTGGAGGATGCTAAGTAACAATCTTATTATTATTATTATTATTATTATTATTATTTTTGAGATGAAGTCTCACTCTGTCGCCCAGGCTGGAGTGCAGTGGTGCAATCTCGGCTCACTGCAATCTCCACCTCCCAAGTTCAAGGGATTCTCCAGCCTCAGCCTCCCGAGTAGCTGGGACTACAGATGCATTCCACCTCATCCGGCTATTTTTTATATTTTTAGTAGAGATAGGGATTCACCATGTTGGCCAGGCTGGTCTTGAAGTCCTGACCTCAGGTGATCCACCCACCTCAGCCTCCCAAAGTGCTAGGATTACAGGCGTGAGCCACTGCACCTGGCCAGCAGCTTTATGTTTTAAAACAAGCTAAAAAATGGTTGAAAAGAAGGTTGAAAGAATCAAACATATTCTGTCTTTCTTATAGAACCTGTAGTAGTCAACAGTTGACAACGGAAGTTTTTAAAAATAAAAGTATTGTAGCTAATAAGTGAAAAATGAATGACAAATTTTGAATGCCATCATTTTTTGTCCTCTAATAATTTAATGTATCTAGATCGGGGTCAATACACATTTTCTGCCAAGAACCAGAAAGTAAATATTTTAGGCATTGCGGGACATATAGTGTCTGTCACGAAGGCTCAACTCTACCATTAGGGTGCAAAAGCAGCCAAAGATAATATGTAAACCGATGGGCTGCGTTCCAATAAAACTTTATTTACAAAAACAAGCAGTGGGCCAGATTTGCCTTTTAGGTTTGCCTACCCTTGATCTAGGTAATGATTATCAATGGCTGCTAACATCATCAAAAGGGGGACATTGTGTACCTCCAGATGGAAGTACGTACTACCACCTATGAGGCAGACTTGATGGGGAAAAAAGCAAACCAGGCTCTGACCAGCCTATAATTCTACATTCTACATTTCAGGGAATTCAATAGATACCTAACACCACGAGAGTGCAACCAGCAAAATACAGATTTTTGGAAGTTCTGTAGGATGAAGGCCCTTGTGTCCTCAATACGCAACTGCAAGGAAAAAAGAAGATAGAAGGATAATGTATTGATTAAAAGACACTTAAGAGACATAATAGCCATTTAAAATATAAATAAAAATAATTGCCCTCACAAGTCTAAATTCTTGACTTAACTCTTATGTAGAGCAGTTTAACTAACATAGCTCTTCTCCAGTGTTCAATTCCCAGGGCCATCAAGATTCTTCCTCAGAAAGTCTCCATCCTCCCTAGAAGGGAATTGGAAGCAATATTTTATCCAGTTTCTCTGGGAAAGAAAAATTATCCAGGAGACAGCAAAGAGGGCAATCCCAAGACACTATGGAGAATAAAACTCCCCTTCCACTTTTTCAGTAATATTCCACTGTTTGTTTTATCTAACACACATTTCTCTAGTAGGATGTACAAAAAATAGCTTTATGTTTAGACAAAATGTAAATATTTTAACAATCTGTCATTTAACAAGTGAGGACACTGGAAATCATCTAAAAATGCTTTATTTTGTATATAGCATTTGGTAAATTGATTACTTTTACTTTCTCTTCGGCTTTATTTTCTCACAAAGTAATCATTGCCGTGTGGAATGCACAGTCATTTTTACGTAGGATGCACAACTCAGAGGGCTATTAACTCCCTGAAAACAACAGGCTGCTAATATACACATTTTTTTCTTGTTTGGATTTATTTCTCACCAGAGAACTATAGTGTATCCCAATTAACTATGAATCTCAGACTGTGGTAAACTGCAATAGCCACAGCCCTTGTCAAGCCTGAAACATATGTGAGTTCTCTGCAGGTTAGAACTAAATTACTGTCTCAGTAATGAAAATAAATTTGCCAATTAATTCACGTAATCAAATCTGACTGAATTTTGTTCTGAAGCAGCGCACACCTGAGAGTCTTAAGACATTTGATTCTTCGAGCTCATTACCTGCGGGCAATTTTTTTCACTTTTCGTCAGAGAACAGGCTCTGTTCAGGCTCCTCCTCAAGCCTTAAAAGGAATTCTCTATGTAGTCAGCAGTAATACAAGAAATTAGAATAACCACTACAAGCCCCTATTGGGCTGGATACTGGGCTGGGTATAGCAACTGGATGAGAAGTTAGCAAAGTAAAAGATCATGGAAAAGAAATAAGTAGACATGAACTTCCATGCTTCACCTTCCATGTATGAAAAAATAGAACCGTAAAGAATTGTTTGATCTGAGCACAAAGTGAGCTAAACTCTTTCACACATTCCCCAGCTTGTGACAGATGGCAGCAATTCCATCAGTCTCTGATTTTAGTACATGTCCCTTTTCTCTAATTGCACACTGCCCAAATCAAGCTTTTGCTAATTAATTGGGTTTCCATTCCTATGCCTACTGCTGGGATCTCCCCATATATCTGCTCTTCACCTGGTGTCTCCTCTCCACATGTGCAATGACCAGCTTTGAGTTTCAGATTCCCTGGCTCCCAACACTCGGAAGCAAAATATAACCATGGGCAGGAAGGCTTGAGAGAAGACATGCATTAGAAATCAGTTGCCTCAGGATTCCATCTCCAGTGTTGTTACACAGAGCCTGGGTCTCTGGCTAAAACTCTGTATTCTTGTTGTTCATAATTTGATCTGAGTTTGTTATTTGCATTATCCAGAACTTCTGCCCAATGTCCTCCTCTGTCTTCCCCTGGTTTCTTAGCCTTGTTTCCTGAGCTCCAATACCTGAATTCTGTGAACCACTGAACTTTTACTTACCTAGAACATGTCTTTCTCCTTTCTTAAGCCTATTTTACAGAACATGATTTTTTTTTAATGATGAAACAATGTATATTTAGAATTAGTCAGTTGGACTCAGTTTAGATGATCCCAATCTTGTTGGCAATATCCAAAGCATGATAAACAGTGGAATGTATGCCTTCTTCTCTCCACCAGGCCCTGATTAGGTTATTGACATTGGCCACATCAGTGTCACAGAGTTTCTTCACAGCCTGTTTGATCTGGCACTTGTTGGCTTTGGCATCCACAGTGAACACAGGCATGTGGTTGTCTTCTGTCTTCATGGTGGACTCGGCAGTTGGGAGCCTGACGATGGATGGCATGATGGTCAAGCTTGTTTCTCCTGGGGGTGCTCTTCTGAAGACATTTGAGCTGCCTCTGGAACCACAGTGTCTTGGGTCCCAGAAGGTGGGTGACTTGTGGATCTTTTTTTGTGTCTGTGGATGCCTCTCATCTCTGCCTTCTTGGCTTTCAAAACCTTTGCTTTTGCTTCAGCTTTGGGAGGGGCAGGAACTTCCTTCTTCACCTTCAGTGCCATCTTGTGAAAATGGCCCTTGATATTTCTTGCCTGCCTGGCGTTCTGGTCTTACCTGACCTTATCTGATTTAATTAACCTCTCCAGTTCTTTCCTTTAACTGACCTTGTCTGTCTTTCTGTGATGAAATACCTGGACAAAGGTACAGAAAGAGGATGACTAGACTCAGCTATTGTCCCAAGAATGCATTCTATTATAAATTAAGCTAACAAATCAACATGTTGGAGTTCTTATTTTAAATTAGCTCCTGCTAAATATATATAGATTTTATAATAAAACACAAAAGTTAAAAGAAAAACGTAGATGTTCTCTGTCACCTAATAAGAGGAAGTCTTTGACAGTAACTCTGGCAGAAGAACTATGGCAAAGTGGTTAGGCAGATGAGCTACTGAGTTCAACAGATGGGAATTAAACCCTTGTCTTGTAGATTTTGTTGTGTATCAGCTCAGAGACTTTGGGTAAGGTTACCTAGCCTCTCTCACTCTCAGTTTCCTCAGCTATAAAATGGTACTCACCTGTATTATCATGGGAAGATATTTCGTCTTTCTCCCCAGTTCCTGGCACAAAGCTCCTAAAACCCTTGGAATTTCCTGGGTGATAGGAGTATCTTTTGTTCTAATGAGGTGATTCTCTCCAAAACCCAAGATAGCTTCAGAATGGAGGCTGGTCACCAGAAAGACCAAGACTTTATTAGAAGCTTGAAACCTTCAGCGCCACTCCCCAACCTCCAAGGAGGAGAGACTAGAGATTGAATTAATCAACAATAGCTAACTCATTAAGCAATCATGTCTACCTAGTGAGAGTTCCATTAAACTCCTTGAACAACAGAGTTCAGAGAGCTTCCAGGTTGGTGAACATATGGAGGTGCTGGAAGAGTGGCAGGACCGGAGAGGGCATGGAAGCTCTGTGTCCCTTCTCCACACTTTGCCCAATGCATCTCTTCCATTTGACAGTTCCTGAGTTGTATCCATAGTAATAAACAAGTAGTAGTATGTAAAACACTTTCCTGAGCTCTGTGAGCTATTCTAGCGAATTGTGGAAACTGGGGAGGGGCCTAAAGAAACCCCCTGAATTTATAGCCAGTTGGTCAGAAGTACAGGTGACAACCTGGGACTTGGTGACTGGTGTCTGAAGTGGGGGCAGTCTTGTGGGAAGGATTGAACCCTTAATTTGTGAAATCTGATGCTAACTGCAGGAAGACAGTGTTGGAATTGACATGAATTGTAGGATACCCAGCCGGTGCTGGAGAGTTGGAGAAGTGGTGTTGAAAAGGATGCCACACATTTGGGGTCAGAAATGTCGTGAGTAAAAACAGTTCATTTCCACCTCATAGGGTCATTAAGGAAATACAATCAGATAATGTCCATAAAATGCTTTCAGCAGTGCCTGGGTCTTGATAATGACTCTATAAAGGGTTATTGTTGCTGTGGTTGTTACTATTATTGAATAAGGTTGACACGCTACACAAAGATGAAAGAGCCTGGCCTGAACAGAGATGCGAATGCTTAGCCACCCATATCTGCACTAAGATTTTCCGTAGGACTTTGGGGTCTTGTTTAATCACTTGAAAGCAGCCTGTTTTCTAAATCATATGCTTGATTTTTATTAAAAATACCATTAAGCCACGCTGTAAGACAGCAGTCAATGAAATGAAATAAAATGTTTTCTTGGCCGGGCACCTGGCTCACGCCTGTAATCCCAGCACTTTGGGAGGCGGAAGCGGGCAGATCACTTGAGGCCAGAAGTTTGAGACCAGCCTGGCCAACATGGTGAAACACGGTCTTTACTAAAATTACAAAAATTAGCTAGGCGTGATGGCACATGACTGTAATCCCAGCTGCTCGGGTGGCTGAGGCAGGAGAATCACTTGAACCTGGGAGGCAGAGGTTGCAGTGAGCCAAGACTGTGCCACTGCACTTCAGCTTGGGTGACAGAGTGAGACTGTCCCAAGACAAAAAAAAAAAAAAAAAATTATTAAGCTGGAACCTCTAGTGCATATATTTTTGTTCACAAATCATGTACACGTACCATGTCAATCACAATATTATATAGTGGCAATCCCTTTCTAAATTATTTAGATACAAGATAAAAAGAGATTCTACTTGTTTCTTCTCTCACCCAAATGGATTGTCAGGCATTTGCTCTGGAGGGAGTGCATCCCAGTTGGAGGTCACTACTGCAAGGGCTGAGCCAAACCACAGTTCTCCAGACAGTACTGGGGTGGGGGGTTTCGTGGATGAGCCTGAACTGGAATTCAAAGGCCAGTACTGTTTGCAGGCCTGGGCCACGAACAGCTCTCAGCCATATGTTTTAAGAAGCTGATTTGCATGGGAAGAGGTGACCTGCAAGGAAGAAATTTATGTTTGCCTGGAAATAAGACAGGAAAATGGAGAGAACAATGTGATGTCTATTTACTAATATTACTCCAAGGAGAAAATCTCAGCCCCGCAGAGAGAGTATTGACAGGCAGCAGCCAAGGGAGATTTCCAATCTCCAGTGAGACCTAGGGAACCTGAGACAGCTGAATGTTGGGGACCTTCTCTCTGCTTATGCTCTCTCTGCTTGGCATCAAGGAAGAATGCAGGGAATTCTTTGGTACCTCAAGACTTGGAAGTTTGGATAGTCTTGAAAAACAGCCCCAACAGAGACTTCACATTCTCCAAGAAAATACCAGGGTTGGACCACCCCACCAGATGGCTCCAGAGGCAGTTTGCTTCTACAAACAACCTGGAACAGAACTTCCTGTGAATACACTCCCAGGGTACATTCCAAGGCATTCCCTAAGTGACTAGGTTGGAGGTGGCCTGAATTCCCATGTCGGGTAAATGAAATACAAAGTGCTAGTCCAATTTACATCGTCACCAACAGCCCACCACCTCCTTCATTTTATATTCCTGTTCTCCAGCCTGGGTCCTAGGGCAAAGTCCTCAGGGTACAGTAGATGGTCTACAGCCTGGATGAATGTGGAAGAAAGTGTCTGGCATTATAAGGTCATGGTGTCAAATCCTCCAGCTTGCAAAGGGCAAGTTCAAGTTCCACAAAGTCACAAAGTCAAATGAAAGCACCATTTCCTTTGTTAAGGAGAAATATCAGCAGTAATAAGTTTCTTATGTGGCCATAGCAGAGGTCACCGAGTGGTCATATGTAGCCTGCCATGGGTTGTACATGTCCAACACAGCGTTTTACAATTTTGAGCAGGAATACCTTTAGATAGAACACGTGCCCTGCCCTCCAACACAGCCCAAACCACTCCTTTTATATTCAATTTCTTTCACTCAAGTGGTTTGCCAGGCTCCTGAAGTTCCTTGATCTCTCAGTGCCTTCTTTATTCCAGTTCTCATTGCACCATCGCGAGAATGCCAACATATTGATGACAAGAAAGGTTGAAGATGCCCAGTTAGGAGAACGGGTGGCAGGCTGGGAATTCTCAACATACATTTAAAGTGTGAGTTCTTCTATCTGGAGCAGTTCGTTCAAGTGTAAAGTGAGCTTGCTGTTCTTCTAAAAAGCCCCTCCTCCTTTTTGTTCCTAATGTGCTGTAATCTCAGAGTTCTTCACGGTAGATCAGTGGGCTGACTAGCAAAATGAGAATATGTTAGGCCTGGCATCAGGACCTTTGCATTCCAGTTTCTGCTTTGCAGCTAGTTCATGCTGTAGCCTCACACCAAATGCTTTGCCTCTTCAAATCATAAAGAAAATGAAGGGGTTGTGTTGGATGATCTTCAAAGACCCTCCAGGCTCTTTCCTTCAAGTGATTCCATTTTTCTACGTAGGAAGGGGAGCATATTTTGCTGGTGAGAACCATTGTGTCTGAAGAGAATTACTGTTCCATGGCCCTGGTCTGGAATTTATTCTGCTTACAGATTTTGAAATGCTTCAGCCAGATTTATGCTATTTTTTTCTGGCCCAAGACTTTCTATGAAAAGTAATTGCCTGCAAGATATTATACAATTTATTCAGCATGTCCCAGAAAGCTATGGAAATCTGGGTCTTCCACACACTTAGGGTAGAATTCTTCTTTGAGATGGAATCTGTAATGGCCCAAAAAGGTATGGCAGCAGCAAACAGGGATTCCTCTAGAATTACCACCACAGGAAGCTTGGGGATATCAGTCCTTCTCCCTTGACAAAATATCTTGTCCCTGAGGAAGCTCAATACAATATAGGAAGCCCTGCTATCATGTCACAAGGTATAAGTATGCCATATGGTGGCCCAGGAAACCTGACTCTATAGTGAAAGTAATGAAAGGAAAGAGACTTCCGTGTCACATGTGAAATGAAGGTTGGGTTAGAGGTTTATTGTGAGGACAAAGAGCAGCTATTATAAGGTTATAGTGCCACGATGCCAATACACTCACCCGCAGGCTTCTCGCTCTGATCATAAAAGGATGTTGGTCCCCAAGGGCACACTTCTCTGTATTTTAGGAAGAAGAGCTAGGATGTCTGGGGTCCTCTCCCTGGGGTCTAATGTGGCCCATGCCACCCCTTCCCTTTCACAAATGCTATTATGGAGAAACTTGACCATGCAGAACATAAGACAGCATAGAAAAATAGAGAAACTGTACCATATACACCAGCATTGCCAAAGCTTGGTATCGTGCTGGGGGTGGAACTGAGAATAAGAGAGAGAGAAAGAAAAGAGAAAAAGAAAGAATGGCAGAGATGGATTCTGAATTCCTATTTGTCACTGTTATTTATTTATTTATTTATTTTGGTTTTTTGTTTGTTTGTTTTTTTGAGACGGAGTCTTGCTCTTTTGCCCAGGCTGGAGTGCAATGGCGTGATCTCGGCTCACTGCAACCTCTGCCTCCCGGGTTCAAGTGATTCTCCTTCCCCAGCCTCCTGAGTAGCTAGGACTACAGGTGTGCACCACCATGCCCAGCTAATTTTTGTATTTTTAGTAGAGATGGGGTTTCACCATATTGGCCAGGCTGGTTTCCAACTCCTGACCTCATAATCTGCCCACCTCGGCCTCCCAAAGTGCTGGGATTACAGGCATGAGCCACTACACCCGGCCACTGTTACATTTGAAGAAAGCAGTAAACTGTCCTCCCGCAGGATTCAGCATCATGTATTCTCAGTAATGCAGAAATCACCATTGAAGTTGGAGCCTTATATGAAGGGAAGTGAGGCTTCATTGGTGGAACAAGCCACCAGAAGTGCATACAAGAAATGCCAGCGATGGGAAAAGGGACTTGCCCAAGAGTCAAATCTGAGGAATAACCACCTTCAGGCAGGTGGGGTCATTTCTATGGCTTGGAGTCATTGCAGACAGGACCTACTTATCAGACCCATTAGTCAGATGGACAATCAAACCCAAGCCGTATGCTTCATTCAACGACTATTTACTGAGCACATTTAATGTACGAGACTCTGCTCTAGCCTTTGGGAATAAAGAAGTGAGCAAGATAAGCAACACACCTGGCCTCAAGGACTTTGTATTTGGCTGGGGATGTGATACAATGTAGAAAAAAAAATGAATGCACAGGATGGTTTCAAACCTCTCCTATTACAAAGACATCAAAATGAAGTAGTGTGATGGGAAAGGAGGCGGGGAGGGGGCTTCCCTCTTGAGCAGTGACGCCATTTACCAACTACATAACCTTGAAGAATTACTTAACTCTGTGAGTCCATGGTCCCATCTGTAAAATCATGTTAATAAATAGTACCCATCTCAAAGCGTTGCTATAAAAGAATAACGGAGATAATGCATGTGCATAGCACAATGCCCGACTGAGTGTCTTTAGCCCCATATTACTGCAGTTCCAGGCACGCCTGACAGCAGGCATGTGAGCAACCTGAAGCCAAACTGTCCATCTGAATCCTGCAGATTCCTGACCCACAGAAACCATGAGAGGTAGTAAAATAATCATTGTGGTTTTCAGCCACTAAGTCTTTGGGTAGTTTGTCATGCAGCAACAAATAATTAGAAAAACGCTATTTTATCTGAAAAGGTGGAGACTTTCTTTTATTATTTTTCCCTGGAAGAGAAAAACTCTTCCAGAAGGGTTTGTTATCAGGAAAGCCTGTTCTAAAATATAATGTATTAAAGAAAAATCTGAGGTTCAGTAAGGCTGACTGATCAGGAAAAAACTGCCATTGAAAAGATAGTTTGTTACTCACAGTTCCCAAGAGGAGTGGGCAAACCATGCAAGAGGCTCCACACAGGGAAGCTCCAGGGTTGATTGAGTCACAAGAATAAGAGTGAGTTTTGGGCAAGAGTCTTTATTGTGATTTCTCCAGGAAGGAACAGGCAAGACAAGGCAAGCAGGCTTAGGATTAGCAAGTTTGAATAATTTCAGTGAGGTCTGGCACATAGGGGCTATTTCCTAGTGTGATTAGGGCAGATAGAGAGGGGTCCAGAGTATTACAGCCCCATAAAGGATGTGGTTAAAAATGTGTGGGCTCTGAATCGGTGGGTTTATATTTGAAAAGTCGGAGAGTTGTCTCCAAGAATTGGCTAACCCTAGGAAGGGCAATCCCTCCAGGGTCAGCAAGGCCCCAGATATCAAAGCATCAGAATATAGGAAATAAAAGACATGGTTAGTACAGAACCTACCAAGCAGTATAGAAGAAGACAATGTCTGAATCTCATGTTCCTGGGATCCCTTGTGGCCAGGGCACTGATTTATGATCCATTCGTAGCTTCTGGGACCTAAGGAGGGGCATATGCTAGAAGAAAAAGATTTTGATTCTGAGAATGATTTTCTTCCTTGATAAAAGAGAGAGAGACTTGCACAAGAAGAAGCCCTGTCCTCCTTTCCCATTTTGAACATTGATATATGAGGACTGCAAGCTTCCAGCTACCACCCACATTAGCTTGTGGCCGGGAGGAGATGACCAAGAGGATCACAGAGAAGGCAACCTGAGGTCCCATACCAGTGAGCCCCAGTTCAACTCTGCCACCCTATTTTTATTTAAGTAATATGGTTTTTGTTTTTGGGGTTTTTTTTCTTTGGATATTTGGTTACTTGCAGCCAGAGTATAACTGACATATGATGTTGGCCAGCAATGAGTAACACCATGAGACAATCACTTGCTTCTAATTCCCGGACCTCCTATAACCACCATACTTGGAAGAGAGAGAGAGAGGGGGAAGTTTAGTTACCTTTCCACAATAGTAAAAATATTACTTGAGAACTCATGGTTGACAACTGCCAATTTGTAAAACATGAGAAGGAAGAGCTTGGTTAAGTTGGGGGTTCACTTACATGAGAAGAGAGACAGATGGGGGACAAAAGTGAATGCTGGAAGCCCTGAAGACCAGAATCCACTTCCACATGTTGTCTTGGGCAGGGGCTGCCTGCTGAGGGCCATGCCTGATGTTCACTGCACTGACACATATGGAAGCTGTGAGGAGTGTTTCATATGGTCCATGGATGCCCTTCATTACAGCATAGTTGGAAAATACAGGATTCAGATGGCTGTGATTCTGAGCATCCCAGCAGTATCTGCTAGTAGAATAGGGAAGAATCCCTGTAATACAAAATCAGAGGAAAAAAAGGATGATGAGTACTCTGAAATTTTAATTGGTGAAATAAGGATGTGGGATGTACTATTTTGGTCTACTGGAAAGGGGTGGGTGCATGTTGCCTCAACCTACTGAACTTCATTGAGTGTTTCTTTTTCTTTTAGACAGAGTCTTGCTCTGTCGCCCAGGCTGGAGTGCAATGATACGATCTCAGCTCACTGCAACCTCTGTCTCCCAGGTTCAAGCAATTCTCCTGGCTCAGCCTCCCAAGTAGCTGGGACTACAGGCACGTGTCACCACACCCGGCTAATTTTTGTATTTTTAGTAGAGAACAGGTTTCACCATGTTGGCCAAGCTGGTCTTGAACTCCTGACCTTGTGATCCACTTGCCTCAGCCTCCCAAAGTGCTGGGATTACAGGTGTGAGCCACCGCACTCGGCCAAGTGTTTTTGTTTGTTTGTTTGTTTTTTGTTTTTTGTTTAATAGAACATCCCTAATCACAGGGATTGATTTAAAGATGTTATTTTATGTTAAGTGAAATATAGTTATCTTGAAGTTGCAATCTGTTGGTCACGGGGAAGAAAATATTGCTGAAGAAGGGGAAATAAAAGCAGAATTGGTAAAATAAGGAAAAATAAAAATCCATTATGATTAGGATACCCACGTCTAAACCATCATCCGAATTCTGCCTCAACTAGTCTATTGACTGTCTTGAGTGAAAATGGTTGCGGTGATGAGATGTATTTTCCTTCCATGCTGGAGGATTTTCTTTCCATCTGCACTGTTAAAGCTGTTGGGTTATTTCACCCACTTCCACGTCTGCTGGGCTCTCTCTCTCCATGTTTGCTGCATTCCACACAATTACTGGTAGTGTGTGCCAGATACAAGCACTGGGGATATAGTAACAGATCAAACAGGCATCATTCCCAATGTGAAACTATGTTTTTGGACCCACACAGCCAGTTTTTTGTTTGTTTGTTTGTTTGTTTTTGAGACAGCGTCTCGCACTGTCGCCCAGGCTGGAGTGCAGTGGCGTGATATTGGTTCACTGCAACCTCTGCCTCCGATGTTCAAGTGATTCTCCTGCCTCAGCCTCACGAGTAGCTGGGATTACAGGCGCCAGCAATCGCACCTGGCTAATTTTTTTGTATTTTTTTTTTTTTAGTAGAGACAAGGTTTCACTATGTTGGCGAGGCTGGTCTCAAACGCATGACCTTGTGATCTACCAGCCTCGGCCTCCCAAAGTGCTGGGATTACAGGCGTGAGCCACTGTGCCCAGCCACAGCCAGTTGATTTTTTGCTGCTGTGTAGGTAAACACAAATACAAAATGCCTATTATAATCACTATTTCCAACTCTACTTGCTGAGGTAGTGATCACGTAACCCCCAACCCGCAGCCCTCTCCATTTGATAGGCACTGTGTTTTCTGTTTCTACTTTGGCAGGAAACTCCAAGGAACAGAGGAGCTCAGAGAAGACTAGAACTCTGTATTCCGTACCCGTAAACAATTTGTATAAGCAAAATAAAACTTTTTAACTTTCCTCATCCCAATCTGCATTATATTTCCCTCTGGCCATTTTGCCACATGGCCTAGGAGTTGGGGCTGAGTAAATGCCAGCTCAGGAATGTGTCCTAGACTTCCCATGAGGGGAGGGCAGTAAAGACATGATGCCAGTGCTGTTGGTTTCCTTCCCTCCTGGGATAGAGCTTGAGGGAAGAGACAAGCAAGGTGGAAGAAATATTGCCATAAGCAGCGTGAGCATTTGGTCATAGAGGGAAGAGCCAAGGGACAGTCACAGACCCCAAAGGACACCCCATGCTCTGCCTGTTGCCACCCCAACAGAGCATGGCCATGGCCGTAACAAAGAGGAGGCTGAGTGTGGGACGTTAAGAAGAGAGAGGGCCTGAGGTAGTACTTGTGTGTCTCTTTAGAGCCCATGAACTAGTTATCCAGAAGATCTTTATGCAGCCAAACAACAACAACATGGAAATCAGAGGTCCCAGAGGACGTCCCAAGGGGGCAGAGAGGAGCAAAGCAGGAAACCAGCGGAAAACCTACCACGGGGCCATCTAGGCATGGGGCACGGTGCCCTGATGCTGGGGTGAGTGAAGTAAACCAAGACATGGACAGAGGATGGCAGGGGGCTACCAGGACCTCTGGCCTCAGGAGAACCAAGGTGGGACTAAGTCACCCAGAAAGGACATGGGGCCTGCAGATAGACTAGGTGTGTACCGGCTGCCGCAGACACAGAGGAAGCCCGAGGACACCACCACCGTAGCAATGGAGGAACCACGGAGAGCTCCAGGACATGGATGTACATGGGAACTAAGCCTTCTTCCCACTGCTGTCACAAGGCCACTGGGGCTACCAAGGATGCCTAGATGCCATCTGGAAAAAGAATAGGAGGAAGGAGAATAAATAGACTGGGCAAGCAAGTGGGATACTGCAAGGACTATTTAGTTCAGAAGGAACTAAAATGCCATTAAGAGGTAAGTGGTGAGTTTAAGTCTTATCTCCTCTCCCTTACCCTCTACTTTTATTCAGCAGAGTGATTTTTTCTTATCTGAGTAGAATGTATAAATTTCAACCATGCTACATACGTAATCACCAAATACCTACTAGAGCAAAGTCACTTCAAGTGTGGCCACCTGACCAGCTCCCAAGACAACACTGCTTGTCAGGGGACCATACATTGAAGGTCACTGTCAGGAAGCATGCAGCTGAGCCTGTCTCTAGAGATGAGCAGGTCTGCATCAGGCAGCTTCAGAGTAAGGCAGACCCACCCATCACTTATGATTTATTTCTTCTGTTAATCATCTGGATTATCTGGAAATCATCTTGTCTATTAATGTGGGCTCAACTGCACAACTGAGGCATGAACGATGACCCTTGAAGATTTCAGCCTAGTTTCATTGTTACTGAAAATGATAGCAATGACAAATTTCTTCATTCCTACATCCCCCTATTTATTCTGCATCCTCTGTGTCCTGCTAGTGTTGAAAAAATAACCCAGTCCTATGCCTGTCCCATAAACAGAATACAAGGGTCACCTGGTCTCCCAAAGTCCACCTGTTCACTGACATTAGGTCAGTACAGTCGTCTGCACAAGGAATTAGTTCCAGGATCCCTACCTGCAAGGATACCAAAATCCCAGCATACTCAAGTCCTCTGTATCCATGGGTTCCAAGGATATGGAGAGTCAACTGTATGGTTCCCCCATGAAAATAATTAGAAATGTAGTTGGTTACATCAGGGTAGGGTAAAAGCGTATGATTCGACTTAAATACCTCAAAGATATTATGCCCTCTAGGGTCACTGGGATGCCAGACTTTTTGGTAAGAAAAAGACACTGCTCACATCTTGGGATGGGCAAGGAGAAGAGAGAGCAACTGCAGGAATCTGTGTGGGAGTTTGGGATGATTCTGATTGGAGCAATGGGGCTGCAGCTGTGTGGGTTCAGCCAACCTCTTCATTCTAAAGGGAGACCCTGAAAACCACAGAGCAGGGACACAGTGGGCAATCAGCCTAGCTATGTACGAGAAGAGGCTTTAAAGCTTCCCATTAGATTACACTCTGTTTCTCAGTGATGCTTGGAAAAAAGCCAAGCCTCTCAAAAGATGCATGTCAATTCACTAAAGCAGCATGGAGGTGGGAGTGGAGGGAGTCTGTTAATCATCTACATAGATCCTTGCTACTCAAACTGTGGCTGGGAGACCAGTAGCATCAGCCACATATTCAAGGATCTTCTTAACATTGCAGAATCTCAAGCTTCATTCCAGACTACTGCATCAGCATCTGCATATTAACAAGATCCCAAGTAATTAGCACATGGAAAGTTGAGAGGTACTGCTGTTCTCATACCCTAGCTGCGCACTGTAACCACCTGGGCAATTTTTAAAAGGCATGCCTAGGAGTGAAGCCCAGGTCTTATGATTTTTTAATTCCATGATTTTAATGTGTAGCCAGGAAGGATCAGTTGTTCTCAAACATTAGCAAGCATCAGCATCAGCTGGAGGATTTGTTGCAGGTACTGAATCAGAAACTCTGGAATAGGGCTGTTAGGCTTTGGAGTTTCTGGTTCAGTAGGTTTGGCGGGAGCAGAGAATTTGCATGTCTAACAATTTCTCAATAATGCTGAAGATCCTGGCCCCCAGACCACACTTTGAGTACCTTGACCTTAATGGAGATAAGAACAAAGTTCCCACACTAGCAGTATCAACATCACCTGGGAACTTATTACAAATGCTGTTTGCTACTGAATGCTACTGAATTAGAAATTCTGGGGGTGGGGCTTTTCAATCACTTTTAACAAGCCTTCCAGGTGATTCTTATGCAGCCTTAAGTTTGAGAACCTCCAGTTGCAGTGGCTCATGCGTGTAATCCCAGCACTTTGGGAGGCTAAGGCTGGTGGATTGCTTGAGTTCAGGAGTTCAAGACCAGCCTGACCAACATGGTGAAACCACATCTCTACAAAAATTACACACAAAAAATTAGCTGGGTGTGGTGGTGTGCACCTGTAGTCCCAGCTACCTGGGAGGCCAAGGTGGAAGGATCACCTGAGCCCAGGAGGTCAAGGCTGCTGTGAGCCATGATGACGCCACTGCACTCCAGCCTGGATGACAGCAAGACCCTGTCTAAAAAAAAAAAAAAAAAAAAAAGTGTGAGAATCACTGGTCTGGGTGTTTACTCACAAGGTGCTGAATAGTCAGTAATTGGAAATAGATTTAAAAAAAAACTGCCCTATGTTTGCCTACCTTTTTCCATGTGTTTGATCTTTGTAAACCAAGTAACCTTTTGTAACCTGACTTGGCTAAATGGTAGAGAGCCTTGAACTCTGGCCAGACCTCCTGGACATTTGTCCACTCAGGGCACAAGAGCAATAAGAATAATCATTCATATATGTATATATGTATATTTGTATATCTGAATGTATATATAAATATATATATCTGACTTAAAATTTCACAATGAGCCACATCAACCCTGGCAGCTGAGTACGACAGGTACTGGCTTCCATTTCACAGGCGTGCCTCTGAGAAATGAAGGAAAGCAGATAATGGTTCCCTAGCCATCATCTTTTTCCTCATTCCTTCTGCCCATCAGAAACCCGATACTGTTCAAGAATCTACTCTCTTCCTTATAATTTAAGAGAAACTGATGAGTAGATTCTAATTACTCTTAGCCAGTGGTTCTCAACATCAGCAGCCTGAGGAATTTTATAAAATATTGATACCAGATTCTGCCCCCAGAGGTTGATTTTATTGGTCTGGGGTATGCTCTGGGCATTGTGATAATTAAAAGATTCCCCAGTGGATTCTAATATGCAGCCAAGGGTTCAAACCACTGGTCTAAGCCAATTGTGGTAACCTCATGCTTTTCACCAATAATTGGCTTAAGGGAGACTTGTGATGTGGTCTGGCCAGTTGGTCGTGCTCAAGAGCTGTTAGGAAAAGGGCTGCTTGTTCTTAAAGAGAAGAAGACAGTCACTGTACTGCCTCGGGATGTTGTTGAATTTAAATGTGATGGCTGGAGTTGCTGCAGCCATTTTGTTGCCATCCTATAGATGAACCCAATACACAAAAAAGGACAAAGCCAAGGAAAACTACAGATCCAGAGCCTAGGGCCAGCACTCCTAAACCTGCCCATTTCACATTACTTATAGTGCATCAGATGATAAATCTTATTATTTACATTCTGGTGACTTAGGGTTGTCTGTTCCTGGCTGCCAAAGTTGTACTAGCAGAAACATTAGGTGATGCAGCTGAAGCCACACACTTAAGATAAATGTGGATTCGGGTCTTCTGATTCCAGCTCCAGGGCTCTTTTCCCTAAATTATACTTTTCTTTGTAGAACCCTGGGCAGGATATTTTGCCATGAAAACTGCCCAGGAACTCACTTTGGGCCAGCAGCTACAAAAGAGAATTACCACCATTGCATCTTAAGGATTGAATTTCCTTGCTCTTACAAAAGTGTTTGGAGGTTGTTTGCCAGCAACTTTCAAGTTAAGCACATTAAACTAAGGGTAGGGTGGAGGTGACAGAAATTACGCATTTTATTTGTCCTGACTAGAAATTGGGCATGTCTCTATTTAAATTGAAGAATAACTAAATCACTTACAGGATTAATAAGGAGAGAAGACCTTTGGGAGCCAGATGATAATGATGTACATAGTTTTCTGGATATACACAAAGGGATGGTTTACCCTGGAAAAACCAAGTAATTTAAAAAAGGCTATGTTAATTTCAGGCTTCCTTAGGAACACTGGGGGGTGAAGTACATCAGTGGATAAAGTTAGTAGAAAATGAACACATTGGTGGAGAGAATGAGTGACACAGAGGAATGTAATTAATCTTATATAGGGGCAGGCAGAAAGGGGAAAGTCTCAAACAGTGAGGCAATTTGTCAGAGAGTGAAGCCAACAGAGATGGATGACATTTTTGTTTCTTATGTGAATAAACTATTGTGTCCCTGGAGGCACAAACTGAAGGTGGAATTATTTTCAAGGATGATACTCTGATCATTTCAAAATATGCAAAGCACCAAGTACTGCACTGCATCTGTCATCATGGGTGTACCATCAAGATAAAATAAAAGTAGGTTGTGCATATACAATGAGGAGAATGAAGTAACCATCCAGGTGATGTGCTTTTGTGTTTTGCGTTAAGTGAGAATATGGTTAAATATGAAGGCAACAGAGCAAATTGTTGATCAGCTGACTTACTCTAATCAATTAAGACAGTTGTAATAAACTAGTCATTAGCCATTTGGTATACTCATCATCTTGCCATCTAATTGGGTCAATTGTTCACTAATGTAATTCAGTGTTCAGGATTCTACCAATTAATAACCAAATGGGTACCTCATCTACCTCTACACTCCAATCGTCATCTCTCGAAGGGAATGGGAGTCTAACAAAATCAATAGAGCTGCGGAATATACATGAGGAATATTTGGTAAAGATGATTACATGCACCGGGAGTATGGTGTCAAATGTCCAGACGTAATTGTTATTATTAGCCCATAAAATTAATTTCAAGGTTAGGACTGTCCATTAGTGAAAAGACCTCATCTAAGGAGCTCGTACGTGTAAGCAAGCCCTGGCACCTAGGAGCTGGCTGGACTCTGTGGGGATGTTATGAGGACCCTGCACGGTAACAAGCAATGATCTAACTTATTCATCTATAGGTGTGTTCCTGGTGGTCTTTGGCTGGAAGCTATTGACATTGGCTAGATAGAAAATACACAAAAATTTAGTTCCAAATATTTCTAACTGTTTAGGACCTTATTAGGAAAAAAAAATCTGCATTTGTGAGAGAGTGTTTACTTCAGTGCCAGGTTAATGAGAACTGGCTATTCTTACTCCCTCTTTCAGATTTTCCAGCTGTCTTTGTAGAAACCTCTGCTTCTGACCATATTTCCATGGTTTGTTCACAAAAGCTCAGCAGTTCAACCAAAACAGTTTGTTTGTGGATCTTTCTTAGTGGTGACTCACCAAACACCCTACTGAACAGCTCTCTCAGTTGCTCAGACTCCAAATCTTGGAGACATCCTTGACAAATGTATATAAATAAATATGTATATATACATGCAGATATCTATATATGTATTACACACACACACTTGGCATCCAGACTTTTAGCAAACTGAGTCAGCTCAATATTAAGAATGTTGGCCAGGTGCAGTGACTCACGCCTGTAATCCTAGCACTTTGGGAGGCCAAGGCGGGCAGATTGCCTGAGTTCAGGGGTTCGAGACCAGCCTGGGGAACACGGTGAAACCCCGTATCTACTAAAATACAAAAAAATTAGCCAGGCATGGCAGCGTGTGCCTGTAGTCCCAGCTACTCAGGAGGCTGAGGCAGAAGAATTGCTTGAACCCAGGAGGTGGAGCTTGCAGTTAGCTGAGATAGTGCCACTGCACTCCTCTAGCCTGGGCGACAGAGCGAGACTTTGTCTCAAAAAAAAAAAAAAAAAAGTTAATGGAAAAACCGTTTATTCTGAGCCGATGTGTGTGAGCATGACCCAGGGAACAATCTCAAGAAGTCCTCAGAAAATGCGCCCACGGCAGTCTCATTAGTTTGGTGTTATACATTTTAGGGAGACAGGAGTTACAGCAAGGACATAACTCAATACATGAAAGATAACATTGGTTTAGCCCCCAAAGGGAGGACATGTTGAAGTTTGGACTTACAGGTTATAGTTGGATTTAGAGATTCT
The DNA here is from genome assembly GCF_000001405.40 of Homo sapiens. Classification (NCBI taxonomy): domain Eukaryota; kingdom Metazoa; phylum Chordata; class Mammalia; order Primates; family Hominidae; genus Homo; species Homo sapiens. The sequence continues at coordinate 14,963,884 of NC_000017.11, forward strand.
TTAATTTGTAATTCATTGAAGGAGTAAGGCTTTGTCTAAAATTTTGGAATCAGCAGAAAAAAAAAATGTTTTCAGATAAGGATTTCTGTTAACCAATACATTGGGTCAGAGTGACCTCTAAAGGGATGTGACTCAACCTTTGCCTTGCATGACCTTAGGCCCTATTTATAATTTGGTATCTTTTGTTACAGAGTCCGCTCTAGTAGTCTTTTGATTTCTATTTTAACATTAATGCTAGTCACTTGTGGCTAAACTCCAAAAGGGAGAGGGTATAATGAGTTGTGTCTGACTTCCCATCTCTTCATGGCTGGGAATTCAGTTTTTAGGGTTTTTCTGGGGTCACCTTGGCCAAGAGGGGATCCATTCAGTCAGTGGGGGACTCAGAATTTTGTCTTTAGTTTGCGAGAGAATATCCCAAATATGGTCACCTCTCACCACCCCCACCATTACCGTATGGGTGGGTCTCTCCTGAACTATTTCAATGGTCTTCCAAATGTCCCCTCCCCTTCTAGCCTAGTCTTTGTACAGAAGGCAGAGTGTTGATACTCACTAGATAATATCACTCTGTGCTTGAAAAACACTTCCCATGTCATCTTGATTAAGTTCTAAATCTCTCACCATTGTTACAAAGTCCTACATAAGCTTTCTGCTGGCTACCTCTGTGACCTAACGTCCCACAGATCTCTGCCTGGCTCACTCTGTTCTAGGCACATCACCCCCCAGGACTGTTCCTTGATCACTGTGGGTGCTGTCCCACCTCGGGAACATTCACTTGCTGTTTCCTCAGCCTGCAACCGTCTTCTCTCAAATATCTGCAGAGCTGGCCTTACTCACCGTCCTGACAGAGTTTATCCTCTAGCGTTTGGTGGTGGTTGTGGGGCAAAATTCGTTGGGTAGTGCAATCAACAAATACTGATTCTTTGATCACAGCATCTTTATTTTTTTTTATTATACTTTAAGTTCTAGGGTACATGTGCACAACGTGCAGGTTTGTTACATATGTATACATGTGCCATGTTGGTGTGCTGCACCCATTAACTCGTCATTTGCATTAGGTATATCTCCTAATGCTATCCCTCCCCTCTCCCCCTACCCCATGACAGGCCCCAGTGTGTGATGTTCCCCTTCCTGTGTCCAAGTGTTCTCATGGTTCAATTCCCACCTATGAGTGAGAACATGTGGTATTTGGTTTTTTGTCCTTGTGATAGTTTGCTGAGAATGATGGTTTCCTGCTTCATCCATGTCCCTGCAAAGGACATGAACTCATCCTTTTTATGGCTGCATAGTATTCCATGGGATCACAGCATCTTTAAAGAACCTAAAGATTATCTTAAAAATCATCTCATTCAACCATTTTATTCTACAAGATAGAATAAAAGGAAGTTCATAGGTCAAATGTATCATCTGAAGTCACCCAACCAGTTAGTTGCAGATCAGGGTCCACAACCCAGTTAAGTGATCTTTGCATGAATCATTCAGCCAGTCAAATCTGTTAAATTATGAAGTAGTATTTTTATTTGTTGGGACAAGTTGATTTGATCAGCATTACTTGATACAGTAATGCTATATTACTAAATTTCAGAGAGTTCTAGGTTGAGAATTTTCATTTATATTCCAAACATATTACATATTTATGTGATCAAGAAACTTTCTCAATTACTTTCTATGCTTTCTTTTTCCTCCAAAACTTTTTGACCTCCTATATACTTATTCAGTAAATATTAAAGACCTAGCAGTCTAGAATGGAGCTCGGATGTGTACATAAATAATGATTTTAAATAAAAATTTTAGGAAGTCAGCTAGTATTTTTAGGTAGTTTATAATGGGAACAGCATGAGAGCTGGAGACAGGTGAGAGAGGAAAGGTTTCTGCCAGCTGTGAAAACAAGGGAAACCTCAAATGGAAGAGATGGCATTTGGACTGAGGGATGACCAGGATTTGGACACTAAGGGGAGGAAAAAGCAAATCGGCTAGAGAGAAGAGTACAAGTAAAAGCAAAGTATCTACACCAGCCTGGGCAACATGGCAAGACAACATTTCTATGAAACAAACAAAAATTGGCTGGGCATGGTGGTGCATACCTGTAGTCCTAGCTACTCAGGAGGCTGAGGTGGGAGGATTGCTTAAGCCCGGGAGGTCAAGGCTACATTGAGTTGTGATCGTGCCACTGCACTCCAGCCTCAGCAACAGGGTGAGACCCTGTCTCAAAAAAGAAAGAAAGTGTTCTACAACAGAGGATTCGCTGCTGTTCCAACTGTTTATAAACACGCTGGAAACAGAACATGGTGAAGAAGAATCCTCCTGTTTGCTCTGTGACTCCCTCCCCCACTCACCTCAGTGAACTCCAGCAGGTATTTAGTTTCACAAGATATTCCTGGTCCACAAAGTGCTCTTTTCTTAAACTCTTGGGAATAGTTAAAATACTTGCCTCAGGATTGTTATTCACTTTAATTTGCATAAAGTATCAAATGAAACATTTAAGTGGTACAATTACAGAAATACTGAGAATTCCTGGTCAATCGCAATCTGAAGAATACAAATCAAGTCAACCCACTCACCTCACTTGGAGGCACTGACATGTTATCCCCTCCCTGGATGGTGGCTGGGGGCCATTGAGAAAGAGAAGTGCCCTCCTTTCTTCCTTCAGGCCAGGTGGATGTCCATCTTCGCAGAATGCCACCTGAGTTTTATCCTGAAAAGGCCCACACCACATGGAGGCACCCTCTGTGAGCCAGGATCCTCTGTACCTCAAGCTGACCCTCACTCGGCACAGCCTGAGTCCCAGGCACTGGCAGGAAGCCTCAGGCTCTAACCACCTGACCTGGCCCCAGCATTTACCTGCCAGATGCCTGTCTGCCTGTGCAGGGGAAAGAAAATTCTTTCTTTTCCATCTTAGGTTCATGGATGAGGTGCTTAATAACAAAAGACAGATTAACAAGAGAAGAGCATACATATTTATTTAACGTAAATTTCATGTGACATGGGAGTCTTCAGAAATGAAGATTTCAAGAATCAGGAAACCTGTGTATTTTTGTGCTTAGGTTTGATAAAGAGTGGACAGTCATGCAGGAAGTATGACTGGACAAAGGGGGTGTGAGCTAATGGTAGTAGAGTAGAGGGACTTAGCAGGGCCTGTTTAGATTTATTGCCACCTGTGAATCCTTAAGGGTCTTGCCTCCTCAGAGGAAAAATTCAGCTAAGGGGCAGAAGTAGGTTTAAGGCAGAGGAAGAGACCAAGGCACATTTTAGAGCAGGAATGAAAGTTTACTAAAAAGTTTTAAAGCAGGAATGAAAGGAAGCAAAGTACACTTTTTAAATTATTATTATATTTTTCTGTAAGTTATTGGGGTACAGGTGGTATTTGGTTACATGGGTGAGTTCTTTAGTAGTAATTTGTGAGATCCTGGTGCACCCATCACCCGAGCAGTATACACTGCACCATATATGTTGTCTTTTATCCCTCGCCCCCTCCCTCTTTCCCCCCAAGTCCCCGAAGTCCATTGTATCATTCTTATGCCTTTGCGTCCTCATAGCTTAGCTCTCACCTATCAGTGAGAACATACAAAGTTTGGTTTCTCATTCCTGAGTTACTTCACTTAGAATCATAGTCTCTAATCTCACCCAGGTCATTGCAAACGCTGTTAAATCATTCCTTTTTATGGCTCAGTAGTATTCCATTGTGTATATATATACTATATATATATATTATATATACTGTATATTGTATATATATAGTATAGTATGTATATACACATTATATATATAATATATATTATATAGTATGTATATTTATATATATACCACAGTTTATCCACTCGTTGATTGATGGGCATGTGGGTTGGTTGCACGATTTTGTGATTGTGAATTGTGCTGCTATAAATATGCATGTGCAAGTATCTTTTTCAAATAGTGACTTCTTTTCCTCTGGGTAGATACCCAGTAGTGGGATTGCTGGATCAAATGGTAGTTCTACTTTTAGTTCTTTAAGGAATTTCCACACTGTTTTCCATAGCGGCTGTACTAGTTTACATTCCCACCAGCAGTGTAGAAGTGTTCCCTGTTCACTGCATCCATGCCAACATCTACTATTGTTTGATTTTGTAGCCATTCTTGCAGGAGTGAGGTGGTATCACATTGTGGTTTTGATTTGCATTTCCCTGATCATTAGTGATGTTGAGCATTTTTTCATATGTTTGTTGGCCATTTTTTATATCTTTTTTTTGAGAATTGTCTATTCATGTCCTTAGCCCACTTTCTGATGGGATTGTTTTTTTTCTTACTGATTTGAGTTCCTCGTAGATTCTGCATATTAGTCCTTTGTCAGCTGTATAGATTGTGAAGATTTTTCTCCCAATCTGTGGGTTGTCTGTTTACTCTGCTGACTGTTCCTTTTGCCATGCAAAAATGTAGTTTAATTAGGTCCCAGCTATTTATCTGTGTTTTTATGGGATTCCTTTTTGGGTTTTTGGTCGTGAAATCCTTGCCTAAGCCAATGTCTAGAAGGGTTTTTCCAATGTTATCTTCCAGAATTTTTATAGTTTCAGGTCTTAGGTTTAAGTCCTTAATCCATCTTGAGCTGATTTTTGCATAAGGTGAGAGATGAGGATACAGTTTCATTCTCCTACATATGGCTAGCCAATTATTCCAGCACCATTTGTTGAAAAGGTGTCCTTTCCCACTTTATGTTTTTGTTAGCTTTGTCAGAGATCAGTTAGCTCTAAGTATTTGGGTTTATTTCTGGGTTCTGTGTTCTGTTCCATTGGTCTATGTGCCTATTTTTATACAAGTACCACACTGTTTTGGTGACTATGGCCTTAAAGTATAGTTTGAAATCAGGTGGTGTGATGCCTCCAGATTTGTTCTTTTTGCCTAGTCTTGCTTTGGCTGTGTGGGCCCTTTTTTGGTTCCATATGAATTTTAGAATTGTTATTTCTAACTCTCTGAAGAATGATGGTGGTATTTTGATGGAGATTGCATTGAATCTGTAGATTGCTTTTGGCAGTATCGTCATTTTCACAATATTGATTCTACCTGTCCATGCACATGGGATGTGTTTCCATTTGTTTGTGTCATCTATTTTTTTTTTTTTTGGGACAGAGTTTCGCTCTTTCGCTCAGGCTGGAGTGCAGTGGCATGATCTCGGCTCACTGCAACTTCCACCTTCTGGTTTCAAGTGATTCTCCTGCCTCAGCCTCCCAGGTAGCTGGGATTACAGGCACCTGCCACCATGCCTGGCTAATTTTTGTATTTCTGGCAGAGACAGGGTTTCACCATGTTGGCCAGGCTGGTCTCAAACTCCTGACATCGTGATCCACCCACCTCAGCCTCCCAACGTGCTGGGATTACAGGTGTGAGCCACGGCACCCTATCTGTCTATGATTTCTTTCAACAGTGTTTTGTAGTTTTCCTTGTAGAGGTCTTTTGACTCCTTTGTTAGGTATATTCCTAAGTATTTTATGTTTTTTGCGGCTATTTTAAAAGGGGTTGAGTTCTTGATTTGATTCTCCAACTCACCATTGGAGTATAAAAGAGCTACTGACTTGTGTACATTAATCTTGTATCTGGACACTGCTGAATTATCAGTTCTAGGAGCTTTCTGGAGGAGTGCTTAGGGTTTTCAAGGTAAATGATCATATCATCAGCAAACAGGGACAGTTTGATTTCCTCCTTACCAGTTTGGATGCCCTTTATTTCTTTCTCTTGTCGATGGCTCTGGCTAGGACTTCCAGTACTATGTTGAAGAGGAGTGGTGAGAGTGGGCCTCCTTGTCTTGTTCCCGTCCTGAGAGGGAAAGCTTTCAACTCTTCCCCATTTGGTATTACATTGGCTGTGGGTTTGTCATAGATGGCTTTTATTATGTTAAGGTATGTCCTTTGTTTGCGGATTTTGCTGAGGGTTTTAATCATAAGGGGATGCTGGATTTTGTCAAATGCTTTTTCTGCATCTATTGAGATGATCATGTGGTTTTTGTTTTTAATTCTGTTTATGTGGTGTATCACATTTATTGACTTGTGTATGTTAAACCATCCTTGCATCCCTGGTATGAAAGAAACCCACTTGATCATGGTGGAGTATCTTTTTGATATGTGGTTGGATTCGGTTAGCTAGTATTTTATTAAGGATTTTAGCTTCTATGTTCATCAAGGATATTAGTCTGTAGTTTTCTTTTTTGATTGTGTCCTTTCCTGGTTTGGGTATTACGGTGATGCTGGCTTCATAGAATGAATTAGGGAGGGTTCTTTCTTCCTCTATCTTGTGGAATGGTGTCAAAATGATTGGTACCAATTCTTCTTTGAATGTCTGGTAGAATTCTGCTGTGAATTCATCTGGTCCTGGATTTTTTTGTTGTTGGTAATTTTTTAATTACCATTTCAATCTCACTGCTTGTTATTGGTCTGTTCAGGGTATCTAATTCTTCCTGATTTAAGCTAGGAGGGTTGTATTTTTCCAGGAATTTATCCATCTCTTCTAGGTTTTCTAGTTTATGTGTATAAAGGTGTTCATAGTAGCCTTGAATGATCTTTTGTATTTCAGTGGTGTCAGTTGTAATATCTCCTGTTTCATTTCTCATTGAGGTTATTTGGATTTTCTCTCTTCTTTTCTTGGTTAATCTTGCTAATGGTCTATCAATTTTATTTATCTTTTCAAAGAACCAGCTTTCTGTTTCATTTCTCTTTTGAATTTTTTTTGTTTCAATTTCATTTCATTCTGCTCTGGTCTTGGTTATTTCCTTTCTTCTTCTGGGTTTGGGTTTGGTTTGTTCTTGTTTCTCTAGTTCCTTGAAGTGTGACTTTAGATTGTCTTTTTGTGCTCTTTCAGACTTTTTGATGCACCTAACACCGGAGCTCCCAAATTTATAAAACAATTACTAATAGACCTAAGAAATGAGATAGACAGCAACACCATAATAGTGGAGGACTTCAATACTCCACTGACAGCATTAGACAGGTCATCTAGACAGAAAGTCAACAAAGAAGCAATGGATTTAAACTATGTTCAGGAACAAATGGACTTAACAGATACATACAGAACATTTCATCCAACAACTGCAGAATACACATTCTATTCAACAATGCATGGAACTTTCTCCAAGATAGACCATATGATAGGCCATAAAATGAGCCTCAATAAATTTAAGAAAATTGAAATTATATTAAGCACTCTCTCAGAGCACAGTGGAATAAAACTGGAAATGAATGCCAAAAGGAACCTTCAAAACCACACAAATACATGGAAATTAAATAACCTGCTCCTGAATCAGCATTGAGTCAAAAAATGAAATAAAGATGGAAATTTTAAAATTCTTCAAACTGAATGAAAATAATGACACAACCTATCAGAACCTCTGGGATACAGCTAAGGCAGTGCTAAGAGGAAAATTCATAGCCCTAAACACCTACATCAAAAAGTCAGCAGCAAAGTACCCTTGAAGAGGGTCTAGCAGGCAACTGGAGAGATCCAAGTGCCTTATTCATCCCTTGACTTGGGGTTTTATATATTGACATGATTTGGGTGGTTTGTGTTTCTTCTCCCCAGTTCTTCTCTTAGGGATGGCTATCTGCATGCACAGCAGCCTGCCAGCACTTAAGAATGTGCAGTTTGCATGTGCAGTGTGCATGTGCAGTGTGTTTACTGAAGCTGTACACATGCTAACTTGAGGCATTTTTCCCTTACCAGTTGAACATCACCAGAGGAAGATCATATACTGGTTAAACTCTGCCATTTTGCCTCTTAGTGAGCATGCTTGAGCCTGCTCACCCAACTTCTGAGATCTTATCCGGAAGCTGCTGATCGCCAGCTTCAGGTGTTTTCTATCCACTGGGAGACTGTTTCTCTGGTGCCAGCTGTGACCTATTGTCATTTTAGACAGTTTAACAACCGCCTGACCATCACTTGATGGTCACTTGACCCTCGTGGGCAGGGGCCCTCTCCTACCCTGCTCATGTCTGCCTAACCACCTACTCTGATAGATTCTTCTCTGTGTCCCCTGTGTCTTCAGAGAGAAGGAAGCCCCTTTGCTCTGGGTATAGGGAGGTCACTTCTCACATGAGGATCTTGTGATCTGCTTCAGGACAGAAGGGTAGAAAAGGAAAGTCAGAGAGACCTTCCTGCTTCTGCTGTTTTCTCAAATGCCATGGTGCCATATTTTGGGATAGTGTGTCCTGAACTCCATCAGCTGCTTCCTTCCAACCCTGATAATTACTCAATTACATGTTTCTGGAATCCCCTCCAGTCTCACCAAGAGAGGAACACGACTAGTAGTTGCCAGTTTGTTTTTCCTGGGCCCTGTGGTCACATCTGTTGCAGGTTACCATTGTCTTCCCCTGTTGACTTGGAGCTCTGGTAAACCTCCTTCCTCGAACCCAGTCTCCCTCTTCTTCAGCCCTCTATTAGGTTGCTGTTACAACAGCCTAGTTGCCTTGATATGCAGCAGCCTCTGCTGTCTCGATGTGACTGTTGATACAAAGTAGCTTTCATTTCTAGTTCTTATCAGTTTGCTCCTCAATCTTAACAGTGTTTTCCCTGGGAGTAAACCAAGTCTCCTTCCAGCCTTGGAAGGAGGATATGAAGGTTGAGAGTTTGAGTTTACCATACAGAAATGTGCAGGGAGGGTCTGTGCAGGCCCACCCCTAGATGGCTTGCCTGGTGGGCCCCTAAATGTTATATCTGCATCACAGAAGGACTCTGCAAATGAGCTTCTCTTTCTGATTATTTAACCTACCTTTTCAGTGATCTTAGCAATTACTTATGAGCTCTTTTACTTTTTTCAGTTTTGTCTGTTTTATTAAATCAAAAAAATGTGTGATCTTTTACACTGATCATAGGCCTAGACCAAATCTAGATGGAAGAAAGATTTTTAAAGCCTTTGGATATTTAGGAGTATAATTTTCCAACTTAATTGGAGTTGATATCTCAGTGCCATATGCAACAGGGAAATTACTAAGGAAAGTGTTGAGATTATTCCTCTTAAAATTATTTCTGTGTTAGCATCTACACTTTGCAGATATAGATATTTTTATATTTAGCTCCTTTCTCTTCCTGGTTTTATAAGGTAATGCACATAAGCAACTGAAATAGTGTCTGACATGTGCTAAGTGGGCAATAAATGTTAGCTATTAAAGCATTCTGCGCTGCTGTTTAGATGAGAAGGCAGAGGCGAGAAGACTTAGGAACAGTTCCTTTCTTGTGTTTACATTGTTCCTAGAAGAAATTAAACATGTGTGCAAATCACCCAGCCAGGGATGAATATGTGTCCCAGGGAGGCTGGTGTCTGCTGTTTGTTCATTTTCAGGATCCTTGTACTCAGGAAACAATGTGGAGTCTCCCCTAGGTTGGCAGTCACAGCCTCTCTCTGAAGTGTGAAAGGCCACATGATTCATCTCTACGACCCTCAGTGGTCAATGATAAGGAAATGTTAATGCCAGTTCTTAAAGAGCTTAAGAGTTTTGTTGTTGTTGTTGTTGTTGTTGTTGTTTTGAGATAGAGTTTCACTCTTGTTGCCCAGGCTGGAGTGCAATGGCACCATCTTGGCTCACTGCAACCTCCGCCTCCCGGGTTCAGGCTATTCTCCTCCTGCCTCAGCATCCTGAGTAGCTGGATTTACAGGTGTGAGCCACCATGGCAGGCTAATTTTGTATTTTTAGTAGAGACAGGGTTTCACCATGTTGGCCAGGCTGGTCTTGAACTCCTGACCTCACGTGATCCACCCATCTCGGCCTCCCAAAGTGCTGGAATTACAAGTGTGAGCCACCTCACCTGGCCTTAAAGAGCTTTCCATGTCAAAGTCTATCTTGGGAACTGACCAGCTGCCTCCTACCCATAAGAAGATGCCTTCGAAACCTCATTTTTTCATCTAGCACTGCCCATTTTTTGAGCGTGAGAAAGTCTCTAATTGAATAATGCAGACTAAATACCATTATCTAATTGTTAATGTGTTTAATATCAGCAGGGTTATTTACACCAGCATTTTTTAGAGGAGTTGGTCACTTGATCACATTTCTTAATTTGGAAGACTATTGTTCCCCCTACTCCATCTTCTCCCTGCCCCTAGTAAGCGAAAAGAGATGCATGTGGACATGTGTTCCAGGGGCAGGTGCATCCTGCTTAGTAGGAAGAGGCCATCTGGAAACACTGGGCCAGATGTTGGAATCTGCATGGTTAAAACACAACTAAATGAATGATAATATACTAGACATTTAATACCACCCAGTTCCATTTTCTTTCTTATTTGTAGTAATAAGCATGGAGTACTGTGCACCCAAAGAGATGAAGGTAGATTTCATTTATACACTCTGGTGTGGAATGGCTCTGTCCAGACCCAGGGCCCCTGGGTGCCCACCTTGGGTTCTTCTCAGAATAGCCCTTTTATCTTAGACCACAATGTGTGCACCTCCCTAGAGGTGAGAATTTCCCATCACATGTGTTAGATGTTGCAGAACACGTCCCGGGAGGCTGGCAGTGGTTTCTTCTCCCATTCACAGCTAAGGGGTTTCCAGAAGGGGGATGCAAGCAGCTGATGTTCTCCAAAATTCTAGCAACTGTAAACTGAGCATACTCAGGGGGACGGGTTGCCAGTCATATTTCCTTTTGCCCGGTACTTTGCCACCGGCAGATTCTAAAATGCTGCATTTCCAGCCACATCCCAGAACACTTTTAGCTCAGTTTCACAATTCCTTTAAAAAAAAAAAAATCACTAAGTTCTTATGCCCCTGCCCCCTCTTCCCTTTGGGCTCGAGGTTCTTTCCCCCAGCTGCTGCTGCACTGAGATAAGGCTGTGGTATTTTCCCTGCTATTCCACAATCATACATTATCATAAGAAAGTGCCAGGCATCCATCAGCCCACAGCCCCTGATTTATGCTCAAAGTTGGGATTATCTATTCTGTGCCAAATCCCTTCAAACGGCCAACCTGATCAAAGAGAATCACATCCACCAGATAAAATTCGAATATAGCTCCATGCAATAGAATGACAGGCAGGAATTTTTTTTTAATCTCCAAACTGCTTCAACCTCCTCATTTTGTCAGGAATTGTTCTTTATCCACAGTGCAGAACACGCTGAGCAACCTTATTGTCCTTCCTGCATCCTTCCCGCTGGGTTCTGAGTGGGGAGCCATTTATGGAGTTTGCTCTTGGGGTAGGAGTCATTGTCCACCAATAATTCCCTGCCTGCAGCTTGCAGCAACCAAGTCTAGCTCAGCCCAGAGCCAGGTAGAGGAGAAACATTACAGTACATGGATCAGTCTGACTTAACAACCAGTTGCTAACTATGACAGTGTGTAACCGGGAGAAAGCCAAGATTAGAAAGCAGTGTCTTTAATGCTGGGGACCATCTCAGTGACTAAATTAAATTGAATATCCTCTAAATCCAATCATTCAGTTCATTCACTCAGCAAATATTTATTGAATGCCTTATATGCAAGGCTTTGTTGAACCCAAGAAGTATAGCATCAAGGAACTTGATATCTAGAAAGAAAAGACGTACCCGGGTTATAAAATAAATAAAGCATAGCAGAGATCTCTAGTTCGAAAGAGGAATCTGAGCCCCATGAACTCAACTACACCTTCCTCCCACCTTCCACCCCAAATTCCTAGTGAATTGACCAAAGAATCTAGCGTAGAATTTAGAGGGAAATCCACATCACTACTGGAAACTAAGAAAGGATTGTATCCACTGCCAGAAACCTTGAGGGATTTCTAGAAAATATAAAGCAGGTAAGTCTAGATGAAGGTAAGAGCTTATTAACACGCAGGTCACCACATTTGGAGGGCAAATGTACTAAAAGATGAAAGAAAAGAGGAAACCTCACAAGGCAAAATAAACCACAGAGAAATTGGCTGGAAGTAAGAAGGGAGAGTAGACAACCCAACACACTCCGAGTCCATCCATCTCCCAATACCAAATAGGACCTATGAAGCCTGGAGAAAAATCACCAAACAGGAAGCATGCAGTTCTATTTCAAAAGCTAGAAGGCAATCCAAAGGCACAAGAGTCTAGTGTTCTTTTTGCAACAGATTTCCTGGGAGAAATACAATAAAAATTCACAATTTTGAAAACTTATACCTCCAATAATAGAATTTTATAGGAAGTTATATCTCTGAAAAAGTAGCAAGCATACAAATTATCTCATTCTCCATACTGGAGACAATAGAATATTACTTTATTCTTGACACTGATACAGAAATATAAGTTCAGTGTTTTGGGTTCTTTGTATTTAAAGGTTACCAAGGTAAGACTAAAAACGTTCTCTAAAATTGTGTTGCCTTCGGGCTGCTAAATTCTAAGACACTGCCTTCCAAATCACCAGCTTGATTCAGAATGGCAGTCCAAGTCTGCATATTTGACCACTAATCTCACAGTTCCCGCTGATGTTGACCAATCCGATGATGTAAGGAAAACTGTGTACCACCACTAGAATGTAAGGAATAATTCTCCCATTAGCGGGAATTTCATGGTGTTTCAGTGGGAAAAAGTAAAGGTGACAGATCACTGAGGGGAAAAGCCAAACCAACCGCTCTTCAAGAAAAATGAAGAACTAGCCCATAGAGGGAAATAATGAGACTCCATTTCCCACTGGTAGCATCCAATGACTTCAAATCTAGGGCTGATGTTGGCTGCTTGAAGCTCTAGGCTAGGTACACAAAGCAAAAGGGTGCTGAGGCACTACAGCCCACACTACTACCTGAACCCAGTGGGATTGACGCTGGGCTAGCCACTGGGCAGTGGGGTCTCCACGGAGGTGGTGCTCTGACAATGAGGAACTCTGTCCTCACCGGCTTTGGGTTGCCCATGGGACAGATTGCCCCTGAATAAAAAATTATGGAGAGAGTCACCTGCAAGTGCCACCTATAGTGAGCAGGGACCTCCTCCTCTACGAAGGAACAGCCAGAGAAATAGCAGCAGATATGAGAAGAGAAGACAATTGTAAGGTTTACTTCAACTTTTAGAGCAAATGTCCCCTACTGTCACCCCCTCCCCTGATAAAACAGTTGCTGTAAGAAACAAGAGAAGAAATATTTTTAATAAACTTTTCATTTGGAATAAGTTTAGATTTACAGAATGGTTGCAAAGATAACACAGAAAGTTCCTTTATATACCTCACCCAATTTCCCCTATGGTAACATTTTATATAATTATAGTACATTTGTCAGAACTTAAGAATCAACACTGGTATGTTACTAACTGAACTACATTCATTATTTGGCTTTGACCAGTTTGTCCACTAAATTCCCTTTTTTGTTCCAAGATTCAATGCAGGGGACCACATTGACTTTAGTCCTCACATCCCCTGAGTCTCCCTTAGTCAGTCAGTTTCTCAGTCTTTTTCCTTGTCTTCCAAGACCTTGGAGTTTTTGAGGAGTACTTGGTGTTTTGAATGACCTTCAATTTGGGCTTTTCTCATGTTTTCCTTGTGATTAGATTAGGGCTATTGGCTTTTGATGGAGAATACTGCAGAGGTGGAATGAGGGACATTTTCATCCCATTGCATCAGGCAGTGCATGATATCAACATGATTTCCCACTGGTGATATTAACCTTGATCTCCTGGTTAAAGTATTGGTTATCAGGTTTCTCCGCCATGAAGTTAGTTGTTTTTTCTTTCCATACTCTGTTCTTTCGAAGAGAGTCTCTTAAGTCCAGCGTACACTTAAGGGAGGGGGAACGGCAGTAAGCTCCACTTCCCAGAGGGGCTTTGTCTAAATATACTATTCGGAATTTTTCTGTAAGAAAATTTCTTTTCTGTTTTCTCTGTCCGATCCCAAGAAAAATTTACTTCCCCAAGGATCCCATGTTCCTTTTATTAAAGAACGGTATTTAGAAACCGAGATCTATACATTGAGTGTGATGTTGCTACTGGAGTATCGTTTCTAGAACCTCTCGGTAGACAGAGCTAGGATGTATGTATATGTCTACTAACCACTGTATACACACGTCAATAGTTATTTCTGTAGCTGTTCTCTGTGTGTGTAAGCTAAACATGAGTTCATATTGGTATCCTCCCCCGAGTCCAGTGTCATATGGCTCATTCTAGACTTTGCTCCTTGCTGATTTGTAATGTCTCTCTCCAGCAGTGAGAAACTTGGTTCTCACTATCCACCATCCATTTACTTCCTTGTTCAACCCCCAGTATATAAGTAAAGCAATCTCATAATTGTTAACCTGTATCTCCACAAAGAACAATGTTACCACCAAGAGTACAGAGTTTATATACAGTTCCTTTTGTCTTCAGCCCTACAGTACCCAGTCAAAATATTGTTTTCCAAAGTTACCTAGATCAGTTTCTTGTTTTCCTCCAGCCCCTCAGTGATTCCAACTAACATATGTAATACAGTTAAATTCACTCATCAGTCTACATTCCATCTTGGATCTCTTGTCACATAGGTTTATTTTCTGAATATGCATACACTGAAGTCACTTTTATGATGTTTAGTTCTTTGGGTTTAGACAAACGCATTCACCACCGTAGTTCATAGAAAAATGGTTTCATCACCCTAAAATTTTTTGTGCACCCTGTTTGTAGTCAAAGTTACTGCTACCATTGATCTGTTTTCCAATTTGATGGTTTTGTCTTTTCCAGAATGTATAGAAGTGGAATCAAATACTGTGTGGGCTTTTGGGTCTGGCTTCTTTCTCTTAGCTAAATGCATTTAAGATTCATCCGTGTTGTTGTGTGCATCGATCACTCAGTCTTTTTCATTGCTGGATAGTATCCCTTTGTACGGATGTATCACAATTTAGCCACTGGCCTTTTCCAGTTTTTGGTGATTATAGGATAAAGCTGCTATAAGTATTTTTATGCAGGTTTTTGCATGGATGGAAGCTCTTAAATACACTAAGGAAAATACCTAAGAGTGGGATTGCTGGGCTGTATAGTAACTATATATAGTTTATAAGGAATTGTCAAACTGTTTTCCAAAATGAAGATACAATTTTTCACCAGTTTATCCACTAAATTTCCTTTTTTGTTCCAAGATCCAATGCAGAGGACCACATCGAATTTAGTCTTTTCTTTTTTATTTCTAATCTCAGCAAAATTCAATGTTGGCAAAACAGAATCAGACCATGATGAATAAAGAAAATAAATTGGAGAATGGAAAAGAGCAAAACAACTCAAATTAGTGCATTTGGTTATCAGTTCATAAAACCCCTCCAGAGAATAGATGAAGATTACAGATAAATGTTATGAGAGAGAAATGATCAACTTCATGGATAGATCCAATTAATCTAATACATATTCTTACATAAAACAGTGTCTCCCAAAGGAAGAAGCAGACACAAGCAATACAAACAATCATAAAGTCCCTTAATTGAAGTAGAGAAGAGAAGACCAGAATTCATCAACTGACTTAAGAACTGTTTCCGAAAATAACTAAGCAGTGGAAGCGTACATTCTATTCTAATCAGGAAATAAAAAAGAACATACGAATGCACAAATTAATAAAAATAAAATAAAAATGAAGGAAACACAAATACACAAAATTAGAAAAGACATGCAGAGAAAATTTAATAAAATAGTATATAGTTTGTACAAATCTATTTTGATATATTTTAAAATGTAGATAAAATAGGCAAAATTTTTAAAAATACATGTTTTTAAAATTTACTCATAATTAAATTAAAACTCTAAATGTAGCTGTAATCATAAAAGGAATCTTAAAAATGTATTAAAGTGCTTCCTTTCAGAACAGCACCAGCCCAAAGGAATTTATGGGTACTTTCTATTTCAAAACTTCAAGCTCCAGATAACTCATATGCCATTTAAATTGTACCCAGAACATATTATAAGAAAGAAGATTCTTGGTTCTCTTCCAGATCTAATATGACTAATTCAGTAATTTGTCAAAACAGAGAAAGAGAAGTTGATCCTCCATCTTATTTGTGAATACAGATGTAAACATTCTAAGTTAAACACTAACAAATTGACTCCAGAAGTGGATTAATAGAAATATACATCATCACCACAATCAGGCAAAACCAACTCCAGGATTCTAAGGTGCTATGGTCTGAGTGTGTCCCCAAAAATTCATATGTTGAAACTTAATCACCAATGTGATAGCTTTAAGAGGTGAAGCGCATAGGAGGTGATTAGGGTGGAGCTTTCACGAATGGGATTAATGCCCTTATAAAAGGGCCAAGGGGAAACTAGCTAGGCTCTTTCTACCCTTCTGCCAGAGAGGACCCAGCAACAAGGCACCATCTTGCAAGCAGAGAGAACTGCCTCACCAGACACCAAATACAGGTGCCTTGATCTTGGACTTCCCAGCCTCCAGAACTGTAATAAAATAATTTTCTGTTCTTTATAAGTTACCCAATCTCAGATATTTTGTTATAGAAGACCAAACAAACTAAGACGTATGGATATTAGAGCTTGTGGTAATATGACTCATCCTATTATTAGATAAAGAAGAGTATATTCCATCTCTACAAAGGCTGAAGTGCATTGGATAGAATGAAAAATCTATTTAAAATAGAACAAAAAAACTCTTAATAAACGTGATATGATTGAGAATATATGAAATGATATGCCAAGATTGTACTTGCAGGTGAAACATTGAATGTATTTCCACTAAATCAAAACATGACATGCCTTCTATCTCCTGTATTTTATTATTTTAGAAGTGATATAAAATATAATAAAAAAATGAAATTTTGAGTCAAAAAATTATATTGTATGTTAATGTTCATTAATTAATACACATAATTAATCTTTATACTTAAGAGAAGGGCTCAGTGTCACAAATACTTGGGGCATTAACTTGTGTATTATTTCCTCAAAGGTTCAGTAATTTTAGAGAGATTGGCAAATGTACCAGATTTAAAATTGAGAGGAAGACTATTGAAAGTGTAGAAATGTCCGTGCTCTTGTATTTATTCAGTGACTCTGTCACTTGTGAATCCATCAAATAGAAACTTTTTTCTCACTTCTTTAAGGCTGTCATTCAACTGTCACCTTACTGGACAGGCCTCCCCTAATTATCACATCCAAAATACCACCCCAGATCTCCAGCACTTTCTACCTCCTTGTCCTGTGTTATTACTTTTCTGCATAAGGACTATGATTACTTGACACCAAATACACTTCTTTTTATTTATTGATTGCATTGCCTAACAAATCCTGTGTGACCATCACCATCAAACACTAGAAAGTACATGCTATCAGGATAGTGAGTAAGCCAGCTCTGCAGACATCTCAGAGAAGACTGTTATGGACCAAGGAAACAGCAATGATGTCCCTGAGGTGGGACAGCACCCACAATGATCAAGAAAAAGGCTGGGGGACAACGTGCCTAGCGTGAGCCAGATAGAGATTTGTGGAACATGAGGTCACAGAAGAGCCAGCAGCAAGTTTATGTAGGACCTTGTAAGCAATGCTGAGGGATTTAGAACTTAATCTAGATGAGATGGGAAGTGTGTTCATTTGCTTGTGTTTTCATTTGAGGAAAAGTAGGCAGAAATCAAGAGTGAAGTTTAATCAGATAATTCGTGACATGTCTGTGTTTCATCTAAATGGAGACGTTCAAAAGACAATTGGATACAGCAGTCTCAAGTGGAGGAAAGAGGATGGGATTGAGAGATAAATTTTGGAGTTATCAGCTTTTAGATATAAAACCACAAGAATAGATTAAGTCAAGAGGAATGAATGTGACCAGAGAAGAGGTCCCAGGACTGAGCCATGAGTCACTTCTCCCTTTTGATAGGGATGAGAAAGTGGCATCATCAAGGGAAGCAGAAAAGGAGGGAACCCAGGAGCACGTGGTGCCTGGAAGTATCTCAGGGGAAGAGAGAGTGATTAACTGCCCTGAAGCCTGTGAACACATTTAGTGAGATGAAAACAAGCAAATGACCTGGGATTTGGCCACGCAGAGGTTATTGGCAGCCTAACGAGAAATTTCGGTGAAGTGGTCTGATTGGAGTTGATTCCGGAGAGAATGCAAGGAGGCTGTAGTTAGAGCCACTACACAAAACTCTCCCAGAGAAACTTGGCTATAGGAGTTTGTAGAGAAGCAGGACGGTAGCTGAGAAGTCTGCATGGTCTATGGAGGTTCTTGTAAGATGGAAGATATGGTGTTCTTATATGCTGAAGGGAATGAGCCAGCAGATGGGAAAATGATCATCTAAGAGAGGGAAGGGAAGCAGTTGTAGAAGCAATCCTCCTAAGTAGGCAAGAAGACCTGAGATTCAGGGCACAAATGGAGGTGGACACCTGGGATCAGGAAACAGACAGTTCACCTCTCACATCAGAAAAAAAAGTGGGATGTATGGGTAGAGGTGCAGGTTGGCTGGCAGATTAGGAGGTAGAATATGTGGGCATCTTGCTTCTCTTCTTTGAGGAAAAAAAAAGGAGAGAGGAAAAGTGAAATCGCTCTTAGGGAGCTTGAATTGACTAAAGAAACATAGGATCATTCACCCATTTGATATTTACAATTCTTTGTTTAAAACGAACTGAGTTGGCATTGTTCTGAGCTCTTCTCTAGCCATGCTGCTTTGCATTCAGACAGGCATGACGTTTGTTCTTAAATGTAAGTTTAGTAGGTGATGTTGTCTCCATTTCACAAATGTCATTACTGAGCGGAGAGAGGTGAATGAGCCTGTCCAAGTCCCATTCATACTAGTAAAACTTGGTTTTCGACTCCTATTCAGATTGTACTTTGTATAACCAAATACCATAGGAGTGTTGTCCATATATGCTTTTGATTTTTGTGTCATTTATTGTTTTAATACTACCCAATTTTCTTACCCAGGGAATAGAGAGTAGACTCAGACCACTCAGAGTAATGATACTGTGTATCACTACTGCCATGTTCAACTTTCCTTTGGATTACTTTATGCAGGGCAACCGTAAGATATGACACAGGCAGAAGGAGCCAAACCACCATTTATAACATTACTCTAAATTACATGTTCTAAATCACTGGCTTTGAAATAAATTGTTGGTGTTAAATTCATGGATAGGAGATCTCTATATATGGAAATCCAGTTAATCCCAAGTGCCCACTACATCATGATTCTGGCTCCTTTCCAGTACATTATCTTCTTCCATCCCAGTGAATGTGTCTCTTTCTACATCAAATAGTCCAGACCAATCTGGGACGCAGATATCTGAGGCTCTATAAGATTCCTCTTTATGGTTTCCTTGGGGTCAGAAAAAAAGAACTCATTTACTGATGGGTACTAAGCAATGAATATTAATCAAAAAATCATGAGATATATTTACATTAAACTTCATTATTTTCATTTAAAAAATTTCTTATATACAGCATTTTTTACAGCTTAAATGAAAACAAAAGTTGCACATCTATACATATACTTTTCACATCCCAAAGAGTGTCAGAGGAGGAGTTATGTAGTTTATGGGTCAGGATGAGAATGATGATAATGATCCTAAGTACTGGAATTGATTTTTAGTTATAAAAAAAATGCCTGGGCTGCAGGGTATATACTCAGGATAGATCACAGGCTTCACAGTAAAAATATACAGGATGAGACAAAGGCTTTAAGGTAAAAAGAGGATAAGGATCATTTCTAGGCAACGATGCACATAATCTCACCTCCTTTGCACGGCATCACCTTAGTGCTCACGTGGCCATTTAACCAGTTACACTGAATATGGGCAATAATCTGGTTTCCAGAAAGTATCCATCCACTAAAACGTGCACCCTTAATAATGTCCTTATCATAACCTTTCAATTTAAGTATGTCAGATTTCTTTTCATCCCAACCTAGTACTAATAGAAAAAAAGTAAGAGGCCAGAGATTTTAAAGATGAAGACTAGAGCCAGGATGATTGGGAGTGAGTTTAAGTGAAAGGCGGTGGTCGATTAGAGTTTGACGCTCTGCTCTGGGTGGTCTTCACGGCAGTGCCTATAAGTGGCTTTCAGAATATTTCTTTTAGCAGCAAAAGCTCTTTAAATTTTGATTTTACACAGATCCTCAAAATAGAACATAGAAAAAAAGCAGTATTCATCATTTTTTTTAGTTCAAATCTATATCACTAACAAAAGAAGGAAGCTATTTTTATAAATAGAAATATTTGAAATCAGAGCTTAAGATCGAGTTGTGGCAACCAATTTGTCTCCATATTTTGGTTGATTGTGCAGAAAAATCCAAAATGACATGGAAAAGTCATTGTATATAACAGGTCTGTCTGCTTGTTTTTGACATGTTGAGTCAACAAGCTCATGACAGTCTTCAATAAAATAGGTCCAGGGGGCTGAATGAGGAGCAGCAGAACTTGATTTATTAACAATATTTAAAATTTGCTCACATTTCTTATTTCTTTTTTAAAAAAAAGAAAGTTAAATAACAAGCACCTAAAACTTACAAGAAAATCAGTGACATAATAATATCATTATAGGACCTGTTATCACACAACCGATGGGCACACAATGCTTAACACATGTGGCATGAGGTACACAGGATGCAAGAATGTACCACCTATCACAGTCATACTCAAGTGGGCTTGTGTGGGTTTGATCTTCTTTTTTTTTTTGAGACGGAGTCTCACTCTGTCGCCCAGGCTGGAGTGCAGTGGCACTATCTCGGCTCACCGCAAGCTCCGCCTCCTGGCTTCATGCCATTCTCCTGTCTCAGCCTCCTGAGTAGCTGGGACTACAGGTGCCCGCCACCACGCAGGGCCAATTTTTTTTCTTTTTTTTCTTTTTTTTTTTTTTTTTTTTTTTTTTTTGGTATTTTTAGTAGAGACAGGGTTTCACCGTGTTAGCCAGGATGGTCTCGATCTCCTGATCTCATGATCCACCCGCCTCGGCCTCCCAAAGTGCTGTGATTACAGGCGTGAGCCACTGCGCCTGGCCTGATCTTCTTTTTAAACTCAGTTCCAAGACGCTACATACTTTACCAAAGACATGTCTAAGGCGTTTTCACATATAAGCAGATAGATGGTAGGCACTGTCTCATGCAGAGGAATGAGGAGACACGGGAGCAAAAATTAATATGCTCGTTTACATTTTGTTGAATTTGGCATCAAACAGTTTTCACCTGGTGTGTAGGTTTTGTTATAAATTACAAGTGACCCTTGAACGACAAGGGTTTAAACTGCGTGGGTCCACTTACAGGTGGATTTTCTTTCGCCTCTGCCACCCCTGAGACAGCAAGACCAACCCCTCCTCTTCCTCCTCCTCAGCCTACCCAACATTGGGTAGGTAAACTGAGCTTGCATGAAACGCTGTCCACTGCAGTGTGTTTGAAATCAGAGAAAGGAAGGAAATGAGAAGAAAGGAAGGAGAAAAAACCAGTTCCACCAGGACCTTCTAAGACACGAACTTCATGATGAGCCACTTCCACTTAATGAATAGTAAATACATTTTCTCTTGCTTACGATTTTCTTAATTACATTTCTTTTTTTCTAGCTTACTTTAAAATACAGTATATAATACATATACATAGTATGTGTTGTTTACTTTATCAGTAAGGCTTTGGGTCAACAGTAGGCTATTAGTAGTTCAGTTTTGGGGGAGTCAAGAAGAATATGCAGATTTTTGACTGTGAGAGGAGCTGGTGCCCCTAACCAACCCTGCCTTGTTCAAAGGTCAACTGTAGTTTGAAAAAGTCAAGTCGTTAAAAAAGTGAAACACAGCCGGGCGCAGTGGCTCACGCCTGTAATCCCAGCACTTTGGGAGGCTGAGGAGGGCGGATTGCCTGAGGTGAGGAGGTTGTGACCAGCCTGGCCAATGTGGTGAAACCCCATCTCTACTAAAAATACAAACAAAAATTAGCTGGGTTTGGTGGCATGCGCCTGTAATCCCAGCTACTCGGGAGGCTGAGTCAGGGGAATTGTTTGAACCAGGGAATGGAGGTTGCAGTGAGCCGAGATTACGCCACTGCACTCCAGCCTGGGTGACAAAGCGAGACTCTGTCTCAGACAAACAAACAAACAAAAAGAAACGTAAGTCAGACACTTGGAAAACAGTCTCCATCAAATAGCTAAAACAGCCTCTGGCAGGAAGATTTGGTGACGGAATTTCTACCTCAAGGCCAGAATCAGCTCATGTGCCCTCAGCTGGGGGTGGAGGTGGGTCTGACCTCTGAAGGATACATCTTTCTTTACCTCTCATTATTCTGCGCACCACTTGAGCTGTGCAGCTGCGAACAAGAGCAAATCCAAGGTAAGCCAGGAACCATGTGAGAAGAGAAATACCCTGGACCTACAACTTCTAGGTTTTCCTACTCACAGGAAAAAAAAAAAAAAAAAAAAGTCTTAGGCAAGACTCACAGAGAAAAGTTGAAGAAGAAGAGGAAGAAGAAGAAGAGGAGGAAGAGGAAGAAGAAGAAGAAGAAGAGGAAGAAGCTTTGATGCAGCCAGAACAAGAATCTAAGTTCGACTCCTAATCAAATGCCAACACAATCATATTGGACAGGAAATTGCTTCAGTAACTCATCATCATGTTTACATGAACACTCTACTTGTTTAAGTTTGGGTTTCCTCGAAAGCAAAGCCTGAGACAAGGGAATTCATGTGGGAGGTGATCCCAGGAAGCAAGAATGAGAGAGCAGGAAGAGTGACAACACAGGGAAGGAGAAAAAAACAGTTCCACCAGGACCTTCTGACACAAGCAAAATGCTTCTCGAATGGCCCACCAGCATGACGGCAACTGGAGTGTTATCCATGCCTCCTGCCCCTCATGATGCTGGGATGCCTCCAGTGATGCTGGCTTAGCTGCACCTGCCAGGTCAGTCTAGGGCAGAAAGAGAAAAGCCTTCCTCAGTGCTCTTAAGGTAGGTAAACCGAGCTTGCATGAAACGCTGTCCACAGCAGCTTGGTTGAAATTAGAGATGGGCCAAGGAGTTGTGCTGGGGACACCAGACATATCTGTTGCCCCATCCAATTCTACATGAGTCCTAGAGAGCCCCAGAGCCCATCAACTGTGCTCCCCCATTATAAGTCAGTAATTTGTCACCAAGTCTGTTTTGGTTTTGGTGGTTCTTGACAGAGGCACGCACCCATTCATTCATTCCTTAGTTCTGATTTGAATGTCTGCTATGTGCCTGGCACTATCCAAGGCACTAGGGATGCAGCAATGAACAAAACAAACAAGTCCTTGTCATTATGGAGGAAGATAAAGAAATAAACAAATGAAATATATAGTTTGTCGTATCGTGATAAGTACCAGGAAGAAAAATAAGGCAGAAAAGGCGTCAAAGGGGCTGCTCTAACGGTGCTTCAGGAAGGTGGGAAGATGAACAGAAGACACCTGGTATTTCATCCGGCTTGAATCTGTTTAACGTAGCAAATTACCCCTATCTGGCTGACCTTCAGAAAACCAGTAAACAAGTTTGTAGAAAAGTATACCTCTGTGTTGTCTCATATAAAGATACTGACTGATATTCAGGCAGATTCTCCCCACAGAAATTGGTATAATCCTGAGTGTGAATCCAAGTTGCAGATTCTCCAAACAAAGCCAAGAAGTCACATCTTCAGCCCTCTGAGCCTTTTGTGCATTTTTGAAATTAGAACTTCAGCTTCATGCACAATATTCTGGTATCAAAGGCCACCCTGCAAAAAATTTTTAAAATACTATCTCACATATTAGTTAATTATCAGTGAACATCAAGATTCTACTCTGTGCTGAAGTTGAGCCTGGTTGCTGCCTTCAGTAAAAGCCACAAGTAACTTGTGGCCAGATGACCCAATAAGAGTAAACAATACCAAAGAGAGCACAATTTTGCTTTTTTTTAAATACAGATTGACTAAAAGTAAGTTCTAAAAAATTTGAACACAGGCAGATTGTACAACAAAGGTTTCTCAAAAGAGCTGGGTTATGAGAAGGATCTTAAAGAATGGATCAATTCTAGCAGTGGGGGGTAATGATTGCATATTTTGTTAGTCAGGCCTGGCATACATGGCAGTCAGGGAGGTCTGCAGCCTGGTTGATGGCTTCTCTTATGAAAAGCTGCAGACATTGTGTAAGATTGTGGTTTGGTAGGTCTTGAGAAGCCATCCAACATTTACTCACCAAGACTGGTTGAGCACCTCATCTACCCCAGGCTGAAGATGTGACTTCTTGACTTGCTTTGGAGAATCTGCATCTTGGATTCGCACTGAGGATTACATCAATTTCTATGGGTAGAATCTGCCTGAATATCAGCCGGTATCTTTAAATGAGACAATACAGGCACTGTGCTGAGACATGGGGAAATCACCTGTAGCCAAGGGGCAGGGGCTGAGACAGGCTGCGAGTGAGGAAAACAGAGGGTGCTTGTAGGGTGGGAGGGATCAGGAAGTCTGCCTGGGTCACACCAGCGTGACACGAGGGTAAGGACAAAACTCAAAGTGTGGCAGTGGAAATGGAAAGGAAAAGAGAATATTAGTCATTCTACGTAAAAAAGCAGTCAACAGAATTGATATCTGACTGTCCATGGGGATTGAGGAAGATGTACACTGACCATAATTCATTGTTTAAGCCTGAGAGAATATTGGTACAATTGTTAGAAACATAAAGCGATCACTTCAAGGATGACTCAGGAGGAAATAAGCGCACATTACTTTGAAGCCATACTTCCATAGAGCTAACACCGTGCCCGGAACTAAGGTGACTACCTAGAATAAATCACCACGTATTCTCACAACAACCAAAGGAACCAAGGGAACCCAGGGAATTTCACAGTTGCCATCTCCATTTTACAGATGAGGAAACCTGAGCTCGAGGAAAGGAACTTAATGTATATCATTCAGCTAGACAGACAAGGGGAGGGTGGGATTCTATGCAAAGTTCATCTCATTCAAAAGCCTGCATTCTCTAAGAACTACCACTGCCGCAGAGGTTAAAAAACTAATGTTATGGCCGGGCGCGGTGGCTCACGCTTGTAATCCCAGCACTTTGGGAGGCCGAGGCGGGTGGATCACGAGGTCAGGAGATCGAGACCACGGTGAAACCCCGTCTCTTCTAAAAATACAAAAAAATTAGCCGGGCGTGGTGGCGGGCGCCTGTAGTCCCAGCTACTCAGAGAGGCTGAGGCAGGAGAATGGTGTGAACCCGGGAGGCGGAGCTTGCAGCGAGCCGAGACTGTGCCACTGCACTCCAGCCTGGGTGACAGAGCGAGACTCCGTCTCAAAAAAAAAAAAAAAGAAAACTAATGTTATTTTCTGCCTATAAAGTAATTTAATATAGCTAGAAATTATTAACATTAAATATTTATATTTTTCTGCATGCAATAGTAACACATGTGACTTGTAAAAATGCTCTAATATGAAAGATAATGTAAAGTGTAAAAAATTGCAATAACCTCCTTCCCTCAGAAAATCATTATAAGTAGCAGTGAAATATTATTATAGATTAAAGTCTCTATTAATTCTAGTTTTTAAGTAAATCTTATTACCTTACTGCTACACCTTGTTTCTTTGTATAAAAGATCATCCACTTAGGTCTTTGAAATGAGTATTTCACATTTATCATGGCATAGCCTTAGGTACGTGTCAATGATTCAGTTCTTAATGAGGGAAAGGAATCTTCCTCTGAGTTCCCATTCTCTGGATAATCTAACAATCTAGATTTAACTCATTTCTACCAATTTCCACATGTTCAGCCTGTAAGTCAAAGAATTAGCATCATAAATTCTGATCTTGCTCACTGGGCATAGATGGGCAGTTATTTATTCATATCTGAATTTGTATGAACCTTCATGATCAACTTTCTAATTATTATCAGCCTATATCCCTCGACTTACAATCTCAGGAAAAAAAAAACTGATTCAGATTGAAAATACCAGGTATAAGGAATGTGTTGACATGAAAACTATGAATGTCACTAGGGAGAATTCAGGGTTATTTTCTTAGTGGTGAACTCACCTTCATAGGATAAAAGGGTAAAAAAATGCATTGGGTAAAAAAGTTCTAAGCTTCATTCAACCCATACTTTATATCAGTCAGTGCACAGGGGATGTGGCAGCGAATACAATGAACAGTCCTGTGCAGGTGAAGCTTGCTTTTCATGGGGAAAGACAAGTGAAGAAGCATGGTATTGACAAATTGTGATCATGCAATGAAGGAAACAGTCAGCAGAGAAAATAGAACGAGTCAGGAAAGTCTCTTTAGACAAATGACCAGAAATAGTTCCTTTTAGCTGAGACCTGAAGCATACGAACAAGTTTGGTCTTCCACTTATCACCCACTCACTTCTTCAATCTCCATCTTGACTGATCCTGATCTGTTCTCCATTCCTGCAACAATGCAGCTGAAATTCACCAGATCAAATCATGTCTCCAGAGCGCCTGGAGTCACTTTAAATCCATGAGCACAAATGTCAAAGGAGCAACCCTAGAAATCCCTAGACACTCTAGAAATCCTACTCAGCCCCCCAAATAAAGAGTGTGCTTTCTCACTCAACTTGTCAAGGTCCTAGCAGAAATAGAGTACAACATAGATGTCTCAGAAGACTTTAATGAAAAAACCTCTCAAAGAGATGTGGGCAAAATTAAGAGAAACACTAGGGATGTTAGGGCACTCAGAGATGAGCGGGAGTGGGCAGTTGTTCCATCCTTAAATCTGAACAGGCAAGAGGAGAAGGAAGCAGTATTACTGAATCGTGGAGAGCTCTGGATCCATGGATAAAACATCATCTGGTAGGAGCACCAGTTTTGGAGGGACACAGCCATTGACATGGAGGAACCAGGGAAAAAACACCTAGACTTTTTTCTCTCCCACCCCAGTCTCCCACTGGTGCCTCTGTTGACAAATCCCACCAAGGGCCAGCCAACAAGGACATTAACATGATGCCGTCAGTGGGGGCAGGCTTCCAAGGCATAGAGCAGGGCAAAGGATGGAGATAGGGATGGGGGATAAACAGAAAACAAGGACCATTGCACTCCAAGATGCCAATTTCATGCTTTCTCCTTTTGCCTGAAAACCTCATAACCATGGTATGGTCTCTTTGGAAATCGGTTCAGCAGTTTTCTATAAATGTAAACATAAATTTACCACATGACCCACTGATCCTCTTCCCAAGTAGAATCTTTCCTTTCCCAAGAAAGATGAAAGATGAAAATGAATGTTCACTCAAAATCTGTACATGAGTGTCCAGAGTGACTTTATTCAGAATCCTCCAAAGCTGGAAATAACCCAAATCGATACAATAGTATTGCACTCAAGCAATACACACTGATGAACTACTGATACACGTGAAATGCAGATGAATTTCAAATGCTCCATACTATACAACATTTATGCTATACAACATTTATTATACAACATCAAATGCTCCCTTTCATACAACATTCTCAAAAAGGCAGAATAAGGATATTAATCAGCTCGGTGACTGCCTGGAGGCCCAAGGGGATGTGGGATGCTGAAGGGTCACCCCCTTGGTTATTCCATTTTTCCTCAAGACCCCGAGGGATTGCCCCTTTTGCATAAGCACATTTTGGGGTGTGGCTTTCTTATCCAAACTGCCTGGGTCTGGGGAGAGGAGAGGAGTTGACTACAAAGGGGCACAAGGGAATTGGGGCAGGGGGGTGATGACACTGTTCGATATACTGATTGTAGCAAAAACTGTGTGTGTGTGTGTGTGTGTGTGTGTTTGTGTGTGTGTTAAACCTTATGAAACTCTGCATGAAAAGGGGTGAATTTTAACAGATGTAAATAATAATAAACCTGACAACAACAAGAAAGCCACCCCCATACCATCCCGCCCACTCTCAGATGATGATTTTACTTTTTATGTCAATGATAAAATGGAATACATCTTGAGAAGGCTGTTTTATAGTCTCATCACCAAGTTCTGAAAACCCTTAGGATCCGTAATTTCACCTGTCCTTCCTGGCATTCAAGAGGAAGAAGTGACTTCCTGTTGATTCGAAAGGCAAATGCTTCTTCAGGTGTTCTGTGTCAGGGATAAAACTCTTTCTCCTTCCCATCTTAGGTTCGTGACTGATGCTCCTATCACAAAAGACAAATTAACAAAAAAAGTCATACGAATGTATTGACTATAAATTTTATGTGACACAGAAATGAAGACTCAATGAGACAGGGAAACCTGTGTTTTCTTATGCTGAGTGTGATGAAGAAGTGGATGGTCTTGGAGAAGTATGATTGGACAAAGGGGGTAGAGTCTAATGGTGATTAACTGGAAGGAGTGTAGCAAGGACTATTTGTTAAGATTCTTCTGTGTCCCTGCATCTTCCGGGATACAGATGTTTCTTTCCTCTGGATATAGGGAAGGCACCTCTCACATGAGGTGCCTTGAGGAGTTTCTTTCCTCTGGATATAAGGAAGGCACCTCTCACATGAACTGCTTCAGGGGAGAAGGTTGAAGGTGACCTTCTGGCTTCTGCTGTTTTCTCAAATGCCACATTTGGTGCCATGTTTTGGGTTAGTGTGTCCTGTACACTGTCGCATGTACTCCTGTCTCCAATTAGTCCTCCCTTTCCCATCTCAGTCCCTCCCTTTACCAGATTATCTCCTTCAATATGTAGACAAGTCTCTCTCGATTCCATCCCCACCCCAATTTCTGCCCCATCTCTCTGCCCCTTCCACAACAAATATCTTAAGTACTTATCTACTCAATGCTTTCTCCACTTCCTCATTTCTAATCCACTCTTTAAAATAATTCTTTAAAATTTCCAATATAAAGGAAATGATAAATAATAGTATAATCATTATTCATGTTTTCAATACCCAGATTTCACAGATGTTAACACTTAGCTATATTTGCTCAAGATCCTTATCTTTTTGTTTTTAAGAAATAAAACATTACCTGTATAATTGAATCCCCTTTTGGACTCCTTCCCAATCCTATTATCCCCTCATTCCCCAGAGGTGACCTCTATTCTGAATTTGGTATGTACCATTCCCTCCATGGCCTTGTATTTTACCACATCCACTTATGTCCAGAAATGACATGTAGAATTGTATAGCGTGCATTTAAACTTGATACAACTAGTATCTTATCGTACTTTGTCACTTACGTCTTCAATTACTTTTTGCATCCCATTTCTTTCTTTGGCTTTATTTATTCATTTATTTATTTTGCTGGAATATGTTCTTTCATAATTCTTTCAAAAAGAGTGTGTGGGGGGATAAACATGGTTATTTCTTGCATGTCAGAAAAATTACATATTTCCTGCAGACTTAAATTATACTTTTTGAATACAGAATCATATTTTCAGGTTACTTTCTTCAGATGATTAAACGTATTGCTCAATTGTCTTTCTGTAGCCAATGCTGCCAGTGACATATGATCTGATCCTAAGTTCACATTGGATTTCTCTCTCTCTGTCTGTCTCTCTCTTTCTCTCTCTCTGCATGTGTGTGTTGTGTGTGTTGGCCTTTCCTTCTCAGCTTTAGATATCTTTCTCTTTGTACAGGTGAGAGTTCTTTTTCACCTTATACTACTCTTTACATTTGAAGACATTTCTTTCCTTAATTTGGGGAAATTATACCCTATTATTGCTTAAGAATTTCTTCCCCTGAATTTCACTATTCCTTCCTTCTGAAATGCCTATTAGTTTGACATTGGTCATCCTGGAGCTGTCCTTCCTTCTCTTTACTTTTTTACTAAACATTTCATGCCTGTGGCCTTGTGGTCTGTCAGGATTCTTGGGATCTATTCCCCATTTTCACAAATTCTGCTTTCCAGCCCATCCATTAAATAGAATATTTTTTGGTTTTTGTTTTTTAAATTTTGATGAGGTTTTCAGTTCCAAGATCTCTGTTTCATCCTTCAATGAACAGAATATCCTCCTACATTTCTTGGAAAACCATTGCCCTGTTCATCTCCCATTAATTCTGTTTTCTCAGGCTGGTTGCACCTGGCAGCTGTCTTCAGGCTGTTGGTTTTCCTTAAGTGTGTGATCCCCAAGTGCCTACATGAGACCATGGTACAAATGCCTGATTTCAGCCTTCTTCATAAAGGAAACAGTGGGGCCCGCTGCCCCATGGAAGGTACCGGTAGCTGTTCTTCCACATGGATGAGTTCTCTGTTTGTTCTGGGTGTTACCATCATGTTGATGCTGGGTCTCCGTCCCAGGCAATCCTGGCCACTCTCTTGTACTCTCTGCCTACCCCAAAATTCCATGGGGGCCTGAGGGGATTCAGGATGCTGAAGGGTCACCCCCTTGGTTGTTCCATCCTTCCCCAAGAACCTCTGGATTGCCCCTTTTGCACATAACCACATTTGGGGGTGTGGCTTTCTTATCCAAACTGAACTCATGTTCTTTTCCCATCTGTCAGGGATTCCACACAGTTTTAGCTAAAAGGGGCGCTGCTTTTTTTTTTCTTTCTGAACTATGATGCATTTGTTCAGTGCTCTTTTCTACAATGTCTGTGGATTCAAACAAAAGGCGAAGGGCTGAAGCATGTGTGCAACTATTGTAAATCCTAATTCTCTACATTTATTTTATAAGGGACCCCCTAACAAATTGTCCTATTACAGTGAAAACGTTTTTTTGGCCGGGCGCGGTGGCTCACGCCTGTAATCCCAGCACTTTGGGAGGCCAAGGCGGGCAGATCACAAGGTGAGGAGATCGAGACTATCCTGGTCAACATGGTGAAATCCCGTCTCTACTAAAAAAAATACAAAAATTAGCTGGGCGTGGTGGTGCATGCCTGTAGTTCCAGCTGCCTGGGAGGCTGAGGCAGGAGAATCAGTTGAACCCAGGAGGCGGAGGTTGCAATAAGCAGAGATCGCACCGCTGTACTCTAGCCTGGTGACCGAGTGAGACTCTGTCTCAAACAAAAAAAAAAGTTTTTTCTACTGGACCATTTTAGCATTCCACAGTGAGTGTGTGGTGTGTGTGTATCTTTCATCCTTCACCTTTCTCGGTTAGCACTTCCAGAACTATTTCAGATAACTGTAGTCAGGGCAGGTGGCCTGCTTAATCCTCTTTTCTCGTCATTCTGGCCCCTCCCCATCGTTCACAAAAAATAAGGAGACTTCCAACTGCTGCAGTCCTCTGCGCCCCTGAATAGAGCTCATTAGATTAAGGAGAGACCCCTGACACAGGTTGCATGCATGTGCATCAGGGCCTCTTTTTCTAGAAATTTGAAGTAACAATCACACAGATACATAATTAAAAATTGCAATAAGTAAAATGAAGATCAATGTCAAGGAGCTGTAAGAGGCTGAGTTCTGAAGGACTTCACCTGGTTGAAGAGAAGAGAAAGGTTCCAGGCAGGAAGAGTACAGGTGAGGGCCATGGGAGAGGAGAGCACATGCCACCACTAAGGGGCTGAAGGAAGTCCAGGAGGTCTGGTGGGTGGAATCCCAGGAAGAATACCTTCCTCCTCTTCCTCCTCCTCCTCCTCCTCCTCAATACCACTGAGTGTCTGTACCCTACATTGCCCCAAAGACCTTACAGGTCTCAGCCCATTTAAGTAAGGAAGAAGAACTGAAGAGGAACCATAATCTGTAGGACATTGATACCACATTAAAGACCTGGTTCTCTTGCATAAGAACAAAAGGAATTAATTACAGGTATAAAGAATGGTCATGTGACAAGATGTGCACATTAAAGGATTCTGACCTTCAGAGAATGGGAAGAAGTTGGGTGAGATGGGAAGCAGGAAGATCACTCATGCCACTATTTCAGGGGCAGTACCCTGAACTACTCCTGACTTTAAGGAGAATGCCCTGTTGTTACAAAACTAAATGTGGTAGGTGATTGTTCATTTCAGATAATTCTGTTAACCCTGTGAATGAAGGGCGGTTATATTGCTAGATTACTCAGTCTTTTGTTTATATTTGAAGTCAGGCATGGAATTGAATTCTATAAAATTGACTTTTTTTGAAATGATTTTATTTGTAACTAAAAGAAATTACAAATATGTTAAAATACATTTCTTATAAATCTAGGGGGAACCTCCTTGGTCATGTGGTATATTTTATTTGCTGAGATGAGAGAACTTCTAAAATCTGTATTAATAAGAGAAACTGATAAACAGTTTTCTTTGGAGTGGCATTCTCTGTCCAGTTTCATTTTGAATGTAATGCAAGCTTTTTTTTTTTTTTTTTTTTTTGAGTTGGAGTCTCTCTCTGTCACCCAGCCTGGAGTGCAGTGGCACGATCTCGGCTCACTGCAGCCTCCAACTCCCAGGTTCACTCGATTCTCCTGCCTCAGCCTCCCGAGTAGCTGGGACTACAGGCACATACCACTACATCCACCCAGCTGATTCTTTTTTTTTTTGTATTTTAGTAGAGATGGGGTTTCACCATGTTGGCCAGACTGGTCTCGAACTTCTGAGCTCATGATCCGCCCACCTTGGCCTCCCAAAGTGCTGGGATTATAGGCGTGAGCCACCACGCCCAGCCCGGTGCTAGATTTTTAAAACAGATTGGGTTGCTTACCTTCTTTCTCTCTGCCCAGTAGCAATTTAAATAATAAAGGAATTTTATTGAATCCTGAAAAGAATTTATCCATGAAACCACCTAGGTGCAGACATTTTGGCAGGAGGGAAAATGATTCTTTGAAAACTTTGCTTATTTTTCCCCTTATTATTTATCTTATTTTCCTTTAATAAGATTTGAAGTCTTTGTAAGTTGCCCATATCTTCCAGCTTTTTGAAATGATTAACAAAGACTGGAAAATAAATTTGGAAAATACATTATTCTTTCCTTAGAATCTTCTACATATATAAATTCCTTTTCTCAGTCTTAATTTACCCTTATTCTTTTTTCCTTGATTAATCTTTCTAGAGCTGTCTATCTCATTATTGTTTTCAGAGAAGCCAGTTCTTAGAATTATGTTATGCAGTTTTTTCTATGTGAAATGTATTAATTTCTGCTTACCTTCCTCCAGTCTCCTTATTGAAGTTATTTTTCTACCATCTTGAGTTGAATATTTATTTACATTCATTTGTGTATATATATATATGTGTGTATATATATATGTGTGTGTATATATATATATATATATATAATTCATTCATTTAAAACTATGCATCTTCCTGTGGTTACTGCTGCCTTGACCATATCTTATATTTTGACATACACTGTATTTAATAGCCTTTTAAAATCTAAAGTTGCCTGCTGATTTCTTAATGCATAGACAATATCAATTTTATTACTCTGACATTTCTTGATTTCTAATCCCCACAGTTTTAATGCAGGCTTAAAATACCATGTATTATTATTATTATTAGTAGTAGTAGTAGTAGTAGTAGTAGTATTTTCTTTTTTTATTTCTTTGAGATGGAGTCTCACTCAGTCGCCCAGGCTGGAGTGCAGTGGCGTGATCTCAGCTCACTGCAAGCTCCGCCTCCTGGGTTCACGCCATTCTCCTGCCTCAGCCTCCCAAGTAGTTGAGACTACAGGCACCCGCCACCAAGCCCGGCTAATTTTTTGTATTTTTAATAGAGATGGGGTTTCACCGTGTTAGCCAGGAGTCTCGATCTCCTGATCTCGTGATCTGCCCGTCTTGGCCTCCCAAAGTGCTGGGATTACAGGCATAAGCCACTGCACCCGGCTTAAAAATACCATGTATTATAAGGCCCTTCACTCTTCTGCCTTGAGAGTAAAGCAGACTATGCTTCTCCTGTCTTCTTTTTCTTGCCTTTAGTTTCATCACGTTACACAGATCATGTCTTGGTGTCCACTTCACAAGACATTGGTTAGGAGTCATCATGCCCTCAATGTCCCAGCTCAGAGGTAAAACATCCCTTGTAGAGTAATATCCAGACACACCTTTTTCTCATCAGTTGCTCTTAAAGTGTACTGAAACCCATGATTAAAATAGGTACTTTTTTTTTTCAAGGTTTCAATACTCAATATTCTAAGAATGAAGTGACATCAGGAAAGTAATTGCTATGGTGCAAGATGTTGAAAGGGTGAATAATAAAAATCAGATGGATTTCTTGGAAGGAAAATACGTTTACAGTTCAAACACAGGGCCTGGGTGGAGATACAGAACCAGGGGAAGAAATTAAAACATATGAGAGTCAAGGGTAACGGTCAGAACAGCTCGGAATGTGAGACTGATGGAGCATGAGAGTCCAGCAGGACTGGAGGGCCAGAAGGACAGAGTTTCACTCTGTGGTAGGCCCATTAAAGGTCTTGTTTACCTGAAGATACTACAATAATTGAAATTGCATATTAATTGGAAATTGCATATTAATAAGTCCATTTAAGCCTGTTTGCTTTACTCTGTGTTTGCTTATATTTGCATTACCACTTGGCAGCGTCTGGGTCTTTATGATGCATCTTTTGCAGCTGGATAAGCTTGAATCTATAAAAGTTGTGAATAAAAATTTCTCAAACATAACGAGGGGATAGTCCTCAGCCACTGGAATAGGTAGCCATGCCCCTAATCCAGAAAACACTCATTCTTGGATGCATTCTGCCAATTTGACATCTTTTACTCTCCGATTTTGTGGTAGTGCTCTCCAAAGTGGCCTTTATCAATTCAGACCATTCCTATATATGCCTGCTGCTTCTTCAGTAAAGAGGTGAATGCTAATTCCCCTGTCCTTGGCCTTAGTGACTTGCTTAACCCACAGAATGCAGTAGAAGCAGGATTTCTGTGACTTCCCAGGCTGAGTCATAAGAAGCTTTGCAGTTTCCACCTGAGTCTCTTGGATTGCTCACTCCTGTAAAACATCCACCGTGATATAAGGAGCCCGTGCCACATGGAAATGCCATGTGTATGTGTGCCTGTCCTCAACCTCGGCTGAATTCTCATCTGGCATCAACTGCCAGCCTTTGAGTTGGACTTCTTGGCCATTCAACTCAGTTGGACCTTCAGTTGAGTGCAGCTTCATCTGATATTTGTCTGCAACCATGTAAGCGTCATCAAATGAGAAACCAGCCAAACCCAATCAATGCATAGAACCATGAGAAATAATAATAAACATTTTATACCACACAGGTTTGGGGTAGTTTTTTTTACATACACAACGATACATAACCAGAATAATCATCTATGTTTCAATGACCCAAATAAGTATCTTTCTGAGGGATGCAAACATTTCTTACTTCTTTGGCTATATAATGTATTCTTCCAGGTTAAAGTCAAACCATGCTTACTTGGAGCAATTATACCTTCAATATTTCTGCTTTGATCCATTATTATGCTATTTATTGCTCAAACAGCAATATCATTTTTAGATTATTATTGAAGATGAAGATACCTTATTTTTGTTCCCATTGATCACCTAATGGTAATTATGGTGAAACTCCAGGCTCTGATTTTAGTAAACTGCTGAATTTACTGTTCAGTTGAATTGCTGCTCAACTCAACAGGTATTTATCAACTGTCTTTTATGCACTGTGATTGTGGCTGTACAACTTGCAAAATGAATGTATTTCTGTTCTCAAGGACCCTTTAGTTCAGGAGAGAAGATAACTCAGATACAAAAACATTGTAATTCAAGGAAGAATGTGGTGGGTCCTAAGTGTGAGGAGCACATGTAAAGTCACATTAGGGCTCAAGAGAGGAACAAGGGAAGTATCATTCAGGAGACAGCATAGGAGAGGAGAAAGTAGAGAAAGACCTAGTTTGAATCCCAGATCTGCCACTAACCTGAACAAGCTATTTAAACTTCCAAATTTATAATATAGGGAAAAAGACACTACATTAGCAAACATTCTTTTAGTTAGGTTTTGTTTTTTGTTTTTTTTTTTTTTTTGAGCAACTGTTTTACAGAATTGTGAGAATTAGATAAAATAAGGGAAAGAAACTAGTGGTAATCTCAAAAAAAGGTACTTTATTGATGGTGGCTGGTGTTATCATCATTATTATCACCCCTTTCAATGTTTAATTAGTGGTTTCATAAAAGACTTAATGGAGAGATGGCATATAAGCTGAGACTTTAAAAATGTTCTTACCTCACACCATATACAAAAATTAACTCAAAATGGATCAAAGGCCTAAAAGCAATAGCCAAAACTATACATTTATTAGGAAAAAAACATAATTTTTGTGACCTTTTGTAAATCTCTGTGACCTTAGATTTAACAATGGATTCTCAGATATGACACCAACAGCACAAGCAACAAAAGAAAAAAATAGATATATTAAACTTGATCGAAATTAAAACTTTATGATTCAAAGGGCACTGTCAAGAAAGTAAAAACAAAATCCCACAGAATAGAAGAAATTATTTTCAAATGATTTATATGATGAGATTCATATCTAAAATATGAATAATTAAAACTCAATAATAAAAGATTCAGCCAATTAAATACAGGTAAAGTGTCTAAATAAACATTTTTTTCCAAAAATATATACAAATGTCCAACAAGCACATGCAAAAATATTTGCCATCATTGGTCTTCAGGAAAATGAAAATCAACTACAATGAGATACTACTTTACACCCACTAGAATGACTGTCATCAAAAAGTAAGGTGATAACAAGTATTGATGAGGAAATTAGAACCCTCATACACGACTGGTAGGAGCATAAAATGGTGCAGACGTTTTAGAAAACAGACTTGCAGTTCCTCAAATGGTTAAACAGAGTTACCATATGACCCAACAATTCCACTCCTTGGGATATACCCAAAAGAACTGAAAACATGTATACGAATAAAAATTTGTACATGAATGTTTATAGCAGTGTTATTCACAATATTTAAAAGGTGGAAGCAACCGAAATGCCCATCAACTAATGAATGAATAAATAAAATGTGGTCTACCATACCATGGAATATTATTAGGCTACAAAAAAGAATGAGGTACTGATACATGCCATAATATGGATATACCTTGAAATTATTATGTGAAGTGAAAGAAGCCAGCCAAAAGACCATATATTATGTAATTCGATTTATAGAAAATGTCCAAAATAGGCAAACCTGTAGAGATAGAAATCAGGTTAGTGGTTTCCTAGAGATGGGGGAATCAGAAGTTTGGTGATACTTAAAGAGTATGGGGTTTCTTTACAAAGTGTTTAAAATGCTCCATAATTGATTATAGTGATGACTGCACAAGTCTGTGAACATACACAAAAAACATTGAATTGTACACTTTAGGTGTGAATCATATAGTTTAGAGGTGAATCATTTAGAGGTGAATCATATAGTGAGTGATATCTCAATAAAGCTGTAACTGAAAAATGATGTCAAATACCTCAATATGTGGGGGTAAGCAGTAGTGAGAGGAGGTGGGACACCAGGGATCCAGTTAGAGACCATATGTGCAATGAGTAGAGGTGAGACATTATCAAGCAGAATATATTTGTAGGTCAAAAAGTTGGAAATTAGCCTCAGGCAAGGCAATATGATAGAACACAGTGAGAGCCACACACTCGTTAAAGACTGAACCTACAACTGGCGCAGCAAAAAACATTGGGGACCTGAAGGAGTGTAGTGACAATAGGAATGGAAAGGAGGGGACACACCTAGGAAATACTGTCTGCCATTCTTGAATTAATAGGACATTAATTATGTCTGTTGAATGGGGCCTAAAGTGTATAGGAAACCCAGGTATGATTGTATGGTTTTGAATCTGAAAACAGGAAAAATGATATTTAATACAATGCAAAAGTCAGGAGAAGATGCTGCTTTGGCAAAGTGGGGTAGTAAAGTCAGTTTGGACAGACAGACTGGAAGTGGAGAAAGTGAGAGAGAGATGGACACAGGCAGACCGCTGAAAACACTCACATGCTCAGTCTGTGAAATGGACCAACAATACTTCATTCTCACAGGGCTTTTTAAAGTTGTTGTTTGGTTTGGTAGGTAACTCGGGGGGTGGGTGGGGGGTGGGAGAGACTGGCATTTATTGTTTACCATGTGGTATGGTTTGAATATTTTTCCCCTCCAAATCGCATGTTGAAGTTTGATCTCCAGTGTTGGAAGCGGGGCCTTGTGGGAGGTGTTGAGCCATGTAGGCTGATCCCTCATGAATGGCTTGGTGCTGTCCCGGCGGTACGGAGTGAGTTCTCTCTCTCTTAGTTTCCATGAGAGCTGGTTGTTTAAAAAAGCCTGAAACCTCCTCCCCTCTCGTTGCTCCCTCTCTCACCATAAGACACACCTCTTCCCCTTCCCTTTCCGCCATGATCAAAAGCTCCCGGAAGCCCTCATCAGAAGAAGATGCGGGTGCCATGCTTCTTGTACAGCCTGCAGAATCATGAGCCAAATAAACCTCTTTTCTTTATAAATTACCCAGTCTCAGGTATTCCTTTATACCAGTACAAAAGGAACTCATATACTATGCATCCAGCATTCCCCTAAGTTGTTTAACTTTTTTTTTTTTAATATGCATTGTTTTATTTTCTCACAGCAGCCCCATGGAGTACATATTACTTTCATTATCCTCTGATTTTGAAACCAGATCTATTTGGTTAATGATTATTTCTATTGTCCTTTGTTGTAAAATCAACGAGGCAGCATGTCTGAGAGCCTAGCCTAGGGTCTGGCAATCATAGTTGCTCAACAAATACAAATTTTCTTCCCCATACCTGCGTCAACCTGCCCTCCATTGTTGCTGATTTTGTTTAAAAGCCAGGCTTTATATTTACTAACCAGAATCTCCCTGCTCCTTCACCTCTTTCTTTGGCGCAATGCAGTCGGTACCTCAAAGCTTCATTTCTCTGCATGGGTAACTTCCTTATCTCTGATCACTCCATTCCTTGTACATCTGCACCTCCCCTGTTCCTTTCAGTCCCTCTTACTGACTCCACCAATATCTCTTTCAGCTTTGGCTGAACCAGTGGGGTTTAATAAAGACAAATGTGTATTGGATTTGAGGCTACGGTTAAGTGCTTGTTGGGAATTTGGTGAGGCCCACCCACACACCCATCTCATTTATAACTAACGTCACTGGAATCAAGACTGCTAAAAACAGAGAGATTATGATCCCCCAGCACCCTTTCCAACTAATCTCAAACACGAGAGAGGAAATGGCAGAAGGCTCATCTCTGTGAGATTTTACAACAGTAAATTGTAGCTCATCAGGGCCAATTCCTCAAGCTATTTGCTGTAATCTAAACCAGAATTTCTCATCTCCCCTTTTATGATTCCATTTGGGGGCTCTGTGATGAAGTTGAGCAGCATGTCCATATGTTATCATCCTAATGAAAATAATAAGAGCCGAGTGATTATTAATCACTTGGCCTTATCATCCATTAAAGGAAAGTCTTGTTAACCAAAAGGAATATGTTTTGGTCCGGAATTCCAAAGATAAAAACCCAACAGAGATGACAGAACTGAACTAAAAATTCAATTGCATTGAAATTTTTAAAATGAGCAGTATCTTGTCAATGACTTCTTTAATTAAACATTCATGGAGTTTGAAATAAAATATTCAGCCCTCGATGTGGTTGAGTGTGGTTCCTTTTTTGTTCTTGTCATTCTCTTAGTTTAACGTGGGTTCTGGAATTCCAGAAAAAATGAAGTAGCTTTAATCAGCTTTGTAAACAGTGTTCAGAAATTATTAGGCCTCATAGAAACCATTCATAAACACCTAGTTGTATTCAGTTTAAAGTTTTTCATAAAAGGAAAACAATGTATAAACCATTTTAGAAACGTGCTTTGATTAGAAGCCTGGTAGATGAGTTAGAGAATAATTGTAAGTGATTTTACAATGCTAATTTCCTTAGGCAAGGGCTGAAAGCAGGGCATATTGATTTCATAGCAAGAAAACCTCTTGGTTAGAAACAAATTATCAGAGCAAAGACATGTAGGCAGCACACTTCTGTAACCTCTAGTTCACCACCAACTAAAATAGGCATTTGGGCAAAGGAAAGTTACATGGAAAATAGTTTTAGTATCTATATATTATTTTGTTTTGCTTGTTATTTTAATGGAGAGTACATTGTATTTGAATCAGTATTTCTCAAAATGAGTTCCACAGAGCACAGGTATAATGTAATAATTCATAGGGGGAAATGTTTGGGACAATGTACAGTCAATAATGTTTGGGAAACTGTTACATTCTTTACTCTTCATTGAATATACCATTCACATTCACATGGTAGGGACTTTGAGAAGTCTTTCAGCAGAAAAAACTTCCAAGTTTGAATTTTA
This sequence comes from Homo sapiens, assembly GCF_000001405.40. Taxonomy (NCBI): domain Eukaryota; kingdom Metazoa; phylum Chordata; class Mammalia; order Primates; family Hominidae; genus Homo; species Homo sapiens. Next base: position 15,003,792 of record NC_000017.11, read on the forward strand.
ACTCAAGTTCTCTGAAACTTATTTGACAGAGAAAATGTGTGTCCTTGTAATAACTATTAAAATGTTCTGGAAATAGTGTGTGTTCCACAAAGCCCATTTAGGGAAACATCTGCCCCCCCAGCATGCTATGATTGAAGAAAGTGTGCAGAAGTGGTCCATGTACCCACAGCCAGGCACGGTATTCATCCTGTGACAGTGACCTAATTTTCAGGCACAGCAACTTAGGGAGGTACAATGATGGGCACATAGTAGGCACTTACTATTGGTTCCATGGGATAAAATTCAAGTTAATAAAGCTATTGAAACAACCCAGACTACTGACTGGCCACAGCCCAACTGTTGCTTTCATTGGGACACATGTAAACTGTGTTCAAATTGGTGAGCTGGCCACCACCTGACACGAATGGGCTTTGTCCCCAAATCTCTGAGACACCAGCAATTTCAGCGAGCTCTACATTATGTTGAAGTCCTAGACAGCTAGACTAGAAGATAAACAAATCATAGAGCTAGAGGATGATCAATGCAACACTTAATCATGCTCAGCCTTGGGCATTCTCCCCCATTTGGACACACGTTTGATCCCTTCCTGGTCCACTGCATAGTGGGGAAAGAGCTTGTGCTTAGGCATCAAACAAAACCTAACTCTGAGTTCAGGTTTTGGTATTTATAATCTTGCAAGCTCCAGCAAGTGACTGACTTACTCTGAGCCTCACTCTCTTCATCTGGTAAACGTGAGTAAAAACAGAACCTATGCCAGGCGCAGTGGCTCACGCCTGTAATCCCAGCACTTTGGGAGGCCGAGGCGGGTGGATCACCTGAGGTCAAGAGTTCAAGACAAGCCTGGCCAACATGGAAAAATCCCACCTCTACTAAAAATACAAAACTTAGCCAGGCGTGGTGGCACACACCTGTAATCCCGGCTACTCAGGAGGTTGAAGCAGGAGAATCACTTGAACCCAGGAGGCGGAAGTTGCAGTGAGCCGAGATCGCGCCATTGCCCTCCAGCGTGGGCGACAAGAGTGAAACTCCGTCTCAAAAAAAAAAAAAAAAAAAAAAACAGAACCTACTTCATAAAGTTGTGAGGAATAAAAATTAAAAAGACCACATGTGTATGAAATAAAAAACAGTGCCCAGAAGACAAATGGCCAGGCAATTTTAGGTGATGCTGACCACAATGAAGATGACGACTCTTTGGCTGGGAATACCATGAAATCAGAAGTTCACAGTGGCTCTGAGACCTAGTGAGAATATTAACCAAACAGGCTATATAGAATTTCCAGCCAATATCACATGGCATTGCAAAAATTTCCACTCCTTCCATTGACAGGGACTACAAGATACGTAGAGGCCCAGAGAAAGGGAGAATAGCAAGAGGAAAGAGAATAACAAGAAGTGAAGCAGTGCTCAGTCAGGCCTCCTAGGGCTTCCAGATCATCCATGAGGGGGAAGGTTGAAGCTTTCACACTGAAACAAGAATTTGTCCCCAGGTACAGAAGTGTGCCAGGTTGTACAGCCTGAGCCCTGCCCCAAACAGTAAGGCTGGATTGGGTCACCTCTGGGATGCTGAGATAACAAATAATGTCCAGGTGCATTTAAAAGGAGAGATCTAAACATTAGCAAGCCACAGAGCAGGGACTATCCTTCCCCAGTAGATCTGCAGGAACATGAAAATGAAGTACATATTCGCTGGAACTTTGACCCAGTGCCCCGTATGGAATCAAGTGAACTGGGCTGGCCCCTTGGAGAGAGCTTTTAGCTAAGTGAGGTCAGTGTAAGAGGCCAAGAAGAAAGGGTAGGCATGTGTGCCCTGAAAAGCAGAGTGTGTGTGAGAGTGAGAGTGTGAGAGTGAGCAGTGGAGACCACAAAGCTCACACCAGTGGCAGAATAGGCACCCAGCGTGTGCTTCCTTGGGACAGGGTGGAGTGGGAGCCGACTTGCTTCCAGTCTCAGCTTACATGGGCATATTAGAGAAGGAAGAGCATCCGAACGTGAAAAAAAAAAGAGAAAAACAGGACTAGGCCTTCCCCCAGAAGTCTGGCTCAGACTTTCACTTACTCATTCATTCATTCATTTCCTCAACAAATATTTACTGAATACCACAAACGGTTCTAGGCTCTGTGACTATATCAGCCAATACAACAATTACCTAAAACCCTTCCTTTTGTAGAGCTTACATTCTGTTGGGTGTGAAAAATCAACGATAAACATAACAAATATGTATATGTATATTATATATTGTATGTATATTATATTTTGCATTAGATGGTGACACAGGTTATGGAAAAACAAATAAGCATGATAAGGGAGATTGAGAAATGTAGTTAGCCACTTTAAATAAGGTAGTAAGCATGGACCTCCCTGAAAGGCAACGTCTGAGCAAAGACTTGAAGGAGCTGAAACAGCAGGCCATGTAGATATGGGGAAGAACATTCCTGGCATAGGGAACAAAGGACAAAAGTCTTGGGTCCAGAGAATCCCTAGAGGTTATAGGGATGCTCTGTAATAGGGTCACCTATTATAGAGGGATGCTGTATTATAAGGATGCTCTATAATATAACCTAGAGGTTATAGGGTGTTTCTCAATGTCTACTACCTAGGATCCAAACTAAAGAAGGGAAGTCAGGGGAACAAGATGGACCAGGCCTTCAGCTCCAGTAAAATGTCCTGGCCCTGACCACACCCATAGCACTCCTCCCAGGGCGGGGATAGGGGTAGGGTGGTAAGGCGCCGGGAGACTAGCCTGAAGCCCCTACAAAGTCCAGCAGCGAAGAGACGAGACCAGGCAGCACCTTGGAGAAACAAGAGTCCCTGATCCTGATCCTCCAGAACATGGGCACTTGATGGAGCTGAAACTAGTGACAGCAGTGGATGGAAACAGGCTGCGTCTCAAGGGGGTTCCATAGGAAAGGTGCCAGCCCCAGAGAGTAAACCTGCGGTTGTTTGGAGCTAGTTGCAAAGCTTTGCTCTCCCCTTGAATTAGGCAATCTAAGCCTCTGCTTAAAACCTGGAAATGTTTAAAACTCCTTCCCTGGAGATTTGATTCAATAATGCTGGGGTCACACCCAAGAGTCTTAATTTTTACAAAGGGAATTTAATTCGCCTCCGGGCATAGAGCTGTATGTCCACACCCTGTGCTCAGCTGCGTGGGGACCTCCAAAAAGGATTGTCTCTAGCCTGCCACCAGCTTACCCCTTGATAGTATTATTCATGTCTCATTCTCCAATGAAAAGCTTTTGACCTTAGGGATGGAGGAATTTAATATAATCTGGAAGAGCCAGGGACTTTGTATTTTAGTTTCTTTGGCTCTAAATAATTCCCGTAAGTAAGATATCCAAATATTACGTTTTCCTGTGGTTTGCCCTTTGTGTTTTAATTCACAACATCTCTCTGTAGCCCTCGTTGAATATCTGGGTGACAATACATTTCTCAACACTTAGAAATAAGTCCTCCACAGCCATTACAACTATAAAGTACAGCTGCTAATAGCATGCGATCCAAGTTTCCCAGGCTCTCAGAAAACATCAAAGTTTTCCATTGCCAGAAACTTTGGGTGGAAAGAAAAGTGAAAAGGAGCCTTCTGATCCAACGTGTGAGCTGAGGAATGGTGAGTGGGTTAGATTTATGAACTGTTAGCCGTCGTCCTTGGATGCCTGGATGGCCAAGAGTGAGGTCATCAGAAAGCAGGTGCGCGGCTCCCTAACAGGTGTTTCCAAAGAGCCTTTTAGCCTTTTCTGGGCTGCTACCTGGAGTCAAGGGGTGCAGACATGGGGCACAGGAATTCTCAGCAATGGTGCTAAATCAACACAAATGTTCTCCTAAAGGAAATTGCTAAGACTTAAAATCGTGGTCATGTGACTGGAAAAGTTATTTCAGAAAACTGACATGAATTTGAGTGTGTGCCAAGTCTGAAGTCTGAGAATGTTACAAAAATTGGGAGAGTTCTTCAAACAACAAAGAACGCATTTCTAAAAATGTGTGGCTTTGTTGCTCTTGCCTTCTCTTGGGTTCAGGTATGAATATGAAAAGGGATATAAAAGTCCAAAGTCATGGGTGTCCCACCCAAGAAAAGGGTACATGTGGCCCAATCTGCTGAGCCTGTCTTTGAGTCATGCACTGTCTTTCTCCCATTCCCAGTCTGTGGGGTTTGAGAGAGCTGACTCTACACCTGTGCTCCAAGATTGGACGTACAACCTGCTCCAACTGCAATCTGCAATCCCCTGAGCCTTTTGCAGAATTATTGGAAAAGGGCTCCTGAGCCACTTGGAAAGGAACCTTAAATTAGCTGGGCCTATCTTTGGTACCATGGATAGAAGGCCACCTTGAGGGCAAAGCCAATACAGAGAACACTAGAAGTGACAGAGAGCAGCAGAGTCTTGAAAGCACTCTTTGAGGCCCTGGTGCTGGCCATGCCTAATGATTCATCTCTGATTTGATTTTCATGAGATTCCTCTCTTGGCATAAGGCACCATTTCAGACCAGAAGATCCAGACTTCATCATTTACCCCTCAAACAAAAAAATCTGGGATGGAGCCTTGGTTTTTTGACTCCTGTGGCACTCTTGGCTAATCATTTATAGTTTGAATGCATCAGGTATCCTCATTTATTAAACCAGAGGGTAGATCAAGGTCAATTCTCAGTTCCTCAATTCTGTTATCTTATTATGAACTCCATGATCTTATAACCTAACACCATCTTTAAGTTCATATAAATATAATTTCTTCTCTACACTTAATTGCCTGATGATATGGCTCACTTTAAATGTGTTCATTTATCGAAGGAATAAAAAACTTGACCTTGTAAGTTTTAGCAGCATTACTTTTTATTTATGATTAATTCTAATTCCTGTTGGCTAGTAGGAGAAAAAAACAAGGATACTTCCAACGAAACCCATTACTAGAAGCAGCTGTCTTGTCAAAGAGCAAGTAGGGTGTATCTGAAGATGTTTGATTGGGGTCCCTTTTCCTATACCCACATTTAGAGCCTTTTTTTCATCCTTAGACTCAAATCTTAGCCTCATCCTTCACGTATCTTTGAGCCAAGTGGGACAAAAATTCTCTGCAGACACATACAGTAGTGCCAGGAAGCTTTTCTGCCTGTCTCTCACCCAGCTTCTGTGTTCAGAGCAAAAAGATATCTTTTCTGTTCACAGCTTACAAAGTATTAATGTCTACTTGTTTCTTCACCTGCTGCCTCTAACCCTAGAATCCTGGAAGTATATCCTTATTGGATTAGTGGCAGCTAAATGTCTCAAAACGAATAAAATTACCCTAGTAGGAATTGTTCATAGGTAATTTGTAAAATGAGGATGCCCTGACATCTTTTCCCTTGTCATTAGACAGCTGGAGAGACAGACCCTGGCTTTCGTTTTGATAACAAACAAAGCTCCACGCAATTCCTCTAAACACCCTCACAGGAGGAACTAAACAAGCCTATAGACCAGCAATAAATGTGGACTCACGTCACTGAATAGGCCTTTTCCCACGTATAAATCAGAGATAACGAAATTTGCCAGGTTTCTGCTTTAAGCTCCAAATGGGGGTAGAATTGTGGGTCAGGGAGTAAATTGCTGTATCAATGCAATACATTGATTTGTGAGCATTTCGCATTTGGTTTGGGAAAGAGAAAAAGGGGGCTAATTCAATTTGTACTAAGTGTTTTCTTTCTCCTTTAAGTTGATCATTGGAAATTCTGGCAGTTGCTAGGCAAAACTTTGGTGGTTCTGAAAAATCTACCAGGAAGCTAAGGTAAGGAATTGCTGAGTCCTGGGGGAGACAAGTTTGACAACTGAATGTGCAACAAACACTTGAGGTCAGAGCATTTATTCCCTGCTGGGCCGTGGTGTGCAATGGCTGTGTGCCTCTGCCCATGGCCACGTATCTGTGATGTGGGTCCTTCCCTTTTACAGCAGCTCTCTCACTTTGCCCCTTTGCACATAGAGCTGTTAATGACTTCCTGCCTCTGGTCATCCCTGGTGTACTTCTCTCCTCTGTTAGTTCACTCTTAAACTCTTTCTGGATATTTGGACCACCACATAGAAATGGACACATATTAATGACATAGATAAAAATTGTGAGCCACAAAACCCAGATGTAAGAAGTCAAAAGAGCTGTCATTAGTCTGTCCCTCACTATCTAAATTGTAAATGGATCTTTTTTCACCTTCTATGTCTGTAATCTACATTATCAAAGATAGTTTTCTCAATTCCATGTGGTTTCAGCCCCAACACACCTGTGAATACACATGCACACACCCACACATTTCCAATTTAAAGCTGTTTGCAAACACCAGGATGTTTAGTGACACTGCCCACCTCCTCTACACCCTGTAACCCCACCAACGTCAAAGAACAAACACTCTGTCGATTACTAATCTTCCCAAACCTTAGGTAATCTACCACCCTCCAAACCCCAGGTTGCCCCATGCTTCATCCTTTACCCAAAAAGACTGATCATCAGTTTTATGTGTCAACTCCGCCAGATCACAGGATGCTGGGATATCTGGCTAAACATTATTTCTGAGTGTGTCTGTGAGGGTGTTTTCCTGAGAGATTATTAGCATTTGAATCAGTAGACTGAGTCAAGCAGTTTGCCCTCCCTAATGTGGGTGGACATTATAGAGCAAACGGTTGGAGGAAGAGAGGATTCACCCTGTCTCCCTGCCTGACTGAACTGGAATATTGATCTTCTTCTGCCCTTAGCTCTCCTGGTTCTCAGGTCCTTAAACTCAGACTGGAATCTCCACCATCAGTTCTCAAGCCTTCCAACTACACTGCTGGCCCTGGGACTCCAGGTGGCGGAGGGCAGGTAGTGAGACCACTTAGCCTCCATAAGCGCAGAAGCCAATATCTTATAACGAATTTATTTATATGTATTCTATTGGTTTTGGTTCTCTGGAGGCCTCTGACTGGTACAAAGACCAAATGTGGATGTCTCAGGACCCAAAGGACCTGGAGAAGCAGACACAGTGGACTGTGGCACCGTGCTGTAATCACTGCCCCAGACAGCATGAACAGCTCCTGTCAGGGCACAGGAAGGTAAGTGAGGGGGGAGAATAGAGATAGGATAACATGAGACCAGTGGCCCAAAGAGCAGCCTCCATCAAAATTGCCTCTTTGTACTTGGCACCTAAGAGCCAAAGGTAGTGTGAAGATGATGTCTTATTATAAAACCCGATGTCGGCCGGGCACGATGGCTCACACCTGTAATCCTAGCACTTTGGGAGGCCAAGACGGGCAGATTGCCTGAGCTCAGGAGTTTGAGACCAGCCTGGGCAACACGGTGAAACTCTGTCTCTACTAAATACAAAAAAGTTAGCCGGGTATGGTGGTGTGCGCCTGTAGTCCCAGCTACTTGGGAGGCTGAGGCAGGAGAATTGTTTGAACCTGGGAAGTGGAGGTTGCAGTGAGCTGAGGTTGCATCACTCCACTCCAGCCTGGGCGACAGAGTGAGACTATGGCTCCAAAAATAATAAATAAATAAATTAATTAATTAATTAAATATTTAAAAAATAAAGTAAAATCTGACGCCTGCCTAGACTTGCTCTTGGAAGCCAGGAAATCAGATGGCTCGCAGGAGCTGTGGTCTGCAAAAGAATAGAATGGGAAGAGGTGAAGAAAGGTGCCTGCAGAGATGCACCAGAATCAGGAAACAGGATGTGGGACTTAGGTAAGCCCTAAAATTTTCAGGCTTGAAATCCAGTGCTTAGCAATCTTGCCTACGTACACGTCGTAGTCTTTTGTTTCCCTTAGCCTCAATGACCCTTTCCTTTTAGAGCCAACTTTGACTACACATTGGAATCATCCCAGTGGGGAGGCTTAAAAACACTGATACCCAAGTCTCATCCCTCCTCCTCTCAGACTTTAACCCATCTGTGATGTGGCTTTGGATATTTGGATTTTTGTAAGTTTCTTCCGTGTGATCACAATATGCAGCCAAAGTTAAGCATCACTGTGTTAGAAATGTCAGCCAGACTCACCTATACTCAGGAAAGTACAGAAAGGGCTTCTTAGCCATCTTTGTGTAGGTAAGAATAGGTACTACTGGCCCCATGCAGTGGTTCACGCCTGTAATCCCAGCACTTTAGGAGGCCAAGGCAGGTGGATCATGAGGTCAGGAGATCAAGAACGTCCTGGCTAACACAGTGAAACCCCATCTCTACTAAAAATACAAAAAGTTAGCTGGGTGTGGCAGCACATGCCTGTAGTGCCAGCTACTCGGGAGGCTGAGGCAGGAGAATTGCTTGAACCCAGAAGGCGAAGGTTGCAGTGAGCCAAGATCGCGCCACTGCACTCCAGCCTGAGCGACAGAGCAAGACTCCGTTTAAAAAAAAAAAAAAAAAGTATAGGTACTACTATAATCCTTAAGCTGGACTTAATGGCAAAGGGATCAAAATGAGACTATACTGCAGAGGAAATACCACAGTAGTATCTGAAGAATGCCCAGTAATGCTCTTTCCCCTCTGAGCAGATTATTTTCCTTTCAGACAGTGGTTCTCGAATGTTAGCAGCATCCAAATCATCCAGAGGGCTAGGACTTGTCAAAACACAGACTGCTGGGCTCCACCCCAGGAGTTTCTGATTCCGAGAGTTGGAAGGAACCCTAGGAATTGCTTTTCTGACAAGTTCCCAGGCGAAGCTGATGGTGCCGATGCAGGGCCACACTTTGAGAACCACTGCTCTAGAGAAAGTTCCTCTCCATCCATGCCTTACTCTGCCCTATTTTATGTGGTTAAGGGAGCTCTTCCTTTACAGCTCCATGGGAGCCTTCCCACTCTGTGACCACACAGAGGGAAACATCCATCATCCTGGGCCAGAAAAGGCAGCAAAATTTTATCTATTCCCCCAGCAGGTGTTTGCAAACACAGCTGCCCGGGGCCATGCAAACACTCACTGGGAACTAGGGATTTACATGGCTGTCATTAAAAATCTTGGAGCCTACACAGCAAAGAACGCCCATGTGTCAGCAAGAACATTTCTTCCTATGATCACAAATGGTTTCCATTCCTGAAGAAAATCCAGGAAACGTGGGAAGAAAAATTGCCAAGTCTTAGTCCATCCCAAAAATGAAACAGAAAGAAAAACTCTGGAAATATATTGGCTCTTCTCTACCCATTCTTGCACTCCTCTTTGGAATAAATAGATTTTTCTTGTATTTCTCATTTTCAATATTTGCAAGGAAACAGTCCCTTGAGAAATAGGTAGAGTATTTGGAGAAGATTCACTTTTATTAATACCTGAGTAGCCCATTTTTTTTCCTTTCTCACAAACACAAACATCTTATCATTCTCTTTTAATTATTGGTGTTTTTTTCTTTTTATACATGGAAACAAATTTTAGAGATAGAAAATACCAGTGGTGCTAATTTCCCTAGCCTCTGTAGAAGAAAATGTAGCAGCTGGGACAAGTGCATGAATTCTACTGGGCTCTTCCACAGTCACCTCTTTACAAAGGCTCAACTTAGCCACCCTGACCCCCCAGCCCAGGTGAAGGTCACTGTGATGGTTAATATTGAGTATCAACTTGACTGGACTGAAGGATGCAAAGTATGATTCCTGGGTGTGTCTGTGAGGGTGTTGCCAAAGGAGATTAACATTTGAGCCAGTGGACTGGGAGAGCCAGAACCACCCTCAGTCTGGGTGAGCACCCTCTAATCAGCTGCCAGTGCAGCTAGTATAAAGCAAGCAGGAGAAGATGGAAGAACAGACTTGCTGAGTCTTTCGGCCTCCGTCTTTCTCCCGTGCTGGATGCTTCCTGCCCTTGAACATCAAACTCCAAGTTCTTCAGCTTTTGGACTTGTGGACTTACACTAGTGATTTCCCAGGGGCTCTCAGGCCTTTGGCCACAGACTGAAGGCTGCACTGTCAGCTTCCCTACTTTTGAGGTTTGGGACTCAAACTGGCTTCCTTGTCCCTCAGCTTGCAGACAGCCTATCATAGGACTTCAGCTTGTGATCATGTGAGTCAATTCTCCTAATAAACTCCCCTTCATATATACATTCGTCCAACTACTTCTGTCCCTCTAGAGAACCCTAATACAGCCATGATCTCATGTTTCTTTGCATCTCAAACACCTGCTGAAGCTTTGAGTTCACAGGGGCCTGAATCTAAAAGTTGTGACTTACAAATGGCAGGTTGCATCACTGGGTTCCTGAAATTGCTATGCGTATGTGCCTAGGCCGCCGAGACCAGGGATAATGGACACTGGACCAGAACGGACATGGTTCTGCAGGCATGATGAATTACCCCGGGGTAGCCTGAAATCTACTGCATGAAACACTGATGCCATGAATGTCAGCTGTCACTGGAAAAAAAAAAGGGTGCCATGGACACAGAAGTTTGGGAAATACTCATTGAGTTAAAGAAAGTGAATCATACTGGTTTCTTTATTTTAGGACTCCTCAGAACTTTTAAGATATTAATGTGCACGATGAAGTTTCAAGAGGGGATTTATTTGAACACAGGAAATGTATGAGATCAGAGAGTGGAAAAGGGGGATTCTCTTGGGATATTTCTGAGGACTATTTTGGGAAAAACAATATATTAGATAACATCTACTTTGGGGCTGGACACGGTGGCTCATGCCTATAATCTTAGCACTTTGGGAGGCTGAAGCGGATGGATCACTTGAGGTCAGGAGTTCAAGACCAGCCTGGCCAACATGGTGAAACCCGTCTCTACTAAAATTCAAAAATTAGCCAGGCGTGGTGGCATGGGCCTGTAATCCCAGCTACTCGGGAGGCTGAGGCAGGGGAATCACTTGAGCCTGGGAGGTGGAGGTTGCAGTGAGCCAAGATCGCGCCACTGCACTCCAGCCTGGGCGACAGAGTGAGACTACATCTCAGAAAAAAAAAAAAATCTACTTTGATATTTTCTCACATAAATTCTGTGTTCCAAGTTCTAAGTTTCTATGATGTGGAAATAAGTCTTAATGAACCAACAAAACTTAAAGGTGAGGTCTGAGCCAGCCCCAAGTCATGTACTTATGACCTAAGAAGCAAACCATGGTGAAACTTTCTCAGTGTTCCACCTACTCCCTTTCCATCTCCTTGCTGGGCTAAGAAAAGGATTCTGGTAAGAAAAAAAAAAATCCAAGAGAGAATTTTAAAACATTAACTTTCAACTTTTATAGGCATATTTTAAACTTTTTATTTCACTATCTTACATATAAAATATTTGGGTGAGAATATTCTTGCCAAGAGCTCTATGCTGCCTAGAGACCTTTACACAGGCCAATGCATCTTGGTGGAAATCACTTTTTCTTAAAGAAATATGTAAATGGGTATTCAAATGCAAAGCCCAGAATCAGAGACTGAGCTATCTCTTCTATACTAATTTCCCTCGCTGACCTCTTGTGCTGTAGTAATATATCATTTAGTTTGACATCTGATCAAATCCATTAGTGTAAAATGTTTTTGCTAATTAGTTATATTGTTTTCTAACAGTTTAAATGCTTTAATGCTCCAAAATTCTATTATATCATGCTGTGTTAATTGTATCGTATTACCATAATGTTAATTATATAATTCTATCATTGAATTCTCATAATATTACACTTATAAACTAAGTATTGTCAAAGTATTCCCCTTTTATAGGTAAGAAAAGAAAGTCAGAACAAAGTTAAATAATTATCTCAGGTCATACAATTAGTAATGGCTGAAGCCAGGACTTAGATCAAAATCCATCTGAAACCAAAGCCTGTGTTCTTCACCATCACCTTAAGTTGCCTTTCATAATTATTGGAATAAGACTGAGAAAGAGGAAAAATGGAATCTTTAAGATAACTTCTTCAAGTAAATATCAAAATGCCTTTAAACTTAATCATTAAAAATTGGAAATAGATTTTAGTAAATAAATAGTAACACACAAGGACAGATTGAAAAAATACAGTGTTTTATGATCTGCAAATTACATCTCACTTATAATAAATTTTATACCAAATAAACAGCTCTATAGATAAAATCTTATACAATGGGGCTGTAACTCCTCAAAGTGTACACTGTTTTTTTGTTTTGTTTTGTTTTTGTTTTTGTTTGAGACGGAGTCTTGCTCTCTCACCCAGGCTGGAGTGCAGTGGCGCGATCACGGCTCACTGCAAGCTCCACTTCCCAGGTTCACACCATTCTCCTCCCTCAGCCTCCCGAGTAGCTGGGACTACAGGCGCCCGCCACCACGCCCTGCTAATTTTTTGCATTTTTAGTAGAGACAGGGTTTCACCGTGTTAGGCAGGATGGTTTCAATCTCCTGACCTCGTGAACCACCTGCATCGGCCTCCCAAAGTGCTGGGATTACAGGCGTGAGCCACCGCTCTCAGCCCCAAAATGTACACTTTTAAAGATGCATTCCAAACTCTTAGAATCAAGGGATTTAAAAAAAAAAAACAACAACAAAAAAAAAAAAAAACCTACCACCAAATTGGTGGGAGGAGAAAAGAACTTTACAGTTTACAAAATGCAATTGATCTTCAAGTATGGTAAAACACACTCATTTGTACCAATTAACTTCATTATTCTATTTGGAAGATTTCTCTCCCTCTCTGTATTCTAACCTTCTTTAAAGTTTTTAGTCTGAGCAATCTTTACTACCTTATTTCTAGTTAAGATTGCAATAATTTGTCATTGGTGTGCAGGCACTTTCTTAACTATTCCTGTGTTACAAATAAAAGAGCCAGTATTGCTCGGGAGATTATCTCAAGGGCCCTGAAAAGCCAAGCACTATAAAATCGTTAGACATTGAAGATGCGAAGAAAACCCATAAAACAACGCATAAAAATGTGTCTTCCCATGCCATTTATACGGAAAGATGGTGCAGTTCAATCCCTCAAGCCAAAGACTATTTTAGAATTCAAGTTTCAATCAGAACTTTCAGAAAGGAAGAGGTTTCACTCTCTTTGACCCTCTTCCTTTGGTTGTAAAACAGCCAAAGTTAAAATCATGTGCTTTCTTGGCCTTTCCATTGGCCATTTTTGTTTTTTGTTTTTGTTTTTTTTGAGACAGAGTCTTGCTCTGTCTCCCAGTCTGGAGTGCAGTGGCGCGATCTCGGCTCACTGCAAGCTTCGCCTCCCGGGTTTGTGCCATTCTCCTGCCTCAGCCTCCCAAGTAGCTGGGACTGCAGGCGCCCACCACCACGCCCGGCTAATTTTTTGTATTTTTAGTAGAGACGGGGTTTCATTGTGTTAGCCAGGATGGTCTCGATCTCCTGACTTCGTGATCCGCCTGCCTCAGCCTCCCAAAGTGCTGGGATTACAGACGTGAACCACCGCGCCCGGCCTCCAATGGCCTTTTGATCTCTCTCTCTTTCTTTCTCTCTTTCTCTTTCTTTCCCCCTCTCTCTCTGTCTCATGAAATCTGCTTCTTCTAGCGAATATTATTTCTGGAAAATACCTGCTCAATCAGACCTCCAACTCCTGGAGAAAAAAAATACATATTTATTTAGGCAGATTTATAATTAGAAAAAAATCTGATAAATGTAGAGGTTCATACTCACTTGAAGAGCCGTTGAATTAACCATTCAAGGGAGTTGTTTTTTCTTTAAAAGACTAATTCTCTGGGTGCATAATAGATAGTTATCATTCTAGCCAACAGTATTAATTTAGCTCTGCCAGGCAGCAATCAGTGTGAACACCAGAAGAAAAGTTAAGGATGGCATCACCAGGTAGGGAGGAAATCAAATCCCAGGTATCATAGTTTTAATCTCACGATGTCCAAAGACTAATGTGTCAGAGGGAATCAGAGACAGCATCCAGAGGGAGCAAAGGACATCAAAGGTGAGTGAACTCTGGTCCTAGAGCAGAGAAGGTCTGTTTTCTGTCATTTTTTTACACTGCATTCCTTGTTAGTTTTGAACATAGATCATGATGGCCAGGAAGATGGCAATGATTTCCTGGTACGCTGTAGTAGTTGCTGTTAACGCTGTTGGTACTCTTCCCCCTTGTATCATCTTAGCTGTCACCATTTCTGCACACATCAATCTGACAGCTTCCAACCATGAACACCTATGTCTCTTTGAGCGCTTTCTCTAGTTATCTGAACCTGCCCAGAAAGCTGGAAGTGCCAAGGAGTTAGCAGCTCCCCACCGCCCTCAAGCAATAACTGACCAGAGTTGAAACCTCGGAGGAATCTTCCACACTGCCACTGAGAGTTCCCCAGCAGGAAGGCCTCAGTTGTGTGTGGTGTGTATCTGCTTCATTTCCTTCCCTGCCTTATATCCCCACTCTTTACTGATGTTTCTTGGAATCACCTCCCAGATAAACTTCTTGCACTGGAATCCTTGTGCCTCCAGAAATGCAGCTGAAAACATAGGCCCACGCTGATAGAGAAAGGAAGGGAAATCAGAAATTCTAAAGTTATCACAAGATCCTAAAAGTGCCCCAATGTCAATGATCCTATTTTTGTGTCTCAGACATGTTACTACAGATACCATAAAACATATGTAATTCTACAGGAGCTAGGTCTAGTCTGTGGATTACCAAGACCAATTTTCTGAGCCATGCCCCATCCAGGCAATCAGATGAAAAGAGTGTCTTTCTGTCATTTAGGGAAAACCATGATTCATGGAGACCAGCGAGGTCTTTGCATGTGATCAGGATGGCTGGTCAGGATGCCTATCATGCATGCCACGTAAATGTTTCAATTGTGGGGCTCTGCAAAGGGTTTTACGTGAGTAAGTGTGGAATGCATTCAAGAATGAAAATTATCAAGTATTCAGAAGGAGATGGACTCTGGGGCTCTGAGAAATGTTCTTTGTGAGCCCTTTGAGAGTTAGGAGCCAGAGTTTTGAATCCCACACGTGGCTCAGTTTTCAGTCTGAGTAAAAACATCCGTGGGGTGCTAGACAAGATCAGTGCCTGGGAGACTCGGGAGACTCAAAACCGGGACATGAACAAGGTACTTTGTTTATAAGGAAATTATACGGGAACCTTTAGAAAGAAAAATGTGGTCTAACAGTAATTGCATAGTTGGTGCTGGAGTAGAGCACCAGCAAGCAGCAAACCCATAGGAATGGGGTTCATTAAACCTTCTGCAAATGGCAGGTGATGGAGGAAGGTAGAGGATAACACCCTGTGGGGAAATCTTGGGACATTTTCATGGCTGCAGAAACTGCTGGGACATTTGAGGAATATAAAGGAAGTCAATGTGGTCAGAAAAATAAACACAAGGAAACTGACAAAAAATTAGATTGCAAACTAACATAAGAACCAGACATATAAAGACTTGTAAACCATGATAAGGACTTTGGGTCACATTCCAATTGCAATGGGAGACCATAGGGGCAGTTTTGAGTAGAAGAATGATATGCTCACATTTAAATTTTGAGATCACTTTGGCTACAGAAGAAGATTGGCCTGACATTTACCAAATATACTAGAAAATGTGCTTATGATATACTAGATATTGTGCTATACCTCTCAGTGCATGTAATCCTTACTACATCTTGACAAAACAGGTCATTTTTATTATCTCCATGGCTCAGAAAAGATGTGTCTAACCCTGAGTCACCCACTGGTAAGTGATGGAGTTAGGAACTGAATCCAGACAGAGCTAATTGCAAAGACTGAACTCAAAATATACCTCAGAGTACTCTCGAAAGACCATATGCAAATTCCCTCTCTCCAACCCATCACCTAATGCTTGTTGATGTTCTCATGGGTTCAGTAAGTTATATCACAGAATCCACTGTCTATTCAATGGCTGCCCAATATGAACGTGGAGTTTTAATGGAACAGGTTTTTGTTTGGGGGCCCCACTTCTCTAGCGTTACAGGTGTGCCTTCTTCTACACATAAATCTACTGATACTATTACTGAGCTGAATTTAGGTCTGCCTGCTCAGTGCAGAAAAGCCAAACACTGACATTGAGATCTGCAGCGAGAGAAAGTGAGGCGTTTACTGCAGGGAATCAACCAAGGAGAAACCGGCAGCTCATTCTTGAGAAAAGAATTCCCCAGTGGCTTAAATGTAAGGGTGTTTTTTGAGACACAGTCTCTCTCTGTCACCCAGGCTGGAGTGCAGTGGCGGGATCTAGGCTCACTGCAACCTCCGCCTCCCGGGTTCAAGCGGTTCTCCTGCCTCAGCCTCCCAAGTAGCTGGGACTACAGGCACCCGCCACCATACCCAGCTGATTTTTTTTGTATTTTTAGTAGAGACGGGGTTTCGCCATGTTAGCCAGGATGGTCTCGATCTCCTGACCTCATGATCTGTCCGCTTCAGCCTCCCAAAATGCTGGGATTACAGGGGTGAGACACTGCGCCCGGCCACATGTAAGGGTTTTTAAGGTGGGGAAGCAGAGGTTACAGGCAGAGTCATAAGCCAATACATGGAGGCGATCCATTAATTTGACCTAAAAATTCAAGACATCTTCAATCAGGGGCTTATAGGTCACAGGTAGATTCAAAGATTTTCTGATTTGTAATTGATTAAGGAAGTGAAACTTTGTCTGAAGACTTGAGGTCAGCAGAAAAGATGTTAGGTCTGAACCTGTAAGCATGACCTCCTCCAGGCCTCTCGGGAAAAAATTTAGAACAAAGAATGGCAGTCCGGAGTTCAGTCCTCAGTTCCTTCTTACCTGGGGTGTATGCACCAGGGGATCCATTTGGAGGGGGTCTAGGTTTCTAGAAAACAACTCAGGGACATATGTTAAGATGTAATCTTGGTCGGGCACTGTGGCTCACACCTGTAATCCCAGTACTTTGGGAGGCCAATGTGGGCAGTTCATTTGAGGCTGAGGAGTTCGAGACCAACCTGATCAACATGGTGAAACCCTGTCTCTACTAAAAATACAAAAAAAAAAAAATAGCCAGATGTGGTGGCGTACACCTGTAATCCTAGCTACTCAGAAGGCTGAGGCAGGAAAATAACTTGAACCTGGGTGGCTGAGGTTGCAGTGACCTGAGATCTCACCACTCCACTCCAGCCTGGGTGACATAGTGAGACTCCATCTCAAAAAATAATAATAATAATAAATAAATAAATAAATAAAAGAAGAGATGTTATCTTTATGTCCATCAGTGATGGACTGGATAGAGAAAATATGGTACATACACACCATGGAATACTACACAGTCATAAATCATGTCCTTACTGCAGCCACATAGATGGAGCTGGAGGCCATTATCCTAAGTGGATTAACATAGGAACAGAAAACCAAATAGAGCATTTTCTCACTTTTAAGTGGGAGCTACAAACTGAGTACACGTGGACACAAAGAAGGGAACAGTAGACCCTGGGGCCTATTGAGGGTGGAGGATGGTGAGGAATGAAAAACTACCTCCTGGGTGCTATGCTGATTATCTGGGTGACAAAATTATCTGTACACCAAACCCGTGCAGCACACAATTCACCCATGTAACAAACCTGCACGTGTACCTCTTGAACCTAAAATAAAAGAAAAAAAGTGTTATCTTTAGTTTCTGTAGGGAACCAAACATCTCCTGACTCTAACTTCCTTGGCTGTTGTTTTAAAGCCACTGTTACCTTCTTGCTTAATCGAGTTGCTCATTTGCTTCTCAGGGCTGGCTAGGTGTCTAGAATTTCCCTTGGAGGAACTCAAGATTTTCCCTTATTTCCACGGTTGGGGGTTCCACAGGCCCAAGTGGGAGTCCGTACTCCATCTCATTACCTGTTTATAGATGCTACATTCTCACTGAGTTTTGAGGGCGGGCTGGAGGGACAGCAGGACATAGCCTGGGGCCATTGTCACTTGGGGCCCTTGAGTCTCGGGATCTCTTTCAGTAGGCTCAGGCTGGTGCTAGGCTTTTCACTGGGACCTTAGCAGTGTCCTTGTAAAACCCTACAAGAGTCGTAAATGGTTCTTAAGGAGACATTTGCCCAGACCACTTTTTTATTTCTGTAAATGTGAAAGATTAAAGTGCACTTTGGGGCATCTGTCCCTGCTTCCTGCAGACTTGCATTTTTTTTCATCTATTCCTGACAAGCATGTATCAACCCTGTCCTAAAATCTTTACAGAAAGTGATCCCACAAGTTCTGCATTACAGGAAAGTATTTCCATTTGGTACTTACAGAAACATTCCTGTTACCCAGTGCCACTTAGGAATAAGCAAACCCAGATCCACGCTGCAGTTTCTACAGATCCTTGCATGTCTCCCACCACATCCTAGGTGCCCTCATTTACTGTCTTGTTTATTTCATCATCTCAAATTCTTCACAAGTTTGATTGTCTGTAATAACGAACACAAATTGAGACTGCCTCCTGGCTCACAATGATTCTCTCAGTGGTGATCATTCTTCCACCATAGCCTCCCTTCTTATAAGATGTCCTGGCCGGGGGCAGTGGCTGACGCCTGTAATCCCAGCACTTTGGGAGGCTGAGACGGGCAGATCGTGAGGTCAGGAGTTCGAGACCATCCTGGCTAACAGTGAAACCCCATCTCTACTAAAAGTACAAAAAATTAGCTGGGCGTGGTGGCGGGCGCCTGTAGTCCCAGCTACTCCGGAGGCTGAGGCAGGAGAATGGCCTGAATCCAGGAGGCGGAGCTTGCAGTGAGCCAAGATTGCGCCACTGCACTCCAGCCTGGGTGACAGAGCAAGACTCTGTCTCAAAAAAAAAAAAAAAAAAAAAGGTGTTCTGATCCCTGGCCACAAGCGGTAAACAAATGACCCAATCAGAGTTATTCACACTGCCTCACCACCATCCCCTGCCATGGCTCAAGGGATGAATGTGTGATTTAAGCCTGGCCAATCAGCGCACTTTCTAGGAAGTTTTTTTCTAGTTAAATTGGAAGAGGTATCTGGGTGCAGTGGCATGTGCCTGCAGTTCCAGCTACTCTGGAGGCTGAAGTGGGAAGATTCCTGGAGCCTAGGAGTTTCAGGCCAGCCTGGGCAATATAGTAAGACCCATCTCTAAAAAAAAATGAGAGAAGCCTTTTCCCTTCTCCAGACATGGAGATGTTGCCATGCTGGAGGCCATATTGTCAACCATGCAGTTGTGTTGCACTGTGACGAGGTAGCCACAGGAACAGGGAAGCAGAGAAGGGAAACCAGCAGTTTCCTGATGGTGTGTAACTCCCTCGTTACAGAGGTTACTACTCCTCCTCTGGGTTTGTTCATGTGGAACCACTAAATTTCTCTTCCTTCTTTAAATTGATTTGAATTCTGACAAGATCCAACTTTTCATTGGATAGCAAAGAAATAAATTGAAGAGAAAGGGGAAAGAAGCAGCTCTATAGGAAGGGGCACCCTGATGGTGGAAACGATGGTTGATAATCCCACACCGAGAGAGAGAACTGGAGAAGCAAGGAGCAGGCAGAGCATGCACTTCCACAGTGCAGTGCGGGATGTTTATAACTCTGACCCTGAATCTGTGCCAAAAGTTCAATAGACTCTGTGTAAGTGAGGGATAAAATAATAGATATTTTAGAGATATTTTAATCCAAATGGTGAATTCTTTTTAGAGCTCAGGTGTTTGAAGGACTGGATTTGGTTAGTAAGATCTACATGCTGAATTCCAGATAAATAAAGCACTTTAAAAAGGATTTTTACCATATCAAATTCATAATTTTTCCCAACACTCTACAATTATTTTCTCTTACAGACTCTATTTTCTATTCCAAATGCAAACACTTGTATAAACATGGATTTCCTTTCATTTCTTTTCCATTTTCTTTTTCTTGCTGTTTGATTCATTCCCCTTTCCATCATTTGGGCCTGTTGGTCTGCAACTTGCTCTACCTTCAGCACTGGCCATATCCCAGTCCTCAGAATTGAGGTGTTTTTGTTGTTGTTTTTGTTTTTTGTTTTTTGTTTTATAAATTCTTTTTTTTTACTTTGTTTATTTTTTTATTTTTATTTTTTATTATACTTTAGGTTTTAGGGTACCAAAGGTGCATTCGTTCAAAATGCAGGGCCTCTACCTTCTGGTAGTTTATCTCCTGTGCTAGCCCTACGGCCCTACGGTCACGACCCCAGCTTGCAGCCCAGGAAGTGGTAAGGCAGATCCATGAGTTAACAGACTCTCCTGAGTCATGGTTCTAACCAGTACTCATCTTCCTAGGAGAGAGGCTCTGCTCAGCTCCTGCCCATCCCCCAAAGATGTACCTTTGGTAAATTCCACTTCAGCAGCTGAACTCCTGTGCCAACTCTATAGCTCTCCAATTATTGCCTTCCCCTTTTGGGTGCCCCTGCATATCCAGCAGGAGAGCCTCAAAGCGGGGCTTAGCCCACAAAAGTTCTTGGTTTGGGCCAGGAAAGAATTCAAAGGTAAGCCAGTGGTAGGGTGGAAGAAAACAGCTTTATTGAAGAGGCGGTGTTACAGCTCCAGCAGTGATACAGCTCTGTGACTGCTCCTGCAGAGCAGGACTACTCCATAAGGTAATGTGCTGGGAGGAGCAGCTCAGGGCGGTTCCCAGTCATATTTATACCCACTTTTAATTACATGTACATCCGATTAAGGGGTGGTTATGCAAAAGAATGATTGCCGTGGAAAGGGGCGGTAACTCCAGGTGTTGCCATGGCAGTGGTAAACTGATGTAGCACATTGGTGGGCATGTCTTATGTAAAGCTGCTTCCACTCCATTTCTGTCTTAGCTAGTCCTCAATTTGGTCCGGTGTCTGAGTCCCACCTCGAGTCCAGTCCCACCCCCTACCTCACCACCTCCTGCCAAATCACCTGGGTACAACCGGTTTGAGTCCAGTTATTCCTGTCATCTCCCACTAGGTCATACGGACCCCTGCTTACTCACTCGGAGTGTCTTTCTCCTGTTACCCGCTACTCTCCACCCTCTGCTAACTCCCATTAGGGCCCATCTGGGCCTATCATGCAGCTGCTGCTGCAGGTAACATTTCTCTGACTCCAAGTTTTTCTAACTGTGTGCATTTCTACCATCCCACCGACCCCCAAATAGCCATGTCCCACAGGTATTTCTAATCGAGAATCCAGCTTTTTGTCTCCATTGGTGTTGAATATTATATCTGCTCCTTTTATTAGTATAGTTTCCTAAGTATATGATTTCCATACCTTCTGGCATGTGAATCTCCAAGATTTTTTTTTCTAATTCTTCTAAGCTTTATATTGAATTTTACCAATGACTTGTAATTTTTTTTTTTTTTTTTTTTTTTTTGACGGAGTCTTGCTCTGTCGCCCAGGCTGGAGTGCAGTGGCATGATCTTGGCTCACTGCAAGCTCCACCTCTCAGGTTCACGCCATTACGCCATTCTCCCACCTCAGCCTCGCGGGTAGCTGGGATTACAGGCACATGCCACCATGCCCGACTAATTTTGTTTTTGTATTTTTAGTAGAGACAGGGTTTCACCCTGTTAGCCAGGATAGTCTCGATCTCCTGACCTCGTGATCCGCCCGCCTCGGCCTCCCAAAGTGCTGGGATTACAGGCATGAGCCAACTCACCCAGCCATGACTTGTAATTTGTATTGTATTATATCTATGCCGCCACCCCTTTAAGATATCTGCCATTCCACTTCTATCGTATATTTGTGTTTTTGTGTAATATTTGCATATGACTTTCTTCTTTTTCCCTTTTCAATGTTCTTACTTTTTCAACATTCTGCCATTCTTGCCAAATTATGCATCTTGTAATTCTATTTCTTTTGCAAAGAGGGACTCCTACCGTTCAGTGTTTTATCTTAGGTAAATAAAATTTAAATTTTTTGAGAATTTAATAATTAACTGAGAACCTGTCCTTTTCTTGCTACTTAGTTAAACCATAATTTAATCAATTGAAAATAATTGTACATTTATTATTTATAGCTTGCTCTTACTGTTGTTTTCCAGTGGTAGGGATGTGAACTGTCTTTGGGCTACATTATTCTTATTATTTCGTAAAATATTAAAAATAGTCTTCATCAATGAGACCACTTAACTGACATTCAGAAAGCAGCAGAATTGTTTGACCCAACTTGTCTGATATTTTCAAAATCTTTCACGTAATAATTCATCCTCCTCTTATTTTAATTTTTCAATTATTTTCCCATACCTATAATAATTAATATCTATCCATATATCCGATACTGCTGGGTCCTGAGTTTCCTTCCTGTTCCAGCCATTGGACCCTGCGTGTGATCCCTCTTTGCTTTGAGTCACCCGCTCTCAGCTTCACTGCTCAGTGCAGCAGAGGCTCCTATGAGCAGTCCCTGGGGGGGCCTCACCTAACTTTCCAATAACAGTCTCGCCCGGAGCACACAGTGCAATTTATTTTCCTTTCTAGATACGTTTTTGTATTGTGTGAATACAGAAGAAAAAAATGGTTTTTCTTAAGGGAAACAGAAAAAAATGAAAACTGAACAGTAATAGAAAAATGGTCAAAGAACATGCAGAGGTAATTGACAAAAGAAATTCCCATGGACAATAAACATATGAAAAATGTTCAACATCAGATAAAAAATGAAAATTAAAATCATGAGATGCCCCTTTCATCTAACAGATTGGCAAGATTAAATACATTCTCAGTGTCAGAATTTAGAAAACTTCCTAAAACATTGCATTTGAGTTGCCGGAAAAGAAGATGAATTGCAACACTCTAAAAGCTAGCTCAGCAAAATATATCAAATGCCTTAGGTTACAAGTAACATTTATGCATACATTTCTAGAAATTTAACTTCTTGGTTAAAAGGAATAAAGAGTAACAGTAAACTTTTATCCATATGCATAATTATAACAACGTTATTTAGAATAGTATAAAAAGGGAAACAACCTAAATGTCCATCAACTGAGGATTGTCTGTATCAGTTTTATTCTGTCCATGATGGAACATATGAGGCCATTAGAAGTCACACAGTATAAGAATATGAAGAAAAATTTTACTGTATGTTGCTAAGAGAATAAATCAAGTGCGAAAATAATATGGATGGCTTAAATCAAATTATTATAAATTATTTTTGAGAGTTGTCTAGATGCATAGGACAAAATACCAAAAGATGACAAAATGAAAAGTTATTGGAGGCTATTTCTGGGGGTTCCAACATGGAGACTTTTTCTCTCTTGTGCTTTTCTATGTTCTCCAAATTGTTTATGATTTTAAAAAACTTAACTTTTTAAAAAGAGTCAACCTTTGGAAACACTGAAAGTGTCCTATAATTCAATGTCAGCACCTATCTGTTTCCTGTTTCCTCTAATTCATCTTATTTCCCCTAAACAGTAATGCTATGGGGCGGGGTGGCGGGTGGGGATAAGCCATCTACTACTTTTTTTCCTCGTTGTTTTGTTGTTAATACTCCTTCAGTATTGCTCTTTGTTCACTGAAATATGAAACAGTGGCTGAAATAGATCCAGCATCTTGCCAGTTACTAGAACCAAGAATGAGAGCAAACAATCACATGGTGTTTCCTGAGTTCCGGGAACTGTTCTAATAATGCACGTGTGTGTGTGTGCACGCGTGTGTGTGTGTATTTAAATTCTCACACAACAGCTCCATGAGATAGATCTTAATATCATGCCCCTTTTATGAATGAAGAAACTGAGAAGCCAAGTGACCTACCCAAAGTCACACAGCAAGTGCGTGTCCAAGCCTGGATTCAAGCACAGTCAGTGGCCCCAGAAGCTGTGCCCATCATCACCATGAGATGCCACTTCTACAAGGATGCAAGATGCACACAGTATGGCTCTTGTGTTTTCCATTCTTTGCCATTGCGCTATTTCAACCGAGGTCTGGGTTAAGTAAGAATTTTTGGGCTGACTTTGATCCTTAACTGC
The DNA here is from genome assembly GCF_000001405.40 of Homo sapiens. Lineage (NCBI taxonomy): Eukaryota > Metazoa > Chordata > Mammalia > Primates > Hominidae > Homo > Homo sapiens. The sequence goes on from NC_000017.11 coordinate 15,027,445, forward strand.
CATTTATAATATTACTTCTATAGAAAGAAATCACTACCCATTCTAAGCAACTGACCTTCAAATGAAATTTCTGAAAAGTCTATTTATAAGTTGGGGTCTGCCTGTTTATCTCCCAAGGAGATTAATGCCAAGGGAAAGACATGTGTTTCCATCCAAAAGAAATGTCTGGAAATTATTTGGCCTTTGGATCACCTCAGGCCATCCATCTTTAGCCAGGAGTTTACTCTGAAGACTCTTCATCAAGTGCTTAAACCATGAATAAAGACTCTTCGGAATGCTAACATCAAGTCACAGACATGGTTTTGGAAGCCCTAGAATTTTCAAATGGGCACACACATACTTCTGGGAAAAGAGTCCTTCTTGGCCACTTGGCACTCTTGAAGAGAAGGCAGAAAAGCATGAAAGCCGAGCATTTCCTGATCCTTTCAGAAGTAGATGAATGTTCAATGAAGATAAAATATTCTAGAAGAGAGAAAAGGCTGAAGGGCAGGAGAGATTTAAGCTGGCATAATTTTCATTGTTCCTAAATATATTCTAATATATGCTTGGATTTGCCTGCCAGAAGTAGACCACATAATCAACAGGTTGCAAAAAATTGCTTACTGAGCTATTTCAATCCAATTTCTAATAGCAATAGACAGAATACAATTTTGCTCCATTTCCCTTTCCAAAAGGTAAAGCTGTCAGAGAAGTTTACGTAAAAGCAATACAGCAATATCATACTGTATCCTTAGAAAAATGCATATTTGTACACATTTTCTCCTTCATCAGCAAGAGAAAATTGGGAGACTCAGAGGTAACAGGAGAAATCTCCCTAGCTGAGAATTAAATCAGGAAAACTAAAGATACAGTTTAAAAGCTTTTTATACAAAACCATCTCATTTGGAAAACCAAAACAAGCAACCATTCCCAAATTGCAAGGACATGAACCATGTTGTCACAAACTGGAAATTGTACAAGATTAGGAAATAACAAAATCTAATCTCATGGAAAAAGAAATCATAGTCATCTGAAGTTCCACAAAGAATGCTGTCCAGCTTTATTACTCTAAGGAAAAATTCTGAGTAGAAAGTAGTGACATTTTCTGGTCATGGCGATAAAGCTCCTTTACATGTGGTATACATTCAGTGAGTGTTTGAAAACAGATCCTATTATAGGCACATACTTTTGATACATGTGTTTAACACTGATTTAGTTTTTACACATAGCAGACTTGTATTACATCTGGTTCTCAAAGTTGAGAGATTCATAAATAATCTGCATATTGCGTTGTTGGTTCCTTTTGCTCTGTTTGATGAAAAGAAAGCGTGTTTTTACAAGGAGAAAAAGACTTTTTAATCATTCATCAGCTCTGTTAATAAGCACTCTAAATCCTAGAATGTGGGCTTAGATTTCCTGAAGACTTTAATGGCATAATATTTTACAATTATTCTTCACTAAGGTGTCATTTTATTGTATTGACATTTTTTTTTTGTTTCCATGTTTACGTCCAAAGATACTGATAACAGACTAGAACTATAGAACTGCACTTTCCAAGGTAATAGCCCCTGGACACAGATGGCTATTAAGCCCCAGAAATGTGGCTGGTCTGAATTCAAATACACTAGGAGAATAAAATACACACTAGATTTGAAGACTTAGTACAAAAAAAGAAGAATGCAAATCATCAACATCATAATTTTTATATCATTGACATGTTGAAATGATACTCTTTTGGATATACAGTAACATAGAAAATATATTTTTAAAATTCATGTTATCCATTCTCTATTCTCGGTCCTGTCCCCTGCCCCAGCAGGCTGACCTCTGAGGACTGAGTCCCCCAGGCTTCCTTGATGGCAGGTTCCTGGTTGAGTTCAGCCAATGGGTGGCCCTGGCAGAAGATCTGAGTGTGAGAAAAAGGAGCAGGCAAGGCAAGCCTTTACTCTTCTCCCCTCCCTACCTTAGGTCCATGTTTCTTAGAGAAGCTGGGCGTCACGGTGACAACAGCTCTAACTTGGTGGCTCCTGCTCCGGGACTCCACCTTCCCTGGGCTCTGAAAACACAGTGTCCTGCTTCATCACTTAGGGAAGTAACACTTCCCACTGTTACTATTCTCTGGGTGCCTTGTCACCCTTGGTTGGTTTCCTTAGCCCTGCCACTCTTTAGTTCATCCCTGTATTAAAACCTATTAATGCATTAGGCTTTTATGCATTAATAGGTGCATTTGAAGCACCTGGGGTGAATTCTGCCCCCTGCTGGGACCCTGCCTGATACACAAGCCCATTCTTTTCTCCTATATAACAGTAGAAAAAGCCAAGATCCAAGACCCACGAACAAGATATCTTAGATTATGTTAAAATGAGTTTAATGCATTGAAATCAGCATATGTACTCTTTCTTAGTGATCCAGGAGCTCCTTGGTGACACAATAAAGCCAATATGATTTAAACCCTGCCCACAGTGGCCAAGCCACCCTCTCACTTCAAGAATGTGAGCAAATGAGGAAAGTCCACAGAAAACAAAACTGTGCAGCTGAAATAGTGCCCACAGAGCTACAAACACAGTGTTTGAGAGTTTAGAAGAAGAAATGTATGGATGTGGTCTGCATTTCCCACTCAGTCCTGCAATCATTTTTCTAGTGAACAGCAGGAAATGTGAACATTGGCTAGAGCATAAAATCTGGGTATCACGCAAGGTGTTGCAGATCTGTAGTCCTGGCTACTCAGGAGGCTGAGGGGAGAGGACACCCTGAGTCCAGGAATGCAAGGTTGCAGTGAGCAGTGATTGCACCACCGCACTCCAGCCTAGGTGACAGAGTGAGACTTCGTTTCTAAAAACAAAACAAAATACTGGCTAAGGCAGTAGCAGGTGGTCATAATAATAAGTGTAGCTAATGACTATCTAGTATCTCCTATTTGCCTAACATTCTGCTAAATACACAACTATTGCTGTCACTTCTGAACAGTACTTGTCATTTTCCAGGTACTTTTTGTAATAACCACTTTACCTCTATAAGTTATAATAACCACTTTATATATATATATAACCACTTTAACTCTATAAGTTATAAGTAAATTATATAATAGATATATAACCACTTTAACTCTATAAGTTATAAGTAAATTATGTAATATATATATAAAACCACTTTAACTCTGTAAGTTATAAGTAAATTATATATATATATATATAATCACTTTAACTCTATAAGCTATAAGTAACTCATATGATTCTCATAACAACCTTAGAGAAAAATACTATGGTAGTCTCCATTTTACAGATGCAAAACCTGGGGTGCAGATTTTAATCAACTTGCCCAAGGTCCCATAGACAATAACTGCTGGAACTGGAGTTTGAGTGAGGCAGCCCAGCCCCAGAGACTTCATTCATGGCCATTATGCCCTACACCTTCTCGTAGGCTGAGTTAATCTTCACAACACCCCCATGAAGCTCTGAGGAGAGCAGAGGTTCAGAATTGCTTCCCAAACTCAGCCAAGATCATGAGACTAGTCCCCATGACACTATACGGCCTCCCAAATAGACGTGGAAAATGAACTGGGGCCAAACTGTAGAGAGCTTGGATGAATAGTTTAGTGCAAAGATGAATACTGTAGTCAATCTCTCCTTACTCCTTAACTTCGCTCCTCTTCATTGTCCCCCATGCTTCGTGCTCTGGGTAAGCCACCCAATCATTATCTTTGACTCCTTTTCCACATCTCACTCCATTATCTGCCTTCCTCTCTCTAATAGTTTACCTTTCTTCCTCATCTTCCTGCATTCACTTCAACAGTACCAGACATTTCACAATTGGCCAACTGTTATCCACTTTCTCCATCCCTACCTTACATGTGGAAGAATGGAACTAACCCCAACAAGCTTCATCAGCCACCTTTGATTTTCCTAAGCCAATCAGCAGGGCTTATCTACCTATTCACAGGAATTGGTTCAGGGACAGACCTAGCCGACTGCTGGAGCCAGCTCCCAGGGGCTTCAGAGAGTCCACTGCAGGCCCCTCTACCGCACGCTGGGTCCAGGGACATCGCATTGGTAGTTTGAAATCAGCCATGGTGAGAGAGTTTATGCCATAAAAATCAAACGCTGCATGTCAGGGTTTTTTTTTTTTTTTTTTTTTTTCATTTTTACCTCTTTTTCTTTTTTGAGAGAGACAGACAGGGAGAGAGCATTGCTAGACATTCATCTGTACACTACCTGGATGAACAAGACCTAATTTAGGTCCATGAGACGTGAGGAGATATTTAATCAGGGTTTGGAGAAACCATGGAAGAAGAGTCTATTCTTTTGTGTAGGGAGAGTTATAAAGAAATTGGATGTGAGACTACTAAAGCCATTTTGGCCATCAAAGGACCTAACCAGAGGACAGAGTTGACACACAGAGAAGAGATGCTCTGAAAGGATCAAAGAGGTCTGGAGTCAGAGCGCTGAGGGTGTGGACTTCTGAATCCACCCCCAAAGCCCGTATGCCTCTTCACTCTTCAGTTAAATGAGCCAATAAAGTCCCTGTTTTAAAACCAGTTTGAATTGGGATTTTTATGGCCATCAATTGAAAGATGTTGTGGGGATACACAGAGTTATGACTTAGGAGCAAGGCCACCCCTATTGCAGAAGCCCAGGGGCACGATTCACTTTGAAGTCTTTGTAAGGGGGAGTCCTTCCTTGGAGCCGGCAGGGCCCAGCCTGTGCAGCCACATGTGGCAAATGTAATGTTATGCCTAAGAAACAGCCTATTCCCCTCTATCACTCAGCAGGAAGCCCAAATTCCCTGCTAGTACCCCACTGATTCCTTTTATTTCACTGCCGATTTTCATTCATCTCTTATTACCCTGCTGCATGTAAGACACCATTGCCCTATTTTTATTTTTTCACTTCTTCCAACAGCCAACTTTTACTGTTTTTTACCCTTATTCTCTGTCTTCTATAGCCTTTGGGAATTCCTAAAAAGAATAAACAGATTTTTAAAATCCAGGCCAGCTCCATCGATTAATCAAAGTTTTCCCGTCAGTCTTACAAGCATTTATCCTGTTATTTTGCTTTCTGTTCAACCCATGTTGACCAAGCTGGCTCATTCATCATCCGCCAAATATGTCCAACAAGTATGTGTTTCAGCACCTTTGTGTGTGATGTTCTCCTTGCCTTGAATTCCAAGATCCTTTCATCTTCCCATATTGAAATCTCGTTTCCAGCAATTCCCAATTCAAATCCCTCCCCCTTATGATTGTCTTACTCCAATATTATCACAAGAAACAGACTTTTTTCGCCAAAAAAAGCTAAATGTATTTAATAAAAAAAATACAGGGCTAACTCACAGAACCTAAGGCATAAAATGCAGCCAGGTCTCATATGAAATTGGAGTAAGAGAAACCAGAAAATCAGGAATGGAAGTTACTCTGTCCATCTCTGAAGCACCCCGTTCTCACTTGTCTGCTTCTCTATTCATATATGTTTCATTGTTGTTGCTCTCTTCTCATCCGCTCTCTGGATTTTGCATATATCTGGTGGTTTATTTGTTTCATCGATTCCAGAGTCCAGTGGAAACAGAGTAGGTTCTCACTATGTCTCAATTTCAAATGTCTTGGAGGAAAAGCTAATAGCCAAACCAAGCCAATGGGTTGTTTTCCCCTGGGGGTGATGTCCACTCCGTGACAAGTCAACTGTGAAAGAAGGTACATGACTACATGGCACCTTTGACTGTTCCTTCCAGGGACGTGGAAAGATCAGACTCTCTAAAGAGGAGGTGTAAGGGCATGGAAGAAGGGATTGGCATCCCTAATATGGTAATCGTGCCTTACAGAGTGATTCCACATCCCCTACTTCTTACTACACTTATCTAATACTGTTGTAACTTAGATTCATGCCCTACTTTCCCCACTAAGGTACTAGGAACAGAAACTAGTCTATCTGCATCTTATGTAAGGATCACTATTGTAGTTGGATTTTCCAGAAAGCAGACTCCGAGATATAGGTTAGCATGCAGAATATTTATTAAAGAACATCTTTGGTATCAAGTTCTGTAGAAGGAAGGGGAAAAAAGCAGGAATGGTCAGAAGGAAACTGTGAGCAAATTCATGACAATGAAGTCCAAATCCAAATGACAGCCTCAGCCTACCCTATGGGGAGCTCCGGAGCAAACTTAGCATTGTCCTAGTAAGGCTGAGATCACCAGGCCTGCATCCTGCATCTACCAGTCACTGGGTGTGAACTCTACCAGGGATGGGGTCATGTATTTGGGTGAGGGGTCCTTCTGCAGCTGAGGCAATCTGGAAGGGCTAACAGCTGGATGCTGGGTGCTGACAACAAGCTCAGCAGCTGCAGCAATAGGTATTTTAATGAAAGGGGGTCTGGATGGCACACCACAATGATCACAAAGATGACTGCAGCCACCATTGTGCCTTACACAATGCATGTGCTTACACAACTGTTAGCTACTTCAAAGCAGCGGTGGGGGGGGGGAGAATAAGAATAATTGTTAAATGAAAGAGTAGAATTGATTTTTTAAAAAATCCCAAGATTTGAGGCTAGCAATGTATACAAATTCCACATCTGCCTCCTACTTTGACTTTAAACAAGTTACCGAGCTTCTCTGTAACTTCCCTTCACTCCCCTGAGATGATAGCAAATATGCTCCATGCATGTCTGTCCCTAATATTTGTGTGACCCAGAGAAAGAATACAAATGAGGTTCCCACCCCACGTTTGTGTGTAGCTTCTCAACCCACATGCCCAAGTCCTGTTCACGCTCTTTCCCCAGCACGCCTCTTAATAGCAGCTCCTTGGATCACTCTGCCAAACAGACCTGGAAAAGAGGCCCTCGCAGTCTTTGGAAATGGGGTTGAGGCCATTTGCTTAGGGAACCTAATACCCCAGTGTCTGAAGTGGAGTCTAGAAAGAGCAGCACAGCTCTGAGTGCGACTCCCCTGGGCCCCAATTTCTTCACTTCACAAGGAGAAGACTGGGATGCTGAAGTTAAAATAGGTCCCCCAGGCCAGGCGCGGTGGCTCACGCCTGTAATCCCAGCATTTTGGGAGGCCGAGGTAGGCAAATCACCTGAGGTCCAGAGTTCGAGACCAGCCTGGCCAACATGGTGAAACCTCGTCTCTGTTAAAAGTACAAAAATTAGCCGGGCGCCTGTAGTCCCAGCTACTCAGGAGGCTGAGGCAGGAGAATGGAGTGAACCAGAGAGGCGGAGCCTGCAGTGAGCCGAGATCGCACCACTGCACTCCAGCCTGGGCGACAAAGCGAGACTGTGACTCAAAAAACAAAAACAAAACAAAAAAAGGTTCTTTCCTCTCTTTCTTGTCCTCAAGAGTATGCATTAGGTTGGGCACAGTGGCTCACTCCTGTAATCCCAGCACTTTGGGAGGCCAACATGGCTGGATCACGAGGTCAGGAGTTCAAGACCAGCCTGACAAACATGGCGAAATCCCGTCTCTACTACAAATACAAAAATTAGCCGGGCGTGGTGGCGAGTACCTGTAATCCCAGCTACTCAAGAGGCTGAGGCAGAATTGCTTGAACTTGGAGGCGAGGCGGAGGTTGCAGTGGGGGTATATCGCGACATTGCACTCCAGCCCTGGGCGACAGAGTAAGACTATGTCTCAAAAAAAAAAAAAAAGAGAGAGATAGAATATTCATTTACCTCTGTTTCTATGACTTTTTCTGTAAGTATAGTTATCCTGGTTGATGTTTACTGATTTTTTGAGTCTGTAAATTTATGTCTTTTAACCAATTTGGGAAATTATCAACCATTAGTTTTTGTTTTATGTTTTTGTTTTTTTTTTTTTTTTTGAGACGGAGTCTCACTCTGTCGCCCAGTGGAGTGCAGTGGCGCAGCCTCGGCTCACTGCAACCTCCGCCTCCCGGCTTCACGCCATTCTCCCGCCTTAGCCTCCCGAGTAGCTGGGACTACAAGCACCCACCACAACGCCTGGCTAATTTTTTTGTATTTTTAGTAGAGATGGGGTTTCACCGTGTTAGCCAGGATGGTCTCGATCTCCTGACCTCGTGATCCGCCTGCTTCGGCCTCCCAAAGCGCCAGGATTACAGGCGTGAGCCACCGCGCCTGGCCTAGTTTTTTAAATATTTTTTTTCTGCCCCATTATCTCCCTCTTCTCTTCTTCCGGGATTCCAGTCACGTGTAGGTTAAACCTTATGATATTGTCTGTGGGTCACTGAGCCACCATTTTTATTTTTTAATCTTTTTCTCCTTTTATTTTTCAGACTGGAATTTCTATTAATGTATCTTTACAGTCACTGACGCTCTCCTCATTCACTTACATTAAGTCCATCCAGTGATTTTTTTTTTTAATTTCAGGTATTGTATTTCTGGTTCTAGAATTTAACTTGTGGTTTTTATTAATAGTTTCTATTTGTCTGCTGAGATTTCCTTTCTGTTTATTGATTATTTGTATGTCAGCATTGAGCATAGTTATAACTGCTTTAAAATCCTCTTCTGAGAATCCCACCTTCTGAGTTCTCTTAAGGTTGGGCTCATTGCTGTGTTTTCTCTTAAGAATCGATTAAATTTTCTTGTTTCTTTATGTATTGAGTAATTTGTAATTATATCCTGGATGTTGTGAATTTTATGTTGTGGTGACTCTGGAGTGTTATATTATTCCAAAGTATGTAAATTGTCCATTTCAACAGGCAATATACTTGGTTGCTCAAGTTGCAAATTATGTCTCTTGGGTAGCATCTCAAATCTCAGTTCAGTTCTTTAATACTTAAGCCGCATTGAGTCAGTCATACATATCTAGTTGAGGGGGTTAGCCGGAGATATGGGCAGAGTTTATGTGTGAAATTTGGACGACTTCTCTCTGGCTCTCTCTTTTCTTGAATTCCATGTGCCACCCCTCGTCCTTTCTAGTGGCAGTAGTTGTCACAAATTCTGTTCTCTGATTTTTGAGGCCAGAGAGACTGGGTTTTCTCTTGGAATTTAGTCAATCTGCATGACACTGATCTAGCCTACTCACAAGCTAGAAGCCTTGGAAACTCACCGGGTGCCATTTCCTTCCTCCAAGTGCCAACTCCCCTTCCGAATCAGCTATTTTGGCAGTTACTTCAGTGAACCGCTTTCTGTAATTTTTCTAAAAGCTATAGTGAAGATGTTCAGGAGGATCAGTCCAG